>NC_000004.12:58552387-58878793 GCF_000001405.40 Homo sapiens | reverse complement strand
TATATAGAGTATATAACATATAAAGAATATGTATAGAATATAGATTATATATAGAATATATATAGAATATATATAGAATATATATACAATATAGTTAGAATATAGAATATATATAGAATATATATAGAATATAGATTATATACAGAATATATAGAATATATATAGAATATAGATTATATACAGAATATATAGAATATATAGTATATAGATTATATACAGAATATATAGAATATATAGAATATAGATTATATACAGAATATATAAAATATATATAGAATATAGATTATATATAGAATATATAGAATATATATAGAATGCATATAATATATAGAATATATATAGAATGCATATAATATATAGACTATATACAGAATGTATATTATATATAGAATATTTATGGAATGTATATTATATATGGAATATATATAGAGTGTATATTATATATAGAATATATGTAGAATGTATATTATATATAGAATGTATGTAGAATGTATATTATATATAGAATATATAGAGAGTATACATTATATAAAGAATATATATAGAAAAATATATATTATAGAATATATATATAATTTATATTATATAGAGAATATATATAGAATATATATTATATAGAGAATATATATAGAATATATATTATATAGAGAATATATATAGATAAATATATATTAAAGAATATATAGAGAATTTATTCTATATTATATATAGAATTCTATATATAATTCTATATATATTATATATATTCTATATAATATATGGAGTAAATTACGTACATTCTATATAATATAATATGGAGTATATTACGTATATTCTTTATAATATAATATGGAGCATATTACGTATATTCTGTATAATATAATATGGAGCATATTACGTATATTCTGTATAATATAATATGGAGTATATTACTTATATTCTATATAATATAATAAGGAGTATATTACGTATATTCTATATAATATAATATGGAGGATATTACGTATATTCTATATACTATAATGTAGAGTATATTATATATGTTCCATATACTATAATATAGAGTATATTATATATATTCCATATACTATAATGTAGAGTATATTATATATATTCCATATACTATAATGTAGAGTATATTATATATATTCCATATACTATAATGTAGGGTATATTATATACATTCTATATACTATAATGTAGAGTATATTATAAATATTCTATATACTATCATGTAGAGTATATTATATATATTCTATATACTATAATGTAGAGTATATTATATATTCTATGTAATATAATGTATACTATATTATATAATCTATGTAATATAATATAGAGTATATTATATAATCTATATAATATAATATAGAGTATATTATATAATCTATATAATATAATATAGAGTATATTATATAATCTATATAATATAATATAGAGTATATTATATAATCTATAAAATATGGAGTATATTATATAAATATAGAGTATATTATATAATCTATATAACATGGAGTATATTATATAATCTATATAACATAGAGTATATTATATAATCTATATAACATAGAGTATATTATATAATCTATATAATATAGAGTATATTATATAATCTATATAATATAGAGTATACTATATAATCTATATAATATAATATAGGGTATATTATATGTATTCTATATAATATAATATAGGGTATATTATATATATTCTATATAATGTAATATAGGGTATATTATATATATTCTATATAATATAATATAGAGTATATTATATATATTCAATATAATATAGAGTATATTATATATATTCTATATAATATAATAGAGTATATTATTTATATTCTATATAATATAATATAGAGTATATTATATATATTCTAAATATTATAATATAGAGTATATTATATATATTCTAAATATTATAATATAGAGTATATTATATATTCTATATAATATAATATAGAGTATATTATTATATACTCTATGTTATGTTATATAGAGTATATAATAATATACTCTATACTATATAGTATAGAGTATATTATAATATACTCTATATAATATAATATAGAATATATTTTATATATTCCGTATAATACAATATACAATATATTGTATATATTCCGTATAATACAATGTAGAATATATCGTATATATTCTATATAATACAATATAGAATATATTTTATATATTCCGTATAATACAATATACAATATATTGTATATATTCCGTATAATACAATGTAGAATATATCGTATATATTCCGTATAATACAATGTAGAATATATCGTATATATTCCGTATAGTACAATGTAGAATATATCGTATATATTCCGTATAATGCAATGTAGAATATATCCTATATATTCCGTATAATGCAATGTAGAATACCTTGTATATATTCCGTATAATGCAATGTAGAATACATTGTATGTATTCCGTATAATGCAATGTAGAATACATTGTATATATTCCGTATAATGCAAGGTAGAATACATTGTATATATTCCTTATAATGCAAGGTAGAATACATTGTATATATTCTATGTAATGCAAGGTAGAATACATTGTATATATTCCATGTAATGCAAGGTAGAATACATTGTATATATTCCCTATAATGCAAGGTAGGATACATTGTATATATTCCCTATAATGCAAGGTAGGATACATTGTATATATTCCCTATAATGCAAGGTAGAATACATTGTATATATTCCCTATAATGCAAGGTAGAATACATTGTATATATTCTATGTAATGCAAGGTAGAATACATTGTATATATTCCATGTAATGCAAGGTAGAATACATTTTATATATTCCATGTAATGCAAGGTAGAATACATTGTATATATTCCATGTAATGCAAGGTAGAATGCATTGTATATATTCCAAGTAATGCAAGGTACAGTACATTGTGTATATTCCATGTAATGCAAGGTAGAGTACATTGTATATATTCCATGTAATGCAAGGTAGAATACATTGTATATATTCCATGTAATGCAAGGTAGAATACATTGTATATATTCCATGTAATGCAAGGTAGAATACATTGTATATATTCCATGTAATGCAAGGTAGAATACATTGTATATGTTCTATGTAATGCAAGGTAGAATACATTGTATATGTTCTATGTAATGCAATGTAGAATACATTGTATATGTTCTATGTAATGCAAGGTAGAATACATTGTGTAGGTTCAATGTAATGCAATGTTGATTACATTGTATATATTCAATGTAATGCAATGTAGAATACATTGTATATGTTCTATGTAATGCAATGTAGAATACATTGTATATGTTCTATGTAATGCAATGTAGAATACATTGTATATGTTCTACGTAATGCAATGTAGAATACATTGTATATGTTCTACGTAATGCAATGTAGAATACATTGTACATGTTCTATGTAATGCAATGTAGAATACTTTGTATATATTTTATGTAATGCAATGTAGAATACGTTGTATATGTTCTATGTAATGCAATGTAAAATATCATATATATTCTATGTAATATAGAATATATTATGTATATTCTATATAATATAGAATATATTATATATATTCTATGTAATATAGAATATATTATGTATATTCTATATAATATAGAATATATTATGTATATTCTATATAATATAGAATATATTATGTATATTCTATATAATATAGAATATATTATGTATATTCTATATAATATAGAATATATTATGTATATTCTATGTAATATAATATAGAATATATTATGTATATTCTATGTAATATAATATAGAATATATTATGTATATTGTATGTAATATAATATAGAATATATTATGTATATTGTATGTAATATAATATAGAATATATTATCTATATTCTATGTAATATATTCTATGTTCTTTTATATATATGTTCTATTGTATATATGATACATATATATGTATATATCACAGTTTATTTATCCACTCATTGATGGGCATTTGGGTTGGTTCCATGATTTTGCAGCTGTGAATTGTGCTGTTATAAACAGAGGTATGCAAGTGTCTTTTTTGAATAATGACTTCTTTTTCTCTGTGTAGATAGCCAGTGGTGGGATTGCTGGATCAAATGGTAGCTCTACTTTTAATTCTTTAAGGAATCACTGTACTGTTTTCCATAGTGGCTGTACTTGTTTACATTTCCACCAGCAGTGTAGAAGTGTTCCCTGTTCATTGCCTCCACACCAACATCTACTGTTTTTTGGTTTTTTGATTATGGCTGTTCTTACAGGAGTGACTTGGTATAACATTGTGGTTTTGACTTTTCATTTCCCCAGTCATTAGTGATGTTGAACATTTTTTTCATATGTTTGTTGGCCATTTGTATATCTTCTTTTGAAAATTTTCTATTCATGCCCTCAGCCTACTTTTTGATGGGATTGTTTTACTCTTATTGATTTGTTTGAATTTGCTGTAGATTCTGGATATTTAGTCCTTTGTTGGATATATAGATTGTAAAGATTTTCTCCCACTCTGTGGGTTGTCTGTTTACTCTGCTCACTGTTCCTTTTGCTGTGCAAAAGCTCTTTAGTTTAACTAGGTCCCACCTATTTATCTTTGTTTTTATTTCATTTGCTTTTGGGATTTTGGTCATGAAATCCCTGCCTAAGCCAATGTCCAGAAGGGTTTTTCCAATGTTATCTTCTAGAATTTTTATACTTACACTTTTTAAATTGCCACTTTATCAACAATGGAAAGAATGGATAAAAAGAAAACAAGATTTTACTAGTAACCTATTGAAAATCTATCACATAATATCATCGTATTGAATTTTATTTTCTATTTCAATTTGAATTATTCAGCAATTCTGACTATTGGCCTCAATGTCTCTGTGGAAGCAAGCATTTTCTGAAGCAACAACAATAAATACATAACAGTCAAGAATTCTGAAAAAAATATCATGCCTTAAAGAAGTATACTTTAAATATTTTGTTAATATAGAGAATAAGTGGTAAGATTCCAATAAAAATTGTCTTACGAAAGGCATTTATGCATTTTCTATTTTAAAAACATAATAATTTTAGATTTTTCTTAAAATAAAACATAATAGTCTATCGGTTATCTAATATCATAGCTTATATAGAAAAGGCAGAATACTTACTCTATTTACCAGTAATCAGCATAATGTTCTGATTCACAAACCTCCCTTTTTGCTGTATAAATATGACTCATGTATTTTAAACATATTTGATCTGTGTCAATCCATTGCAAATATTACACTTAATAACAATTTTCTTTTTATATGCATTTATGTTTTTCAGACATATAATGTATACGATGTTGAATTAAATGTATCTTTTTTAATCTGTAGTTTTAATAGTGAACATAGGAACTTTGTTAATTAAAAAGAAATATTAAAATATTAAGACTTTGTTTTACTTCTGGCAGTGAGATGGTGTAGCTTTGAAGGCCCTTTGACCCTACAGAAATACAAACTTACTCTTGATGAATTAAAACCATCACACCTCTAAGTACATTTTTACTTTATCTGAAATCTCAACATAATGTAAGATCAAGCTGAAACCAGAGCAAGAAGAGATCAAGGAGGTTGGATGAAATGGGGACAAATGCCGATGGCTGGAACCAAAGCTTTGGAAAATAAAGATTTCAAAGCAATGGAGAAGATATTTAGATCTAAGACACACAATGAAAAGAAAGCAATAGAAGGGCCAATATCATCTGTTAAAGTGTGGCACAGAAAACCTCAACCTTTAAGGAGAGCATCAATAAAAAATGAGGATAGTGTTACTGATATTTTGCTTAATCACAATTAATGTAAGTTCTTAATTTTAAAAAAATCAAACACATGAAGAGACAATCCACTAGGAGCAATACTGAGTAAAAATACCAAATAATAGATTGAGTACCCTGGGACTTCAGATGTTGAAATATATACAATATAAAATAATAACTAATGAGGAGGGTTTCTAAAAAGTTGTAGTTAAAAATAAAATAAAAGGAATGAAAGAATGAAAAGATATATGTTTGAAAATATATCAAAACAGAACTTTTAAAGGTAGAAATATTATATATATATATATGTCACTAGATGTGCTAGATAACAGTTTAACACTGAAAAGTAGAAAAGAAGATTATTATGAGAAAAATGAAAGAGTCATGGAATGATGAATCTTATATTAGTGTGGGAAACTCAAGATATTTCTCTGATTATTTTTAACTTTTTGTTATAGAAAAACTTCAACCTATTCAAAAGTATGTAGAATGGCATGGTGGACCCCATATACTCATCACACAGCTTCCGTAATTATTAATCCTGCTGGTTTTATTTCAAATACGTACCTATTATTTTAAGAAAATTCCCATTATCCATATCATTTCTGCCCATAGTATTTAAGTATGTTTTACTATCAGATAAACACTCTTAAAAATAGGCATAAATTCAAATATCTACTCAATGTTTTAAATTTCAATTATCACATCAGGTTCAATTTCATCTTCAGTTTGTTTGAATGAATATTCAAACATGTTCTACACATTTCAATTTGTAAGACTCTTATGTCTCTTTTAATTCAGAAGTGCCGCCTACATTTGTTTTTTTTTTTCTGCAATTCATTTGTTGAAGAAACTGGATCATTTGACCTCTAGTACTTCTCACAGACTGAATTTTGCTAACTATATCCCTGTGGCATTGTCTCTGTATTTTTTGAAATGTGGTCATTGGCTCTAGAGGCTGATCAGATTTGGATTTGCTTTTTTTTTTTTCTTTCTTTTTTTCTTTTTTTTTCAAGTATCCTTAATAGGCAGTGGAGAGTACACTTCTATCCTGGAGTACATGCTATCTAGTTACCTCTCTTTTTGTGAAGTTAGTGATCGTTGATGATCAATGCTTAGGTCCATTAATTTATTCCAGTGTCTCAAAGTTGACTATAATTCTGTCAATCTTTCCCACTTCACTAGCTGGAATGTTTTTGGAAAGAGAAATATTTCCTCATCTATTATTGGTTATCTAATATCATAGCTTACATAGAAAAGGCAGAATACTTACTCTATTTACCAGTATTCAACATAATGTTCTGATTCACAAACCTCCTCTATTAATTTCCCTTTTTGCTGTGTAACTATGACTCACGTATTTTAAACGTATTTGATGTGTGTCAATCCACTGCAAATATTACACTTATCAATGTCGAGATTTTTCCATCTTTGGAAAGTGTAACTATCTGCAACTTGGTTCCTGAGTCCTTTTGGCATGATTTTTGCATTCTTCCTTGTTTCTTTGCTGTTTAATATGTCAAAATATTAAAGGAAAATGGTATTTAGAAAACAGACTCTGGGTCACATGTTTATTGCTACCGAGTTGGTTGTGCTAGCCCTTATCAGTGGACTAGATCGAATAAATAGTTAAATAACTTTTTTATTCTTAAAGAGAGCACACATTATATATTTATATTAAACTTTCTATTAAGATTCAAGACTACAAAGGCTTATCCTCTTATATCACACATTTTTTTTTCTCTCCCGGAGCATCTCAATTTGCAACTACATGAAAAATAATGAAATTAGAATATCATATTTGCTTTACCCCATAATGCAAACACAAAACCTTAAATTACCAATTCTAGCTACAACAAAATATATTTAACTATAAATACTTTGTTTTTATCCTTATAATATGTATATAGCATTAAGGCTTTAAAATCAAATTATCACATTTAAAGTCCCACTTTCTGATTTTCATCCAAACTCCACATATGTGCATTGGCATCTTTTAAAAACTATTTCCCGAACCACCTTATGATGTTTGTGAAATGCTAATTGTTTATTTCCATCATTTATTCTACATGTATTAGTTGGCATTTTATAGTGAAACAGAGTTTATCATTCACCTCAGGTATTTATTACTAATTTATATATTTATAATGGAATAGACTCATGAATTCTTCATTTATCCAATAAGTTACAATGTCTTACTTTCATTTATTTTGATGTTCAAAATTAACCAGATTTAGCCAGCATAAACAGTGTTAAGAGGAAAGGTTCTCATGTTAAATGACTATTTCAAAAAGTTAGAAAGATCTCAAATTAACAATCTGACATCATTATCTAGAGGAACTATAAAAACAAGAATGAACTAACCTGACATATCACAGAATAAATAAAATGAATAAAACCAGAACAGAATTAAACAAAATTTAGACCAAAAATTCCATATAAAGAATCATCAAAATCAACTTTGTTCTCTGAAAGGATAAAAAATATTGATAGATTGGCAGATAGATTAATGAAGCAAAAAAAAAGAGAAAATCAAAATGAGCACAAACAGAAATGAAAAAGATGAAATTACAATCAATCCCACAGAAACATTTAATACAAAAGATCTTCAGTGACAATTATGACCACTTCTATGCACACAAACTGGAAAATCTGAAGGAAATGAATAAATTCCCAGAAATATACAACCTCCTGAAATTAAGTCAGGAAGAAACTAAAACCTTGAACAGACCAATATTGAGTTTTGGAACTGAAGCAGTAATAAAAAACCCACCAACCAACAAAAGCCCCAGATCACATGGATTCACAGTTAAATTCTACCAGTCACACAAAGAAGAGCTGGTAGCAATTCTGCTGAAACAATTCCAAAAAATCAAGAAGGGACTCCTCCCTAACTTATTCTATGAACCAAGCATCACTGCATCACTCTGCCACCAAAACCTGGCAAAGACACAACAAAATAAAGAAAACTATGTTCAGGCCAATGTCGCTGATGAACAAAAATGCAAAAATTCTCAACAAAATACTAGCAAACTGAATCCAGCAGCACATCAAAGAGTTAATTCACCATGATCAAGTAGGCTTCACTCTTGGGTTGCAAATTTAGTTCAACATACAAAAATCAATAAATATAATTCACCACATAAACAGATATAAAAATAAAAAACATATGATCATCTCAATAGATGTGGAAAAAGTCTTAGATAAAATCCAATGTCCTTTATGATAAAAACTCTCAAAAAGCTAAGCATTAAAGGAACATACCTCAAAATATTATTTCTTGGTTTCCCATATGAACTTTTTTCTTATGGCAGTCAATTAAAAGTTGCTGCTTTTCAGATTATTTTTCCTTTTACTCTTAAATCCCTATTCTCCTAGAGGTGTCATTCAATATTTCACTGTCAAGTGTAATATTAGATCTAGGTTCTTCCTTGGTGTTCTTTATCAGGTTGAAGGATTTACATTCTATGCCTACTTTACTAAGAGTTTAATAGGAGTATATCTTGGAATTTGTCAAATGATCAATCTGACATTGATGGACATTTCAATTTTAAATAAGACTTTTGTTTCTGAATAGACTCCACTTGGTTCGGATGTGGTGTATATACATTCATATGTGTGCACATACACATATTTTGGTGTATACAACTTTGTTATTTGCTTTGTTGAGGATTTTTGTATTCATGTTCATGTACTATACTGATGTGTAATTTTTTTTGTACTGGTTTTGGTATTACAATTAATAGTGGCCTCATAAAAGTCAAAGAGTTTTGCCTCCTCTTCTAATTTCTGTGAGAAGTTTGGTAGAATTTGTGTTTATTGTTCTTTAAAATCTGTATAATTTTCCAGTAAAACCATGTGGACCTGGAGATGTTTTTTGAAAGCGTTTTAAATTACAGAGTTAATATCTTAATTGTTATAGTACTATTCATATAATCTTTTTCATCCTGAGTGAGTTTTGGCAGTATTTATCTGAAGAATTGGTTCATTTCGTCTAAGTTGTCAAATGAATGCAAGTAAATTCATTCATATTGTTTCATAATTATCATAATTATTGTATTAATGTCTGAGGGGTCTTACTTATATACTCTCTCTCATTCCTAATTTCTGATACTGGCAAATTTGTTCTCTCTGTTTCTTTATTATATTTATTGATGAAATTTCAAAGAGTATTTTACAATAAGATGTTATGCCCAGTCACTATCTCAGAATCATGAGTGCATTTGTGTCAAATTCCAGTGATGAAATATGTAGGAGAGACCCATGTAATCTACAACTGAAGAGAATCCTGATTGTATCTTCTCTCAGTTCTTTCTTTACCACAGTTCATTCCTTCACCACAGTCCATTCCTTCAGCTAATTGTATGGGCACACAGAAATCCATCAGATAAGTGTATTTTTTGCTTAAGTAAAATACAGTTGATTTTTGTTTTTTACCTCTAAGAACATTAAAGTGTACCTATAAGACCTTATAATATACACAGAAAAATGCTGATAGATACTTGTTAAGGGAAACAATTCATTTATTCTGGGTCACATATAATATGAAGCCTCGAAGGGAAAACATCCAAAGAAAAATGTGTATGATGGTACTAGGTGACTTTACAAACACTTGAAAATGAGCAAGGACTATAATTTTAATGGAATTCGTCTTTTAGTTGAAGTATTTAATTTCTGAACCTACACTTTATTTTCTGTAAAATTAAATTAATGAGGAAAAATAATGGAGGAGATCACAGTAGCAGATACTTTAAGAGCCAAGATGAAAAGAAGCTCCTGGAAGCCAACAAAGTGAAGATTGAGGGACACAGAGATATAGAGAAAGCTTCTCACTCAACATGGTTTTCTGAGAAACTATAAAGTGCCATTTAGAAAAGAACTTTACAGAAACTTTTAGTTTCTAAAATATGTGTATATATACATATATACATATACATATACAATATATACATATACATACACACATATTTTTAAAACCCTGAAAAAAATTGGTTACCTCTGTCTACCACACTTTATAATTTTGTTGCTTTTATTTCTTGCTTTTATTTCTAACTAACCATGATGAGAAAACAGATCTAATATTTGTTTAGGAAATATATTTAAATCACATTTCATCTACTAAAAATATACCTTATATTAGTGAATCATGAGCATAATTCCTTTGCCCTTCTGCTATCGATATTTCTATCTTTTTTCCTTGAGCAATCTATGGATATTTTTATAACTTTTTCCACGCTCAACATTTAGCCTAATAGATAAAAATTTCCAAGACCATTCCTGGGGTGATAAGAATCAACTGCCAGAAGAACAAGTGCAAGCACAGGATTTAATTCAAATAATTTAAATTTGTGGCTTTGAGCCATTAGTCCAATTAAAAGTGGCATCCTTGCCAAATAAGTAGGACAACAGAAGAAAGAAAATGGGGCCGTCTGAATAGAAAACAATATCTACCTTTGACATATAAAAATCTACTCTTGATATATCCCTAAATATTTATGGTGTCAATTTAATTTAAGCATAAGATTATATTTAAAAAATACTTGCTAAATGCTTTTTCAAATAATTAGGAATTCATAATTGTAAAGTCTTTACTTGTGGCTATTACTAAAATAAGATCTTTTAGGATAGTGAGAATTAAGACACTCCAAGGTGCAATTTCTGTCATGTAGTACTAGTTGATAAAACTAAGGTAGTAGGCCGGGCGTGGTGGCTCACGCCTGTAATCCCAGCATTTTGGGAGGCCCAGGCGGGCGGATCACGAGGTCAGGAGATCGAGACCATCCTGGCCAACGCGGTGAAACCCCGTCTGTACTAAAAAAACTACAAAAAATTAGCCGGGCGTGGTGGCGGGCGCCTGTTGTCCCAGCTACTCCAGAGGCTGAGGCACGAGAATGGCGTGAACCCGGGAGGCGGAGCTTGCAGTGAACCGAGATCGCGCCACTGCACTCCAGCCTGGGCGACAGAGCAAGACTCTGTCTCAAAAAACAAAAAACAAAAACAAACAAACAAAAACAACTAAGGTAGTCAATAAATTCCCTCAGTGAATATACTGAACTTTGTCCATATGCAGAGTGAATTTAATTTTGCACCTCATAATATAATCTTTGTCCATTAGCAGACGTTTAGAAACCAAGTGCTTTGCATCTTTTTTCAGTTACACATTGCCCCAAATAATTGTATCACTAAGAAGAAGAACTGAAAGTAATTTGATCAGAGTCAAATATATTATTAAACGAAGGACATAGCTTCTGATTTGTAGAAAGAGGATTTTCCAATGATTGAGTCTATGTAAAATATTGGAATTGATTCCTTCAATAATGCCTTAGTTGTAAAATTGCCCCGTAGCTACCACCTAAATCATTGCCTTAGGACGCCCTGGCTGCAGAGATATCAAGGAGGTTTTTTCTGGGATTTAGAGAAAATGATTTTTTTTGGAAGGTTTTGCCTTGTAACTCCCTTTCTTTGCTTCTATCTTAGTGGAGTATTAAGATATAGAGTCAAAATATTAAACAGTGTGCTCTAAGAGGAGCAGTCAAAGGGTTTATTAGGCTCTGCTGTATGATAGAAGGGATCTTTAAGCTCTAAGGTTCATCTAAGGCAGAAAATCCACCTAAGACTTTAGAAATAAAAGTTAGAATTCTAAATTGTTTGATTGTGTTGTATGTCTTTGTGCACTTCTTGCATGAATTTGTGGCAACCGAGGATAGTATAGAAGATATTTGCATACCAGTTCTTAGAATAGTCTTTACATCTCCTTTAAAGAAGAAAGGTGACATACTACATACATGTGAAGCACATATTGCTTCATTGCTTCAGTCCCTATTTTGGCTGTCATAAATCTGTCACATAAAATACACTTTCTAGATTAAGGCATTCATAAAATTATTTTCTTGTAGTATTTATGTTGAAAAGCAAATTCAAATGTATTCATTATATATGTAATGTTTAAAAAGTCCCAGTTCATAGTATCACTAATAATTTGATAGTTGATAATGTGACCTTAAATGCATCTTCTTACTTATTTATATTAATATCCCTACATGATGGAGTTATATGGATAAATTCAGGGCTAAAACTTTAGTCGTTCTATGCAAATATGTTTCCAGGTTTGCAGACTACTCCACATTTACAATCTACTGGTCAATTGTCATTTTTAAGGTATTAAAAACATATTCTCAGACATTTAAGTGCAAAAGTCAAACCTAGATAAGATTCAGTAGCTATTACAGTAAATAGTGAGAAGAGAGGTGAAGAATGTGTGTGTGTGCGTGTGCGTGCGTGTGCATGTGTGTGAGACTGAGGCCAGGTGAATGTCAGCCTAGAAATAAAAAGAAAAAAAGCAGAAGTCCTAAACTAATACCTATGCTCTAAGGTAATTTTCTAGTTGGAGTTATTTTCTTTTATCTTCATTTCCTTGATCCACTATTTATCTCACATTTATCAAATACTAGCAAATTAGAAAAGTCATATCAATGTCAGGTGAAGATGGAAGGGTAGCATCATATCAGCTCCCAAATTTGGGTGATTATATTATTGCAATAGGATAAAATAAAATCATTTCTAGTTTTGATATTACATAACAAGTCCTCTATAAATACTAGTGTACAGGTTTTTGTGTTAACATAAATTTTTATTTCTTTTGGGCAAATATATAGATGTGGAATTACTGGGTAGCATGGTAAGTTTATGATTATGTCTCCTAGAAACTGCTAGACTATTTGCCTAAGTGCCGGCACCATTTTGCATGTCCACCAGCGATGCAAGGTAGTTCAATTTCTAAGCATCTGTACTAGTACTTAGTATTTTACTACTACTACTACTGCCATTACTACTATTATTTTGTATTCAAGGCACTATAATAGGTGTGTAGTGATATCACATTGTAGTTTTAATTTGCATTTCTCCAGTGACCAGTGATGTTTAGTTCCCTCATATGTGTTTATTTGCCACCGATATAATTCTTGGTGATTTGTCTATTTAAATGTTTTGTTGATTTGTAAAAATTATGTTATTTCTCAAAATTGAAGGTTTAAGAAGTTTTCATATATTCAAAAGATAAATGGTTTATCAGATATATATATTATAAATATATCCTCAATATATGATGTCTTTTCAATTTCTTAAGAATGTCATTTTAAGACCAAATGGTTTATTAAGTTCAGTTTATCAAATTTTCTTCCATGGAGTATGCATTTGGTGTCATATCTAAGCTATGCTTTGTCTATTCCAAAGTCACATTGCTAAATATTTCTCCTATATTTTCTGCTCCTCCTCTTCCTCTTCTACCTCCTCCTCTTGTCTCTCCTTTAGTTTTAGATTTATGATCTATTTAGAATTAATTTACATATATCATGTAATAAATTATAAACTAAATAATACAAAAAAGTCAAGCTTTTTTTTTAATGTGGATATCCAAATATCCTATCATTATTTATTTAGAAGAATTTATTTATTAATGGATTTGCCTAGGTATCTTTGTTGAAAATCAATTGGCCAAATATGTGTACTTTTATTTCTAGACTCTTTTCTGTTCATTTGTTCTATGTCTAGTCTTTTGCTGGTACCACAGTGTTTGATTACTGCAAGTTTAGAGTTCACTCTTAAATAAAGAAAAGTGCCTTCCAGCTTTTTTCTTTATTTTTTTGAAAATTGTTTTACTGTTTTTTGTTGCTTTACTTTTGAATATAAGTTTTAGAATCTGTTTGCTAATTTCTAGAAATTCCTGCTAGAAATGTGATTGGAGTTGTGTGGAATATATAGGCAAATCAGAGCAAATTGATTTTTTTAAATATTGAGTGTTTAAAACTATGAAAATAGTATATTTCTCTAAGTTTATTTTGATTTATTTCATCTATGTTTAGTACTTTTGACTATATCTTTCTTGCCTATAAATATTTTAATATTACTGTTACATATTTTCATACATATGTTACAAACATAATATATAAAATATATATCCCCATATAATTACAAAAACAAATTCAATTTTGTAAATATAATTTTATATATTTACTTTGTATCCTGCAAACTGCTAAACTTATTATTAGTCTTGATAACATTTTTGTCATTTTTGATATTTATTTTAGATAGACAAATAATATGCAAATAGAGACAGCTTTATTATTTTTAAAAAATCTGTATGACATTTATTGATTTTTCTTATCCTATTGCACTGACTAGGGCCTTCAGTACAATAGTAAATAGATATGTCTTTGTTCCCTGTATAAGAGAAAACCTTTTAGTCTTTCTACATTAAATATTTTAGACATAAGCTTAATGTGAGTTTCTCAACCTTTGTCAAGTAGAGGAAGTACTACTTTCTTCTCAGTTTGCTGAGAGTCAGCCTGTCTCTGTGTGTGCGTGTGTTTATATGACGATGTAAAAATTTGCTAAATTTACTTTCCGCAATGCACTTTTGTATCTGTGGAGATGATTATATGGTTATTCTTCCTTAGTGTGTTGACTTGGTGGTGTAGTCTGAATGTTTGTGTCTCCTAAGTTTCATACGTTAGGACCTAAGCCTTAATGTCATGGTATTGGGAAATGGGACTTTATGAGAGGTTATTAGGTCAGGAGCACGGAGCCCTCATGCATAGTATTAGTGCCCTAATAAAATACGCTGAAAGGAGCCCATTTATCCTTTGCAACATGTGAGTAACAGTGCAAAGGTGTCATCTATGAGAAAATAAGCCTTCACCAGACACCGAATATGCTGATGTTTGATCATATACTTCTCAGCCACCAGAGCTGTGAGAAATAAATTTACTTTGTTAGTAAGCTGATCGGTCTTAGGTATTTTGTTTAAGCAATGCAAATGGACTAAGACATATAATGAATTGCACTGATTGGTTTTCAAATGTTAAATCAACCTTGCATTTTTAAAATAAAACACACTTGGTTGTAATGTCTTGTCCTTTTCTTAAATTATTGGATTGATTTGCAAATATTTTGTTGAGGATTTTTGCATATACATTCATAAGGAACATTGATCTGTAGTTTTATTTTTTTAATAACTTTTTTTTCCAATTTTGGTACCAGGGAAATGTTGCAACATCATATTATAACAAGTTCCATCTCATAAATTAAAATATTTATTTAGTATTTAGAAATTTGAAATCTAAAGTAAAATGTGATAAACTTATATGGAAATGAATAGCTGATATTGAGACTTTTTAAAAATAAAGGACGAAATGGAGAATGTATAATACTAGCTATTAAGATACGTGATTTAAAGTTTTAGGAATAAACACAAGGTGCTGTTAAAGTAGAAATATCCAAGAACTCTGGATCCTCTATTACAATGATTTACTCAAATAATGTATTTGTAAAAAAAAATTCAAAACTGTGAGTTTTGTTTCTTCTTTTCCTTTCGCCTGAAATTATTTTTTCCTAAATAACCACATGGAGGTTATTCTCTACTCTTTTAGCTTTCTGTTCAAATATAACTTTTTTCACCTTCCTTTATAAATTATCACACATCACTATCATGCTGTATATGTTTCCTGTGAATATTTTGTTCTCATTGCACTTATAATCACCTTACATACTTTAAGTTAATGTGTTTGATGATTGTCCATATCCTCAAAAATAGGTAAGCTCCATTGAGAAAAGTGATTTTCTAGTATTTATTTAGTTTGTTAGTTAATTAGTTTTTATTATTTTTAATTTCTGTACCCTAAATGCCTAAATTTGGGCCTGTTTAAAAATATAAAGTCAATAAATTTATTAATGATGAACAAACTAAAACCTGTAGGGAAAAATGTCAACTACTTTGACATGAAAAGAAAACACAATTCTATACAAGTCTGAAAGAGAATATTTGCAATTTCTAAAACTAATTATACATTAACATAATATATTTTAATCCTGAAAAAAACTAAGAAAAATAGTAAATATATTAGAAAAATGTTCAAAGGATGTAAATGGCCAGTATGTAAAAGGTAAACAGGTATAAAAGATGTCTGACAATATTCTTAGAGTAATAAGCAACACAAATATGAGCAACACTAACATAGCACCTTAGCCTGTTAGGATTAAAAGAAGTAAAATTTTGGTAATACCAAATAATCACAATGATATGGATATTTGACAACACTTTCCCTTTCCTGTTATGAGCAGATGACTTTGACATTAATGTAAATTCTCTACGTACTTACTATCTCAAAATTGTATTTATATGCTTAAATTTAGTAACAGATCATTTTAGGAACAGATATTAATATATTCATGATACCAATAAGAGGGGTGGCAGAAATTTAGATATAAGGTCTATCAGTGGGAGTATGAATAAAAGTAAAGTGTGCTGGGTATGTAAAATGGAATGCTGTGATGCAGGCAAACACAAATAACTGGTTGTGTACAGAAAAATAAAAAGGGTAAAATTTAATTTTATGTTAAAATATGATTCATAAAAATACTGGTTTTGAAAATAAAATATAATTCAATACTATACCTTCAGATGATATTTATTATATATATAAAGGTATGTCTTATTTTAAGTAGAGCAAAGTAGGTGTCTATGTATGGAAGGGGATGGGAATTGGGTCTAGGATTGAAAATGAATATCAAGGGCTTTTGCAGGGACAAATGAGAGTGAATAACCTGAGGTTAGATTAATTCAACTATTTGCATATGTGGTCTTACAACTTTTAAAGAGAGTTTAAATATCCAAGGCAAACAGATACAAGCACATGATGATAGCATATGTCTAGAGTGATTTAGTTGGGAGCCTGTCACGGCCTATGTGTTTGGTAATTGTGTTAGAAAGATCCGTATAGTGAAGATTAACATATCAGTACATGTCAGACTTATAACACAAGTCATCAACCTACTTTGAATTAGCTATTTTGATAATCACTGAGAAAAATTCAGATGATAATTGGCAATTCAATTAGGTTGGAATATAGTGACAGGAAATACTGAGTGAGCACAAATATCTTGTTTGCTTATTACATTTCTTTTTTTAAAAATAAATGTGACATTTATGTTTTAAGTAAATGTGTTTCTTATTGAGTGTAGTTTCCACGAGAGGATTTGGGAAGCTATTTTCTATTACTGAAATAACAACTGATTTTCCAGTCTTGCAATGGTAAACAACAGACCCTGGAGTTTGAGGACAACACCAAGGTACTGCCATACTTGAGGTGGAGATGGCGTTTCTCAGGTGAGATACTCCTCCATTTCAACATTTCTGTTCCATCTAGGATACCATTTCCTCCTCAGGTTGTAAGGTTAAGGTAGGAATCATAAAAAATTAATTATTAATATCTGTTAAATTTTAAAATGGTGATTATTGAGATACACATTAACACCATAGTAGACATTTTACATCTCATCAAGGAAGGCATGTTAAAAAGGTAAAAAATGGAAAAAATGACAGAGGAAATATTATTTTTTCAAAAAACAGAATAATTTTTTGTACAAAACTTGCCTTTTACAGAGGTTGCAGTGAGCCGAGATTGTACCACTGCAATCCAGCCTGGTGAAGGAACGAGACTAAAGTCTAAAAGACAAAAAATAAAACAAACAAACAAAATAAACCTTGCCTATTCATTTACCTCTATATAAGGATTACTACACTCCACATTTCCTCATCTGACATGAAAATATCTATGTACTTGTATGATTTTAGCTTTAGAAAAATATTTCAAAAGTGGATTGTTTGGAGTAATCTAAAAATCGATCAATTGTAATATTTAGAAACTGGTGGTTTTCAGTTTGTTTGCACCATATAAGTATTTTGTATTGGCTGCTTAAAAATATCTGGACTAGCACTTAAAAATTAGCATTCAGACATTTGAAATAAAACAGTTTGATATGCATGCAAATAAAGAAATTTGCTGTATTACTCCAAATTCCTGCATGGTAACAATTTCAGAAGACCAGTTTGGAAGGAGTAGTTACTCTTTAGTTTGCTGAAATTGTCACCTGATAAATTTAATTAACTTAAATTACCTATCACTTCTCTGTGGATATTTGAATCTATGTCTCATATTCAGACTAATCATTTAATTTCACAGGTGAGAAATTAGAGTTTAATTATAATTAGAGATAGGTGACCTCACAGAAGATGATGGTGATGAAAATTGGTTAGAACAGAAGAAATCTTTAAGTTTGATTTATGTTTCCACCATACAGTGGTAATTCATCCATTCTGACAGTTTGAAAATTATAAGCAATGTCTTTTGATTATTCTAACACATAACCACATTTTAAAAATATAAAGTTAATTGTCAATCACTCTTAAGATTAATTGTCATTCTTAAGAGGTACCTTGGCTAGGATACACATGTTAATTTATTTAAATAATTTAATGAGCAATAGAGTAACATTTTGAATTTCTGAACTTTACTTCAATTTTCTAATACTAATACAATGAGAAGGTGTAAATTGCTCCAGTGTTTAATGTTTGGTGAATTTTTTAAAGGTAGAATTCAGCATGCAAGAATATATCAATAAGGCATAGAGCATAGGTTTTGTGTTGTATAGTTTTGCAGATAAGAGAATACTCCATTTAGGACATTAATTTTATGTTTTATAACAACAATTTGTATTAGAGCCTTACTGCCCAGAAAAGGGTGACAAATGGACTTCCCAAAAACATAATATTTTTGAACTTACTTTTAATGGGAGCAGCTCTCCATTCTAAAGCTGTACTCCATTTTAGTTTATCAACAAGGCAAATCTAAGTTATAGATAATTAACTATTTTGCTTAAGTTCAAAAAGCAATTTCAACACAAGAAGCAAATACAAACTAAAACCTCTGTCCCATAAAGCTTGCAGCCATGGCTCCTAGAGTTCCCAGTAATTTTATTCTTTATCCTTCCTCTGGAATCTCCTATCACCCAGTTGAAATACATGTCTCCTAAACCTTTCTTTTTTCTGATTTGTAGATAAGTTAATTTCTCTCTTTGCTCTTATTTATTAGCTGATGAAATGAGATAATATTAAATCTATAATGATTTCATTTAACTTTAAAATGTGTTTTGAGATGAATTTTGCATAAAAAAAATGTTGTAGAAAGTAACACTTTATTGTATGGCATTATGACCAGTCATTAGGTTTGGTGAATTGGTTCTTCTTGCTAATGTTTGTGTTAAATTAAAAACACGAAATTGAGATAATCATGCATGAATCCTGCATGAGGCATTAACAATATAATGCTGGAAACAAAACTGATATCTATTGCACTATAACTAGTTAAAGCGGAAGAAAATCTTAATGCTGCAAACATTGTATGATACTTTCATCTCCTCTGGAAAGAAACAAATAGTATTATTCCAGTTCCAACAATATTAATATGGTACAGTATAATTAGGAAAAATATAAAGGTAAGTAACTACATTCAGGCAAGCCAAAAACAAGTATGTTTCTGTAGAATTACTATTTCCAAGTAATGAAAGATGTGTTAACTACCAAGGTTTGCTATTTCGATTTTTTTAAAAAAGAAAAGTTTTAAATAAGAGTAAGAATTAGCTCACAGCAGCTTAATCCCATGGCATGCTCCTAATAAATACAAATCTACTAATAATGCATTTGCCCTTGGGAGCTTTGCAAAGGCTTACAGTACTTGCTCATTCCAACAGAGTCATTTCACTCATCTGTTACCATTTTGGTTGTTTTCCTGTCTACTGACTTTTAATAATTGAGATTGTATACTGCACCCACTCCCTTCTCTGTAAACATTGACCCTTAGCTTCGGTGGCACTTGCCATCTGGAACTGTCTGTCCTCCTCTCTTCACGTCACTGGAAACCTAATTTACTGTTTGCTAAAGTACAAAACTCCCATTTAGCTCAGTGGGAGTTTGAAGAAAGATGACTGGTAGATTGAACACTGGTAATCTCCTGCCCAGTTTTGAAATGCAGCCAAAATATCGACACTTTTCTAAAAAAGGTACCTATTTTCCAGGTTAGGAATGAGCATATTTTTAAAGAAAATATCACCTCAAAAATAGTAGTTGATCAAACATACTCATCTTAGTCATTTGGAAACATATCAAGCACAAATTGCAATGCTTCTATTTCTGTGATGGAGGCAGTTGAAGAAGTAACCACTACATCATGAAGTTAAATACCATAAATCACATATGTCAATTAGGTGATCCCTTGTGATTTATAAGTCACCAATACTTTTGTCTTTATTTATTCAAAAAAGAGAGATATTCATGATTATCTCAATAGATGCAGAAAAGGCCTTCGATAAAATTTAACATCCCTTTATGCTAAAAACTCTCAATAAACTAGGTATTGATGGAACATATGTCAAAATAATAAGAGCTATTTATGACAAACCTGCAGCCAGTATCGTACTGAATAGGCAAAAGCTGGAAGCAGTCCCTTTGAAAACCAGCACAAGACAACGATGACCTCTCTCACCACTCCTATTCAACATAGTATTGGAAGCTCTGGCCAGAGCATTCAGGTAAGAGAAAGAAATAAAGGGTATTCAGATAAGAAGAGAGGAAGTCAAATTGTCTCTGCTTGCAGATGACATGATTGTATATTTTAGAAAACCCCATCATCTCAGCCCAAAATCTCCTTAAGCTGATAAGCAACTTCAGCAAAGTCTCAGGATACAAATTCAATGTGCAAAAATCCCAAGCATTCCTATACACCAATAATAGACAGAGAGCCAATTGTGAACTGCCATTCACAATTGTGACAAAGAGAATAAAATACCTAGGAATACATCTTACAATAGATGTGAAGGACCCCTTAAGGAGAACTACAAACCAATGCTTGAGGAAATAAGAGAGGACACAAACAAATGGAAAAACATTCCATGCTCATGGATAGAAAGAATCAATATCATAAAAATGGCCATACTGCCGAAAGTAATTTGTAGAATCAATCCTATCCCCATCAAGCTACCATTGACTTTCTTCACAGAATTAAAAAAACCTAAATTTCATATAGAATTTTTAAAAATCCAAAAAAGAGCCCATATAGCCAAGACAATCCTAAGCAAAAAGAAAAAATCTAGAGGCATCATGCTACCTGCCTTCAAACTATACTACAAGGCTACAGTAACAAAAACAGCATGGTACTGGTAACAAAGCAGATATATAGACCAATGGAACAGAATGAAGGCCTTAGAAATAATGCCACTTATCTACAAC
This sequence comes from Homo sapiens, assembly GCF_000001405.40. Lineage (NCBI taxonomy): Eukaryota > Metazoa > Chordata > Mammalia > Primates > Hominidae > Homo > Homo sapiens. The sequence continues at coordinate 58,856,927 of NC_000004.12, read as the reverse complement.
CATCTGTTCTTTGATAAATCTGTCAAAGCAATGGGGAAAGAATTTCCTATTTAATAAATAGTGTTGGAAAAACTGGTTAGCCATATGCAGAAAACTAAAACTGGACCCCTTCCTTACACCTTATAAAAAATTAACTCAAGATGGATTAAAGACTTAAGTGTAAGATATAAAACCATAAAAACCATAGGAGAAAATTAGGCAATACCATTCAGGACATAGGCAAGGGCAAAGACTTCATAACTAAAACACCAAAACCAATGGCAACAAAACCCAAAATTGACAAATCAGATCTAATTAAAATAAAGAGCTTCTGCATGGCAAAAGAAACTGTCATCAGAATGAACTGGCAACCTACAGAATGAGAGAAAATTTTTTTTTCTTTTTATTTATTTATTTATTTATTATTACACTTTAAGTTTTAGGGTACATGTGCACAATATGCAGGTTAGTTACATATGTATACATGTGCCATGCTGGTGCACTGCACCCACTAACTCGTTATCTAACATTAGGTATATCTCCCAATGCTATTCCTCTCCCCTCCCCCCACCCCACAGCAGTCCCCAGAGTGTGATGTTCCCCTTCCTGTGTCCATGTGTTCTCACTGTTCAATTCCCACCTATGAGCCAGAATATGCGGTGTTTGGTTTTACTATGCAGCCATAAAAAATGATGAGTTCATGTCCTTTGTAAGGACATGGATGAAATTGGAAATCATCATTCTCAGTAAACTATCGCAAGAGAGAAAATTTTTGCTGTCTATCCAACTGACTAACAGCTAATATCCAGAATTTACAAGGAACTTAAACAAATTTACAAGAAAAAGAACAAACAACCCCATTAAAAAGTGGATAAAGGCTATGAACAGACACTTCTCAAATGAAGACATTTATAAGGCCAACAAACATATGAAAAAAAGCTCATCATCACTGGTCTTTAGAGAAACAGAAATCAAAACCACAAAGAGATACCATCTCACGCCAATTAGTATGGCAACCATAAAAAAGTCAGGAAACAACAAATGCTGGAGAGGATGTGGAGAAATAGGAACACTTTTACACTGTTGGTGAGAGTGTAAATTAATTCAACCATTGTGGGAGACAGTGTGGTGATTCCTCAAGGATCTAGAAGCAGAAATACCATTTGACCTAGCAATCCCATTACTGGGTATATACTCAAAAGATTATAAATCATTCTACTACAAAGACATATGCACATATATGTTTATTGCAGCACTATTCACAATAGCAAAGACTTGGAACCAAGCCAAATGTCCATCAATGATAGACTGGAAAAAGGAAATGTGGCACATATACACCATGGAATACTATACAGCCATATAAAAGGATGAGTTCATGTCCTTTGCAGGGACATGGATGAAACTGGAAAACATTATTCTCAGCAAACTAAGAAGAACAGAAACACAAACACCACATGTTCTCACTCATAAGTGGGAGTTGATCAATGAGAACATGGACACAGGGAGGGGAACATCACACACTGGGGCCTGTCAGGGGTTTGGGAGATAGGGGAGAAATAATGTACAAATTAGCAGAAATACTTAATGTAGATGACAGGATGATGGGTGCAGCAAACCACCATGGCACGTGTATACCTATGTAACAAACCTGCACATTCTGCACATGTATCCCAGAACTTATAGCATAATAATAAAAAAGAGAGATACTCTCACATAAACTCAAGTAATAAGAGTTTTATCACTATACACAAATCAATTCTTACTATACAACTTGGTCTTTCAATAACTCAGAATAATCAATAAAATTAGGCTTCAGGGGAATAAGGAAAGAAATAGAGCTATCAGATAATGTATCTTAAAGGGTATCTAAAATTCACAACAGCCTCACCATATCAATTTTTATCCCAGCACAAAATATTTTATTCATTAATAATAATTATAAAATAAACTAATTTCATCAATTGCACTCTATTCTCTCTCTCTCTGTCTCTGTATGTGTGTGTGTGTGTGTGTGTGTGTGTGTGTGTGTGTCAGGACTGATCCTAGGTTGTGAGGGCCCAGTACAAAAATTTTTTTTCCAGGGTGTCTTTCCATATCCATGTGCTCATGGATGTATATCAACTTGTCAATAAAAAAAAGGCTTGTTACTTGTCTTTATTGATGAATAGCACAAATTTAAGTCTTATCTAGAGTGTGCTGGAAAAAGTGGATGATTATTTATTTTCTGGTTATATTATATTTACTACTGGAATATTTCTAGCATAAATGTAGAACAGCATATCCTCCAACTATTTATTCCCTTAGCTTGTTTCTAGTTTATCCTGCTGGATATTCAATTTTTCCTTATAGGCCTCAATAGGCTCAGAAATGTCACTTCGCAGATTCTACAAAAAGAGTATTTTGAAGCTGGTGAATCAAAACACAGGTTCCATTCTTTGATATAAAACAGCACATCACAAAGCATTTTCACACATAGCTTGAAATATGCATACTGTAACCACTGCATTATATAGGGATTATATAATATATTTTATAATATATTTTAATATTGATGGCATCATGATTCTGGCACCATATGAAGTAAAATGGAAGGGATTCATGAAGAAAGCAAAAAGAACGCTCTATTTGTGCAAAAATGTACATCACTTAGCCAGATCAGATGAATATCTTCCCAGGATAGTACAGCATGATCAGAGGCAAAAGCAAGCATCAATGGAAGTATCTGTCTATTGGATTTGTAAACCAATAAAGTCTTTGAGGAAACAGGTATGACCACTTACAGAGGATAACCTGAACAAATGTAGAGTCTGTGGTGGGGTTGGGGTAACTCCACTGGGTGTCCATAGCAGAGGGTAAAGACACCAAGAAGGCCTTCTATAACCTCTGCCCTTCTTTTTTTTTTATTATTATACTTTAAGTTCTAGGGTACATGCGTACAATGTGCAGGTTTGTTACATATGTATACATGTGCCATGTTGGTCTGCTGCACCCATTAACTCGTCATTTAGCATTAGGTATATCTCCTAATAATAAGAGCTATTTATGACAAACCCGCAGCCAGTATCATACTGAATAGGCAAAATCTGGAAGCAGTCCCTTTGAAAACCAGCACAAGACAACGATGTCCTCTCTCACCACTCCTATTCAACATAGTATTGGAAGCTCTGGCCAGAGCATTCAGGTAAGAGAAAGAAATAAAGGGTATTCAAATAAGAAGAGAGGAAGTCAAATTGTCTCTGCTCGCAGATGACATGATTGTATATTTAGAAAACCCCATCGTCTCAGCCCAAAATCTCCTTAAGCTGATAAGCAACTTCAGCAAAGTCTCAGGATACAAATTCAACGTGCAAAAATCACAAGCATTCCTATACACCAATAATAGAGAGCCAATTGTGAACTGCTATCCCTCCCCCCACCCCACAACAGGCCCAAGTGTGTGATGTTCCCCTTCCTGTGTCCATGTGTTCTCAATGTTCAATTCCCACCTGTGAGTGAGAACATGTGGTGTTTGGTTTTTTGTCCTTGTGATCGTTTTCTGAGAATGATGGTTTCCAGCTTCATCCATGTCCCTACAAAGGACATGAACTCATCATTTTTTATGGCTGCGTAGGATTCCATGGTGTATATGTGCCACATTTTCTTAATCCAGTCTATCATTTTTGGACATGTGTGTTGGTTCCAAGTCTTTGCTATTGTGAATAGTGCCGCAATAAACATACGTGTGCATGTGTCTTTATAGCAGCATGATTTATAATCCTTTGGGTACATACCCAGTAATGGGATGGCTGGGTCAAACGGTAATTCTAGTTCTATATCCCTCAGGAATGGCCACACTAACTTCCACAATGGTTGAACTAGTTTACTATCCCACCAACAGTGTAAAAGTGTTCCTATTTCTCCACATCCTCTCCAGCACTTGTTGTTTCCTGACTTTTTAATGATTGCCATTCTAACTGGTGTGAGATGGTATCTCACTGTGGTTTTGATTTGCATTTCTCTGATGGCCAGTGATGATGAGCATTTTTTTATGTGTCTTTCTGCTACATAAATGTCTTCTTTTGAGAAGTGTCTGTTCATATCCTTCGCCCACTTTTTGATGGGGTTGTTTGTTTTTTTCTTGTAAATTTGTTTGAGTTCATTGTAGATTCTGGATATTAGCCCTTTGTCAGATGAGTAGATTGCAAAACTTTTCTCCCATTCTGTAGGTTGCCTGTTCACTCTGATGGTAGTTTCTTTTGCTGTGCAGAAGCTCTTTAGTTTAATTAGATCCCATTTGTCAATTTTGGCTTTTGTTGCCATTGCTTTTGGGGTTTTAGACATGAAGTCCTTGCCCATGCCTATGTCCTGAGTGGTATTGCCTAGGTTTTCTTCTAGGGTTTTTATGGTTTTAGGTCTAACATTTAATCTTTAATCCATCTTGAATTAGGTTTTGTATAAGGTGTAAGGAAGGGATGCAATTTCAGCTTTCTGCATATGGCTAGCCAGTTTTCCAAGCACCATTTATTAAATAGGGGATCCTTTCCCCATTGCTTGTTTTTGTCAGGTTTGTCAAAGATCAGATAGTTGTAGATATGCAGCATTATTTCTGAGGGCTCTGTTCTGTTCCATTGGTCTATATCTCTGTTTTGGTACCAGTACCATGCTCTTTTGGTTACTGTAGCCTTGTAGTATATTGTGAAGTCAGGTAGTGTGATGCCTCCAGCTTTGTTCTTTTGGCTTAGGATTGACTTGGCAATGTGGGCTCTTTTTTGGTTCCATATGAACTTTAAAGTAGTTTTTTCCAATTCTGTGAAGAAAGTCATTGATAGCTTGATGGGGATGGCACTGAATCTATAAATTACCTTGTGCAGTATGGCCATTTTGAGGATATTGATTCTTCCTACCCATGAGCATGGAATGTGCTTCCCTTTGTTTGTATCCTCTTTCATTTCATTGAGCAGTGGTTTCTTGTTCTCTTTGAAGAGGTCCTTCACTTCCCTTTTAAGTTGGATTCCTAAGTATTTTATTCTCTTTGAAGCAATTGTGAATGGGAGTTCACTCATGATTTGGCTCTCTGTTTGTCTGTTATTGGTGTATAAGAATGCTTGTGAATTTTGTACATTGATTTTGTATCCTGAGACTTTGCTGAAGTTGCCTATCAGCTTAAGGAGATTTTGGGCTGAGACAATGGGGTTTTCTAGATATACAATCATGTCATCTGCAAACAGGGACAATTTGACTTCCTCTTTTCCTAATTGAATGTCCTTTATTTCCTTCTCCTGCCTGATTGCCCTGGCCAGAACTTCCAGCACTATGTTGAATAGGAGTGGTGAGAGAGGGCATCCCTGTCTTGTGCCAATTTTCAAGGGGAATGCTTCCAGTTTTTGCCCATTCAGTATGATATTGGCTGTGGGTTTGTCATAGATAGCTCTTATTATTTTGAGATACGTCCCATCAATACCTAATTTATTGAGAGTTTTTAGCATGAAGGGCTGTTGAATTTTGTCAAAGGCCTTTTCTGCATCTATTGAGATCATCATGTGGTTTTTGCCATTGGTTCTGTTTATGTAGTGGATTACGTCTGTTGATTTGCATATGTTGAACCAGCCTTGCATCCCAGGGATGAAGCCCACTTGATCATGGTGGATTAGCTTTTTGATGTGCTGCTGGATTCAGTTTGCCAGGATTTTATTGAGGATTTTTGCATCGATGTTCATCAGGGATATTGGTTTACAATTCTCTTTTTTTGTTGTGTCTCTGCCAGGATCAATTCAACAAGAAGAGCTAACTATCCTAAATATATATGCACCCAATACAGGAGCACCCAGATTCATAAAGCAAGTCTTTAGTGACCTACAAAGAGACTTAGACTCCCATACAATAATAATGGGAGACTTCAACACCCCACTGTCAATGTTAGACAGATCAACAAGACAGAAAATTAGCAAAGATATCCAGGAATTGAACTCGGCTCTGCACCAAGCGGACCTAATAAACGTTTACAGAACTCTCCACCTCAAATCAACAGAATATACATTCTTTTCAGAACCACACCACGCCTACTCCAAAATTGACCACATAGTTGGAAGTAAAGCACTCCTCAGCAAATGTAAAAGAACAGAAATTATAACAAACTGTCTCTCAGACCACAGTGCAATCATACTAGAATTCAGGATTAAGAAACTCACTCAAAACTGCTCAACTACATGGAAACTGAACAACCTGCTCCTGAATGACTACTGGGTACATAACAAAATGAAGGCAGAAATAAATATGTTCTTTGAAACCAATGAGAACAAAGACACAACATACCGGAATCTCTGGGGCACATTTAAAGCAGTGTGTAGAGGGAAATTTATAGCACTAAATGCCCACAAGAGAAAGCAGGAAAGATCTAAAATTGACACCATAACATCATAATTAAAAGAACTAGAGAAGCAAGAGTGAACACATTCGAAAGCTAGCAGAAGGCAAGAAATAACTAAGACCAGAGCAGAACTGAAGGAGATAGAGATACAAAAAACCCTTCAAAAATCAATGAATCCAGGACCTGTTTTTTTAGAAAAGATCAACAAAATTGATAGACCGCTAGCAAGACTAAAAAGAAGAAAAGAGAGAAGAATCAAATAGACACAGTAAAAAATGATAAAGGGGATATAACCACCGATCCCACAGAAATACAAACTACCATCAGAGAATACTATAAACACCTCTATGTAAACAAACTAGAAAATCTAGAAGAAATGGATAAATTCCTCGACACATACACTCTCCCAAGACTAAACCAGGAAGAAGTTGAATCTCTGAATAGACCAATAACTGGCTCTGAAATTGAAGCAATAATTAATAGCTTACCAACAAAAAAAAGTCCAGGACCAGATGGATTCACAGCCGAATTCTACCGGAGGTACAAAGAGGAGCTGGTACCATTCCTTCTGAAACTATTCCAATCAATAGAAAAAGAGGGAATCCTCCCTAACTCATTTTATGAGGCCAGCATCATCCTGATACCAAAGCCTGGCAGAGACCTCTGCCCTTCTTGCCAGCCATATAGTGGAGTCAGCATTGCAACCACAACGCAGATGCAAAGTCAATTCATACCCTCTCACACACAACTACACACCTCCAGCTCAAGAACTGATAGCAGACTATTGGACATCCAGGCTAATGTTCTCCTTTCAATGTCTTCCTTAGGGACCAATAGTGTAGGTTGGGGAATCTCTCCCACATTGATGGCCATTTTATTTTTATTTTTAAAATTTTTTTCCAACTTTATTAAGGTATAATTGGCAATTAAAAATCATATATAATTAAATATTTAGGCTGTATAACTTGATAATTCGATATACATATGCATTGGGAAATAATCAGCAGATTTGTGAATTTTGACATATATATATTCGCGTAAACACCACCACAATCATGGTACTTAGAACAGTCCTATCACTCCCCAAAACTCCCTCACGCTATGCCTTTATAGTCACATCACTATGGCAACCACTGATCTGTTCTCCAACACTATGGTTTTGGCTTTTCAAGAATGTAATATAGATAAAATCATACTGTAGGTAACCTTTGGATAGTGGCTTCTTTCACTCAGCGTAAACCTTTGAGATTCATAGAAGTTGTTGCATGAAATTCAAGTAGCCTGTTCCTTTTTATTGCTGACTAGTATTTTAATGCATGAGTCTACCACAGTTTGTTTATCCATTCAGACACTGCAGGAAATTTGGACTGAGTCCAATTTGGGCAATTATGAAGTAGCATTTCTACCAATATTGACATACAGGTTTTTCTGTGAACATAAGTTTCCATTTCTCTAGGGTAAAGGCCTAGGAGTTGGCTTCCTTGGTGAAATGGAAGTTGTGTGTTTAACTTTATAAGAACATGCCAAACTGTTTTCTGGAGTGGCTGAACTATTTTGCATCCTGCTAGAATTGTAGGAGAATTCCTATTGCTTCACATCCTTGTCAGGAATTGGTATGGTTGTTTTTTGAAATTATTGTAGCTATTCTTATAGATGTTCCCCATTTTTTGTTGTGTCACAGAACCATAGAATGGGTAGTTTACAGACAAAAAAAAAAAAAATCATGAAGTGTTTTAGTTCTAGAGCTTGGGAAGTCCAGTATCAAGGTACCAGAATCTGATGAGGGCTTCTTGCTGTGTCACCCTGTGCAGAAGGTGGAAGGGCAAAGGAACACACATGAAAGAGAGCAAGAAGGGGCCATACTCACTTTTTATAACTAACCCACTCCTGTAATAACAGAACTAATCCATTCATAAGGGCAGAGCCCAGGACACAAGCCTTTGTCACCCAGGCTTGTGTGCAGTGGTGCAATCATGGATCACTGCAGCTTTGACTTTCTGAGCTCAAGCAATTTCCCACCTCAGCCTCCTGAATAGCTGAAACCACAGGCACACACAATCATGCCTGGATAATTTCTTGATTTTTTTGTAGAGATGAGGTCTCATAATGTTTCCCAGGCTGCTGGGCTCAGGCAATTTGCCCACCTCAGCCTCCCAAAGGGCTGGAATTACAGGCATGAGCCACTGTGCCTGGCCATTTGCATTTTGTTCTTTTTTCTTCATAAGTTATTGGGGAGCAGGTGGGTTTGGTTACATGAGTAAGTTCTTTAGTGCTGATAAAGAACATGAATAGACAATTCACAAAAGATGATAATATACAAATAGTCAACAAACATATAAAAAAATGCTCAACATCACTAATGATCAGGGAAATGAAAATCAAAACTGCAATGTGATATCAACCTGCCGCTGAAAAAATGGCCATAGTAAAAAAAATTTAAAAATAGTAGAAGTTGGCATGGCTGAAGTGAACAGGCAACACTTCTACGTGTGTGAAGATTCCTTAAAGAATGAAAAGTAGAGCTACCATTTGATCCAGCAATCCCACTACTGGTATCTATACACTGGAAAAGAAGTCATTATATGAAAAAGATGCTTACACACACTTTTTTGTAGCAGTACAATTCACAATTGTAAAAATGTGGAACCAACCCAAATGCCCATCAACCAACGAATGAATAAAGAAACTATTTTATATATATATATATATATACACTCACACAATATATATATATAGTGTATATATATATACACACATATAAAGTATTCCATCAGTAATATAATATATCATATATATATAATAACTGCTCAGTCATAAAAAGGAATGAATTAATGGCATTTGCAGTGACCTGGATGAGATTGGAGACTATTATTCTAACAGAAATAACTCAAGAATGGAAAACCAAACATCGTATGTTCTTACTCATAGATGAGAGATAAACTATGAGGATACAAAGTCATAATAATAACACAATGGATTTGGGGACTCAAGGGAAAAGGGTGGGAAGGCAGTGAGAGAGAAAAAACTACAAATAGGTGCAGTGTATGCTTCCCAGGTGAGGGATGCACCAAAATCTCACAAATCACCATGAATGATGGTCATTTAAAATGAGCTTAAGAGTTACTTTTTGTCAGGCTAAGAGAGTGGAGAAAAATATTTATGGGTGGTGGGTTCAGGTGTATCACTGCATCCAATTTCACTGACTATTTTATCTTGATGTACCTGCTTTTTTTTCAGCCAATCTTGGCAGATTGAGGTACTGCAAAAATCATGAGCAGAAGACTTTATGCCATTGAATGCCATTGAGACGGTCAATGTAACAAAGGACAGCTGTTTGTTTTTCTTCTGCTTTTCATGGGCCAGTATCAACTAAAGATTGTCAGTTTTTAAGACCTTACTTAAGGATGCAATGATTAGTAAAGAAAATTCAACAATCTTATGTTTACCTGATAAATATCTTATGAGTGTATGCTCCAGGGTACAACAGGGGTGAAAGGTTAATTTGTCATTTTGTTTTCTTTTTTTCTTTTTTCTTTTTTTAATTGAGACAAGATCTTGTTGTGTTGCCCAGGCTGGTCTTGAACTCCTGGGCTCAAGAAATCCTCCTGCCTTGGCCTCCCAAAGTGCTAGGATTAAAAGCATAAGCCACCATTCAGACTAATTCTGCTCTCATGTAAGTGTACTATCAGACTCACAGTTTGAAATCTGTAGACTGGCACCGCCTTCTATCTACTTTAGCCAAGCCCAGGTATCAAATGTGGTCAATGGTATACTCTATATCCAGTAACCTCAAGAATTAGAATATTTTTAGTTAAAGGGACAAGTTTAAAAAGATGGCTGACTCACATATTACTTAAGGTCTGTAAGCCTAATGTCATTAAAAATATGTTTTTTGCTTCCTACTTTCATCTGTTTTAGCTTAATTTTCAGTCATTTGAAGATGTCTAACAATCCCTTATATACATCATTCCTACATCCTTGGGCATTGGTTTTGCTAGACACCATTATCCCAACACTGGCGACAAAAATGAATCTTAATGATAGAGTTGTATTGTGTGTTCAGACCAAAATATGTGTGTATGTATGTTGTGAAGATGTTACTACTTCATGAACCCCATGAATGAATTGAGAGTAAAGAAATGATGGCTCTCGAGAAGAAAATCAAATATCATTTGCAGAAAAATTGAGTGAAAACTTGGCTTTTTATAGTGGTGAATCCATTCTAAGAATTTAAAATGTGCTGTAAATAATGTAATGTAAAGAATGTAAGTAGTATACACTAAGATTGAGAATTAGTATGAGCAGTATAAAAAGATCATCCAAGTTCTCTTTCTAATTTCATTGATGGGTAGCATTAAAAGCTTCTTTATTATTTACTGATTCATGAATCGTAGAGATTGTGAAAAGTAAAGAAACAGCTCTAATTATTTCTAAGAATTGGTGATTTCGGTCTCTTAACGTACTTGTGAAACTTGAAGGCAACTCCTGGAGCAGCTCTCTATAAGTCAGTCAAGAGATTCTCAGGACTGTGGTGCAGGACACAGAATTGACAAATATCTAGATTTTGTTATGAAGCTAACATGATGTCCAGTCCATATTCTATAAATAAATTACTATTAGATTGAAGAATGAGATATTGTGGTAGATCAAATATCCAGGAATGAAATTATCATGTTATTATATTTAAATTTTTAACAAATAATTAGACTATAATAAAAGATACTTACAAATAATATATTCAGCATTAACTTGATAAATTACATGGGAATTTTTCATGCAAGCTGGATATTATTTCCAGTAAACTATTGATTACTACTTATATCTATATGTGACCTCTCTCACTAGTCCAGATATCTCTTGAAAAGCCACTCAGAAGTTTCAAGATATTTACAAATAAATATAATTTATATTTGTTTGATTTTATTTTTGAATATGTGCTCTCCTGCTGTAAGTAACAGCAAGCTGTCAAAGTTCATTTTTAAAAGAATGCAGTGGCTCTAAAGGTATATCCAAAATTTATTGAACGTTGGAGTCATTATCATGAAGTTCAGTTTTTTCTACAATACAGTAGTATAGAGATGCCAGTTAATAGATAATTTATGTGATGAAATGTGAATAAAATTGTTTCATCTCACTAAAATTGCACACCATTTTCTTTAATTGTGTATGCAACAGTATCTTTCCTTAAACTCCTGAATTTCATAGTATAATATTAGATGTTGTTAAGACAGCAAAATAAGTTTTTAAATTACTCCACGTAAAACAAGCAAACTAAAATATTCCAAAGGCAGATACAGTAATGTAATGGTTTTCATTGAAAGAAATAAAAATCTCCAAAACTTTTGTTCTTCAAATTTCTCCCCTACATTAGGTATGCAGATTCCACACACATAATATCTGTAACAGAATGTTAACTTATTGAATATTATGATTTGCTTCCCAGGGCAATATATATTTGGATGGCTACATTTCAATTTTGTGAGAACTATCATTTACTATCCCTGATTAGACTCATCAGTCATTCCTTTTTTATGCGAGAAACAATTTAGCTTTTCCATCCCCAAGACTTCAGTGCCTTCACAGCAAAGGACCACATGGTTATCTTTAAATTGCACACTTGGCTCTAGTAGCCTTAAGTCTCTCCTATCTCACACCATAGCTTCATCATTTGCATTATTTTACTAACCTCTTTCATCTTTAGTCTTTTTAAATTAAAGATTCAGTTATACAAACAGTCTTGACTTTATGCCTATGTTCATTGTGTGACATAATTTTCAAAGAATGATTTTACTTCAAATCAGGAAAATTTGCTTTTTGAGGTGTTTAAGAATTATCCTATAAGGCCGGTTGGAAAACGATTTCTGTAAAAGGTGAGATAGTAAATATTTAAAGCTTTTCTTCTGTCACAATTATTCAAATTTTCCATTGTAGGGCAAAAGCAATCATAGAGAACAGACAAATTAGTATGGATGTATTTCAATATAAGTTGATATATGGAAACTGAAATTCTCACTTCATACAATTATCAAAAAATATTATTTATTTCATTTATTTTCAATCTTTAAAAGTATAAACCTGTTAGCTTGCAGGTCATATCAAAAATAAGAGGTGAACAAGATTTAGCACACAAGCTGTGGTGTGCAATTCTTGTGCTAAGACAAAGGAAGCCGTCTATATATAGCTTAATTTAAATTTAATTTAATTTAATTTAAAATAGTTTTAAATTATATAAAATACAAAATTAAAGCATTATAACATATTACATATATAATAACATTATAGAATAACTTAAAATTAAAAATAAAATTACTCTTTCTATATTCCCTGAAATAGATGGTGTCACTTTATTTGTTGTTTATTTAAAAAATCCAATGTACATGCACACATATTCGTTTTAAAATTATAGTACAAATAGTATTGTAATCAGAAGCAGCAAATCAAACACGATGTCTCATCATTGAATCTCCTTTTACTATTCTTGTTATTCATTGTTCTGTCTTAGAAGAAATATTATTGTGATATGGGAAATACAAAAAACATTTTCTAATTATCTTTTTTTTTTTTATCATTTTTAACTACCTTTTGAGAGCTGAACTTGGCATAGTCTTTCAAAGTATCCAGTTCAAACATTCTCATTTTCAGTACTTCAGATAATCATGTACGTCAAAATAACATGATTACATTATTTTTTATTTATCAACTTTCCAGTGCTCTATATTCAACCTCTCATCAAAGTATCATCTTTTCATTTATTTCATTAAATAAAGGTTGAAACTTCTTTGTGATATTTTAAAATTTTTAGTTCATATTCTATTAAATATGAACAATTCTTATCTTCATAGCCAACATGTTTTTATGACAATCATAGATGCTCTACTATATAAAACAAAAAGTATAGTGTCAAAGTAGGATATGTGTTTTATTTATTATTATTACCAAATTGCTGAGTTAGCAATTATTTTAATGTTTATCATTTCTGCTAAGATTATAATATAGAAGAATTAAATAGAAGATGTCATAGTTAATAAACCAAATATCAGTGCTTTATTTCTGTGCAACTTTTCATGTTCTAGGCTGCTACATAACATAAATCCTTTATAGTGGCAGCAGACAGGCTTGGGCTTTTGGTATGCCATGTGTATGCTGCTGATATATATTTATGGCTTAACTTCTCCAGTGTATCACTCAATGAATCATTGGCCTGCAAAGGCCATCCTGGAATCAACCTCTTGTTCTAATCTGGATGCTTTGCTATCTATGATTGAAGCACAACTGCAACCTTGGAATTTCTCTAATCTGCTATCATTTGTTACGGCTACTGTTTTATGAACCTCATATCTTCTTGTTTTAATTTATTTCATTGATTTGTTAGAAAGCATCTTCTAGTAGCTTCCTATGAAAATATGCTTAAGAGGTAGATTTTTCTGAATCATATCCTGTCTTTATTTTGCATTTACCTTTGGAGTGTGTAACTAGACATAAATGGTACACTAAAAATCACTTTCCCAGTGTATTAGACCATTTTCGTGCTGCTGATAAAGACATATACAAGACTGACAATTTACGAAAGAAAGAAGTTTAATTGGACTTACAGTTCCACATTGTTGGGGAAGCCTCACAATCATAGCGGGAGGCAAAGAGGAGCAAGTCTCATCTTACATGGATGGCACCAGGCAAAGACAGAATGAGGAAGATGCAAAAGCAGAAACCCCGGATAAAACCATCACATCTTGTAAGACTTATTCACTAACAAGAAAACAGTATGGGGAAGCCATCCTAATGATTCAAATTATCTCCGCTGGGTTTGCCCACAACACATGGGAATTATGGGAGTAAAATTCAAGATGAGATTTGGGTGGGGACACAGAGCCAAACCATATCATTCCACCTCAGACCCCTCCAAATCTAATGCCCTCACATTTTAAAACCAATCATGCCTTCCCAACAGCTCCCCAAGGTCTTATCTCATTTCAGCATTAACCCCCAAATCCACAGTCCAAAGTCTCATCTGAGACAAGGCAAGTCCCTTCCATCTATCAGCCTGTAAAACCAAAAGCAAGTTCGTTACTTCCTTGATACAATGGGGGTATAGGCATTGGGTGAATACAGCTTTTCCAAATGGGGAAAAATGGCCAAAACAAAGGGGCTACCAGCCCTATGCAAGTCTGAAATCCAGCAGGGCAGTCAAATCTTAAAGCTCCAAACTGATCTCCTTTGATGCCATGTCTCGCATCTGGGTCATGCTGATGCGAGAGGTGGGTTCCCATGGTCTTGGGCAGCTCCCACCACTGTGGCTCTGTAGGGTACAGCCTCCCTCCTGGCTGCTTTCAGGGTCTGGTGTTGACTATCTGTGGCTTTTCCAGGCACATGATGCAAGCTGTTGGTGGATCTATCTTTCTGGGGTCTAGCGGATGGATGGTGGCTCTTTTCTCACAGCTCCACTAGGCAGTGCCCTAGAAGGGACTCTGTATGGGGCTCCAACCCCATGTTTTCTTTCCACACTGCCCTAGCAGAGGTTATCCATGAGAGCCCCATCCCTGCAGCAAACTTCTTCCTGGGCATCCAGGCATTTCTATACATACTCTGAAACCTAGGCAGAGGTTCCCAAACCCCAGTTCTTGACTTCTGTGCATTCACAGGCTCAATACCAGTTGGCAGCTGCTAAAGCATGGGACTTGCATCCTCTGAAGACATGTCCGAGCTCTACATTGACCCTTTTTCATCATGGAAAGAGTGGCTGGGACACAGGGCATCAAGTCCCTTGGCTGCCCACAGCACAGGGGCCCTGGACACAGCCCATGAAACCATGTTTTCCTTCCAGGCCTCCGGGCCTGTGATGGGAGGGGCTGTCATGAAGACCTCTGACATGCCCTCAAGACATTTTCCCCATTGTCTTGGGGATTAACATTCAGCTCTTTGTTACTTATGCAAATTTCTGCAGCAGGCTTGGATTTCTCCTCAGAAAATGAAATTTTCTTTTCTATTGCACTGTCAGGCTGCAAATTTTCTGAACTTTTATGCCGTTTTCCTTATTAAACTGAATGCCTTTAACAGCACCCAATTCACCTCTTGAATGGTTTGGTGCTTAGAAATTTCTTCCAGCAGATACCCTAAATCAGCTTTTTGAAGTTCTAAGTTTCACATATCTCTAGGGCAGGGGCAAAATGCCACCAGTCTCTTTGCTAAAACATAACAAGAGTCATCTTTCCTTCAGTTCCCAAAAAGTTCCCCATCTCCATCTGAGACCACCTCAGCCTGGACCTTATTGTTCATATCACTATCAGCATTTTTGTCAAAGCCATTTAACAAGTCTCTATGAAGTTCCAAACTTTCCCACATTTTCCTGTCTTCTTCTGAGCCCTCCAAACTGTTTCAACCTCTGTCTGTTACTCAGTTCCAAAGTAACTTCCACATTTTGGGGTATTTTTTCAGCCATGCCCCATTCTACTGGTACCAATTTACTCTATTATTCCATTTTCATGCTGCTGATAAAGACAAACTTGAGACTGGGTAACTTACAGAAAAAAGAGGTTTAATTTGACTCACAGTTCCATGTTGCTGGGGAAGCCTCACAATCATGGTGGAATGCAAGGAGAAAGTCCCATCTTACATGGATAGCAGCAGGCAAAGAGAGAATGAGGAAAACGTCAAAGCAGAAACCCCTTTTAAAACAATCAGATCTCATTAAACTTATTCACTACTAAGAGCACAGTATAGGGAAAACCACCCTATGATTCAGATTATCTCCTACTGGGTCCCTCTCACAACAAGCAGAAATTATGGGAGTGTAAATCAAGATGAGATTTGGGTGGGGACACAGAGCCAAACCATATCATCCAGCATGCTCCCTTTGTGTTCTGTTTTCTAGAGTGGGTCTTTTTTTTCTGTAAGACACATATTCTTCAGTCTTTGGGAAGTTTTATTATACTATTTTTGATATATTAATCTTCTCCTTCTTATTCATTGTTCTGTCTTTGAAGAAATATTATTGTGATCTGAGAACTCCACAAAATCATTTTCTAATTGTCATATTTTCTTTTTGTCATTTTTACTACCTTTTAAGAGCTTAACTTGGCATAATCTTTCAAATCTTCTATTGAAAAATTTCAAATTGTAGATATTAGTTTTCTTTCTTAAGAGCATCTTTTCATTTTGTATTTGTTTTGTTTGTTTTGTTTTGTCTTGTTTTGTTTTTTGCAGAATACTGAATCTATTGTTAAATTCATGGTGCACATCTTTCCTTCGTCATCCTTAGAATCTAGTTTTATTTCAAAATTAGATCTCTTGTTCTTTCAAAACACATTGTTACCTCTGAATTCTTTTATTCCTCATTTTGTAGATTGTCATGTTTGGATATTTGCTCTCATAACTTCTGATTCTTGATTATCTGTTTCTACTAAAAAGAGGAAAGTACTAAACCAACGAGAAATTTTTGGCTGTGCATAGGGACAGTCAGCTTGTAGGATTCACTGCATTACAACTGCTGCAGAGTAAACTACTTTAATGAGGTATCCCCCAGATTTTAGTAGATGGAAGTCTTTCCTCTATGCTCTTTGCTTTCTTCTTATAAGATCCATTTGATAAGTTGCTTTAGAAAGAGCTACCTTAGTGTCTGTGTTCCGCATAAGGTGGAGAAATCTAATTATTCAATACATTTTCTTTTAAATTGGTGTTTAATGTGCATGCAATAAAGTACATGAATATTTACCATATGGCTCAATTAATTTTATGTATCAATATTATTTACTGTCACCATATACATTAGGAGAGATTAGTATCCAAGAAAGCTGTAGCACATCACCCTGTAGACAATATGTCACTTAAATTAACCACTTACCTGACCTCTACAACCATAGATCAATTATTTCTATATTTGAATGTAGTACAAATACAATCTTACAGTATATTGTCTTTTATGTCTGTCTTCTCTCATTCAGCATTATTTCTGCGAAATTCATCCATGCTGTTGTTTCACCAGTGGTCTATTCTTTTTCACTGATATGTAGTATGACATTGTGTAAATGTACAAAAACATATTTTATTTCTGTGGGTTGTTTCCAGGTTGGAATTTTATGAATAAAACTGGTATAAAACTTTGTTGCTCTTGTCTGTATGTTTGTATTTTGGTCGACATGTAGTTTCATGTCTTTTGGCTATATAGCTAGGATAAAAATTTTGTGTCACAGTGTAAGTACACATTTTATTAGAGTCTGATAAAGAGTTTTCTAGGGTGGCTGTAACAATTTATACCCACAAAAAATCTATGAGAGTTTCAGTAGTTTCAGTAAGTACCTTTTGGTTGATCTAATTTGAACCTGAAACACAGTATTTTGTCTAGTGTTAGTTTTTTGTTTAGTATGTCCAGTATTGCCATTATTCCTAGGATGCAGATTGGAAGACTCAATATTGCTAAGTTGTCAATTCTTCTCCAATTCATATATAAATCCAATGGGGTCTCAAATATTATTCCAGAATTCTTTTCATTACTGATGTTGAAATTTCCAAGCTGATGATACAATTTATGTGGAAAATAAATGGGGCTTTAGAATATCCAAATTTATTTTGAAAAAAAGAAAAAGTTCCTAAGGCTCACCGCCTTACTCCAAAACTTATTAAAAAGACCCAAGAATAGACTTAATATGACTAAATAACATTGTCAAAGTTATTAAGACAACCCAAGTTAAAGCCATAACATATTTAATAGACAATATAGCAAAATATTTCCATGAAGGCAACCCTTTTGTAGACAGGTAACAGAAAGCAGTGAATATAAAGAAAAATATGATAAAATGGAATTGAACAAAATTAAAAATTTCTACTCATCAGAAGATGCAGACACAGTTAGAAAAATAAATACATACATGCCGGAAAATATTAATATAATATATATCTGATAAGGGACAACCATAGATCAATTCTTTCTATATTTGAATGTAATACAAATATTGTATTTGTATTAAGAACCCATGCAATTCAGTTATGAAAGGCAAGGAAAGTCAGAATAATTCAGAAGAAGTAGTTGGAAAAATGGAACTACTTACTCTAAGTGGTTAGAGAAATGGAAAGTTGTTAATCATCTAACAAGGAGGAAAAAGAAAAGTTTATTTTAGGCTAAACACTTAAATAGTTAAAAGCAAATCTGAGACTAATGATTTTTGATAAAAATTTACCCTATCATTTAAGTAAAAGAAGATTTCTCAACGTATGTTTATATTTTATGATTTTGGCATTTACTTTAGATTTGGGGGTATATTTGCAGGTTTGTTACATGGATATATTACATGATGCTGAGGTTCGAGATATGAATGATCCCATCATCCAGATAATGAACCTGGTACCCAGCATTAGTTTTTCAGTCTTTGCCCCTCTTTCTGCCTCCCTGCTCTAAAAGTCCCCAGTGTCTATTGTTGCAAACTTTATATCCATGGGTACGCAAAATTTATCTCCCACTTGTAAGTTATAACATACAGTATTTTGTTTCCTGTTCTTGTGTTAATTCACTTAAGATAATGGCCTCCATCTGCTTCCATGTTGCTACATGAAGTACAGGATTTTGTACTTTCTTATGGCTACATAGTATTCCATGGTGTATATGTACCACATTTTCTTTATCCAGTTCACCACTGATGGACACCTAGGTTGGTTCCATATATTTGCTATTGTGGATAGTGCTACAATGAACATATGAATGCATGTGGCTATTTTGTAGAATAATTTATTTTCTTTCAGAAATACACCTACTAATGGGATTGCTGGGTGAAATGGTAGTTCTGTTTTAAGTTCTGTGAGAAATCTCCAAATTGCTTTCCACAATGGCTGAAATAGTATACATTTCCACCTATATTGCATAAGTGTTCCCTTTTCTATGAAGTCTCACCACTACCTGCTGGTTTTCGACTTTTTAAAAATAGCAGTTCTGACTGGTGTGAGATGGTATCTCATTGTGGTTTTGATTTGCACTTCTCTGGTTATTAGTGATGTTTAATATTTTTTCATATGTTTGTTGGCTGCTTCTATGTCTCCTTTTGAGAAGTGTCTGTTTATGTCTTTTGCTCACTTTTTAATGGCGTTATTTGTTTTTTGCTTGTTAATTGTTTAAGTTCTTTGTAGATTCTGGATATTAGATCTTTGTTGGATGCATAGTTTGTGAATGTTTTCTCTCATCCTCCAGGTTGTCTGTTTAGTCTGTTGATAGCTTCTTTTGCTGTGCAAAAACTCTTTAGTTTAATGAAATCCCTCTTGTCAAATTATTTGTTGCAATTGCTTTTAAGGTCTTAGTCATAAATTCTTTGCCAAGGCTTACATGTAGCATGGTATTTCCTAGGTTTTCTTCTAGAATTCTTATAGTTTGATATTTTATATTTAAATATTCAATCCATCTTGAGTTAATGTTTGTATATAGTGAAAGGTATAGGTCCAGAGTCATTCTTCCTCATACAGCTAGCCAACTATCCCACTACATCTATTGAATAGCAAGTCCTTTCTCCATTAGTTATTTTTGTGAACGTTATTGAAGATCAGATGGCTATGGATGTGCAGCTTTATCTCTGGGTTCTCTGTTAAATAAGATTTTTGAAATTTGTAGGGCTTGATTATTTTTCAAATAGTTTTCTCCGCATACTAATTATGAAGGAATTAGAATATGATGAAATCTATAAGAAATGTTATATTTTTAAATAATCTGGGCAAATTTTGCTGTATTTGAAAGTTTAGTGAGAAAATTGGGAATCTACTGATATAGAGATTCTAAACTAGGTATAGAAAATCCAAATGTCTGTTGTGGCTACACTGAAAACATAATTATAAAACATTGTCAGAGTACTACATAAAGAAGTGGTAGTCTGTAGGTAGAGTAAAATGTAATCCCAGTTTAGAGGTATTAAAAGTATTCTTTGTAAACATTGATGAGAATTAAACATTTGGCCAACTTTCCAAAAGCTTTCCTACATTAGCACATATTGCATAGTTACTAGATGCATTAGTCAGGGTTCTTTAGAGAAGCATAACTAATAGGATAAATAAAGGAGAGTTTATTAAGGATTATTGACTCACACAATCACAAGGTCAGGTCCCACAATAGGCCACCTGCAAGCTGAGGAGAAAGGAAGCCAGTCTGAGTCCCAAAGCTGAAGAACTTGGAGTCCCATGTTAGAGGGCAGGAAGCATCCAACATGCAAGAAAGGTGTAGGCCAGAAGACAAAACCAGACTAATCTTTCCACATTCTTCTGTCTGCTTTTATTCTGGCCCCACTGGCAGCTGATTAGATTGTGCCCACCCAGAATAAGGGTGTGTTTGCCTTTCCCAGCCAGCTGACTCAAATGTTAATCTCCTTTGGCAACATCCTCACAGACACACCTAGGAACAATACTTTGCATCCTTCCATCTAATCAAGTTTATACTCAATATTAACCTTCACACTAGATTTTTAGCTGCCAAAATTCTAACTCAAACTTTTGGTTCTATTGTATTGAAATACTTCCAAAATCAACTATGTTATATTATTTCTCTACTAGAATATAAGTTTAGGAAGCAAGTGCATATATATATGTGCATGTATATATATACATACACACACGCACACACACACACAAAATGAGGTTTTATGTGTTTCCCAAAGTATCAGAAAAAAAAAACAAGAAATGTTGCTGATTATAAGCACATCATCATGACATATAACGAAAACACAAAGGGAGATTCCAAGAGTAGTTCTGTTCCAGAAGCTACATACCTGTGCCTATAACCTGTATTACATGTAAATTTTCAGAAATATTCATGTTTTTAATTAAACTTCAGAATATCTCTTTATGTAAAACACTTTAACTTGCTATTAAAGTGCAAATATTTTTAAATATCCGTGGACTATCATGAAATAACACATCGATTTTGAAAATACTTTTTCAACTTAACAAATTAAGAATGTTAATCCTAAGAACATTTTCTAGGAAATTAATATGACCAATAAGAGTTTCAGAGTAAAGTTTCTGCACCAATAATAAAATAAAGTATAATAATAGTTTTAAAGTTTACAGAATATAAATAAATCTAAAGGATAAAATAGCATTTTAAAAGTGAACTTAGGTAGATAGGCATATTTTTTCTTACAGACAAACCCCAAAAAGTGTCACTATCATCATCAATAAGAAACCTATAAAATAAGATAGAACAGTATTCAAAATATGTAAAATGTGAACATATTTTATCAAACAATATAAATTAAAATACATGTAAAAATTCAAAACAATATTTATGTTTCAAATATGTATTTTTCTTCTAAAGACAAAATTTATCTTTACAATTAAAAGAAAACTTGCAAATAAATTATAGTACTTGAATGTCAAATGTCTAAATCAAAATTATTTAAATAAAATTATTTTAGAAAAGTAAAAAATACTTATGTAGTACTTGGGTAAATTATAAATAAAGTTTAATAGTAGAAAACTCTTGTATGTTATGATGCTCAACTCATTATTTTTATTGCTTTCATTTTTTTAATAAAGATGAAAGACTCAAAGAAAAGCCACTGAGAAGGCTTAATGAAAATATGCTAACTTTACTTCAAACTAAAAATGTTCAAACATACAAATAAAACTTACACCCCTCTATTCCAAAACAGAATCGTTTAGCAACAGTATTTCTGTTAATGATGTCAACATTCTCTGTTATCAGACTCAAAAAAAATTTTTTTGAATTTTCTTTCTGTCTAACATGCTGTTTGTAGCTATGAGATTTAGATTTATTAAATAATCTAAGGCATTTCCCTGAAAATCTCTGTGTTTCAGTGTTCTGACAATTTACATGATAAAAATCATGTTTGTGTTGAAATTCTATGCATTACCAAATTAGTAAATGTTTTTAACTATTACATGATGTCAGGTATTGTTATTCTCACAGGAAACAGACACTGTATTTTCTTACCTTAAGGGAAATGTAATGACTTAGGACAATGTTAGCTAGAAAGTTTTCCTTTCAGCTCGTAGCCTGATTGTTTAGTTCTTAATATCACATTTCCCTGTAGAGAGCTTGAATGTTTTATGATGCATAAAGAAAATATTATTCCAAATGTTTTATGTATTATTACAAGTTTTAGGTTTATTGTGATATTGGGAGAAGTAGCACAATTCAGAATTAATATGGTTGTCGTTTTGAAAACCATAGAATGTAATTCGAAAACTATAATATTTACTGTACAAAGTCTAACGGTAATTAGAAAAAAACAACTGAAAAAGATGAATATTTCTTGCTTAAAAATAGGATCTAGAATTTACTCATGACTTAGTATATATTAGGAACTGGGCTAAATGCTGTATTAGCCACATTATCTGTGTAAAGTTCTATTATCACCTTCGCTTTACAGATAAATTGATATATTGAGACCAAAAGTAACTGGCTCAAAATCATACAGATAAAAAAAGTTGAAAATAGGGTAAAATTTCAATATTGGTGATGATAAACCTAACACTTTTAAATATTACACCTAGTATTTTTAGAAGTGTGGTCTCTGAACCACCAATATCATAACTGACTGGAGTGCTTGTTAAAAATGCCTATTTCTGGTCCCACACAAAATTTTAACTAAACTTACATATTGAGGGAGAAAGCCAGGGAATCAGTATTTTAGAGGTTATCTTAAGATTGTACAAATTTGAGAGTGAGATTAGTATACTACACTCTGTAAATTAGCACATCATATGTATGAAAACCTCATATGTGAAATATAATATATATTCTGTGACAAGAAGATATATTCAAATCTTAGTGTTATGTAAAAGTAGGATAGTTTGATCTTCTACTTTTAGGTAACTTAATTAGGTTAAAGCATCTAAGTAGAGAAGATGTAATCTAGAGTATAGTTTATCTTTTTACAAACTTCATATTGTTTCCTTAGAAAGAAAAATAAATATAAAACAAATGATCATACACCAAATACAATTTAAATAGGTAATAGATATATGATAGATGATAGATAGATAGATTAGATAGATAGATAGATAGATAGATAGATAGAACTAAAATAAAAGAGGAAATAAGGCAATGCAATGTCAATCTAATGGGTATAAAGAAGTAATTTTATAGTGGAGAAATTTGACAAATGCTACCTCAATCAAGGTCAACTTCTACAATAAGTCATGCTTAGTATGATCTTATGGAAATGAAACTTTACCTCTGTAGACTTCTTACCCAAACCTATCACACAAATGCAATCAAAACACAAATATCAGACAAATACCAACAAAGGAACATTACATAAAATTTCTGGCCAGTGCTACTAGAAATTGTCTAGTCATCAAAAAGAAAAGGAAAGGAAGAAAACGAGATATGAAAGGAAAAAGGAAAGGAGAGGAGAGGAGAGGGGAAGGGAGGAGAGGAAAGGAAAGGGAAAAAGAAAGAGGAAAGGAAAAAGGAAAGGGCAAAGGAAAAACAAAAGGAAAAAGAAAAGGAAAGGAGATAAAGAAGAAAGAAAATGAAAGAAGGAAGGAAGGAAAGAAAGAAAGAAAGAATAAAGAGAAAGAACGAAAGAGAGGAAGAGAAAAAGAAAAAAGAAAAGAGAAAGGAAGGAGAGAAGGAAGAAAGGAAGAAAGGAAGGAAGGAAGGAGAAGGGGAAGGGGAAGGGAAAGGGGAAGGGGAAGGGGAAGGGGAAGGCGAAGGGGAAGGGGGGAAAGAGACAGAGAGAAAGGAAGAAGCCTTTAGAAATTACCAGGAGACATGACACCTAAATATACTGTGTTTTCCTGGATAGGATCCTGAAACCCAAAAGTGGCATTAGGTACAAACTAAGAAAATATAAACAAAATTGACTTTAGTTAATAATAATATATCGAAATTGGTTCATTAATTCCAGCACATGTATCATACTGATGTAAAACTGATAGTAAAAATACTTGGAGATAATCTAGAAATTTTATTTTCACTTCTCAGATTAAAATTGTGAATTCCGTTGAGGTTATGTGACATTTCTAAAGTCTTATAGTTAGTTATTAGCAAAACTGTGTGGAATCCAGGCTTCTAGCTATGTTGTTCACTAAAATAGGAGGTTATTTGTAGCCCATACATAATCTGGTAAGTATCTTGTGTATCTATAAACGTTTTAGCTTCATGTTTAAGTTAACCAATAAAAGAAAATGTGCTAAAAGTAAAACAGAAATTTATGTGTGCCCTTCCTGCAAATGATCTGACAGAGAACAGAAAATAACCGTGGGCAGGCCAGGAGATCAGAAATTCCCCCTAACTTTATTTAGGGAGTGAAAGAAAAAAGGAAACATAGTGAAATTTCAGCAGAAAAGGTAAAATAAGCTAATCATTAAAATAGAATAAGATTAATCATTTATTTAAACAGTAAAACAAATACGGGATATAATAAATCAGTTTATATTTATTGAGCTATATTGAAGATATTGCAGGAATTTGTCTTTTAGCTTAAAAATGTGAACAGAAACAATGCTTTTAAAAATACTACATAAACTTCAAGCAACTTTTATCCTCCAAGCAACTTAAATAATTTAGCATCAATGTCAGCAAACCACCAGACACTCACGAATGCATTTTGCTCCTGAGGACTGCTCTGTTCAATGTAGAAATTTAAAGCAATAGAACCAGAGAGAGTAATATAAAAATTGACTTATGAAAAATGAAGATTATCATAAGAATAACTCAGTAAGTAATGCACTCAGGAACACATAGAAATCTTAATGGACAAGTAGAACATTTTGTAAAACTTGAATAAATTACTGCTTGGGTCAAACATAAATCAGGTGGGATTAAGGAAAAGGCATACTAGACATGGTTTAATTACTGAGAAGAAAGAAAATCCTACACTTGAACTTTTACATTCCTCATAACTTTCCCATAAACTTGAGATACATTCTCCAACAAACACAAAATGTAAAAGTTGAAAATGTGTATGCATTCTCCCATTTATCTCAGCTTGTCAGTATAGATTACAAAATATAATCAAATGTTTCTGAGTTTATTGCAAACATCTATGAAATTCTGCTGTTCATGGCCTCCTCACAGTTATTTTCTGATCTCTGTCAGATCATTTACAGAAGGTATGTATACACATTTCTCCTTGGTGTTTTTTAACCCAAGCCTATCATCTAACAGAAAACGCACGTTGGTCATACATTTTTTTTTCCTCTCCTTTTGCCATCATGAGGAGTTCTACTGATACTCACATAGTCCAGTTCTCTATCAGATAAATACCTCTTTTCCCATTTAGCCAGATAGAATCAGATACATTTTTTGAGTTTTCAATTCCTTGGTACCATAGTTACAACACGAACTATAAAATGTATGGTTTTGGAACAAAAGGGTCTACAAGCAATATCATTTAATATAAAGAAAATAATGAAGGAAGAGTTGAATCAACAATAAAATATTAGTGTAAACAATATATGATTCAGATCATAAGTATTATCCAAAGTATTATACTAAAGAAAATTAACCAATAACAACATTTTAGATATATAACATGTTTTCAAATATTAAAAATACTTTAACATAATTTAATGTAATGAATCACATGCTGCCAGGTATGTGAAATGAACCCATGAATACAATGGATTCTTTTACATTGAAGCAATTATTTCTAAGAATGTTTGTTCCATGTATTCAAAATTAAAGCACAAATATAATAATGTTTTAATGTCTATAAAGAATTGCAAAATTTTTGAGACTGTTCAGTTTACAGGAGAAAGTTGATTTAGTTAATAGCTTATAGCATCTTGTTTTCTAATAAGTAATGATGGAAACATATACGTTTATTTTAACATATAACAGACCAATGCTCCAATGAGTGGTAGACATTTCTAATATATTAATAATATTATCTGTTCACATCTTTGAGGCACATGTGTAACTGCATGTTTTAGTTTCACACAGCTGAAAGTGGCAATGTGACTAATGAAAGCCAGTATTTTGTGATCAGAAGTAATACATATTGCTTCTTAGCCAAAGCATGTAATTGCCAGTTTGGGAGCCTCTGGAATTCTGTAACCTTTTCAATGTTGCAGGAAGTCAGGGTCCCCAAACTGAGGGTCCGGGTGAAGCCATGGCAGAAGAACATAAATTGTGAAGATTTCATGGATATTTATTAGTTTCCCAAATTAATACTTTTATAATTTCTTACGTCTGTCTTCACTGCAATCTCTGAACATAAATTGTGAAGATTTCATGGACACTTATCACTTCCCCAATCAATACCCTGGTGATTTCCTATGCTTGTCTTTACTTTAATCTCTTAATCCCATCATCTTCCTAAACTGAGGAGGATGTATGTCACCTCAGGACCCTGTGATGATTGCGTTAACTGCACAAATTGTTTGTAGAGCATATGTGTTTGAACAATATGAAATCTGGGCACATTGAAAAAAGAACAGGTTAACAGCAATGTTCAGGGGACAAGAGAGATAACCTTAAACTCTGACTGCCAGTGAGCCGGATGGAACAGAGCCATATTTCTCCTCTTTCAAAAGCAAATGGGAGAAATATCACTGAATTATTTTTCTCAGCAGGAACATCCCTGAGAAAGAGAATGCATCCCTGAGGGTAGGCCTCTGAAATGGCCACTGCAGGGGTGGTCATCTTTTACGGTTGCAGCTGTAGGGATGAAATAAACCATGGTCTCCTGTAGTGCTCCCAGGCTTATTAGGATGAGGAAATTCCCGCCTAATAAATTTTGGTCAGACCAGTTGTCTGCTCTCAAACCCTGTCTCCTGATAAGATGTTATCAATGACAATGCATGCCCAAAACTTCATTAGCAATTTTAATTTTGCCCTGGTCCTGTGGTCCTGTGATCTGGTCCTGCCTCCATTTGCCTTGTGATATCTTATTACCTTGTGAAACATGTGATCTCTGTGACCCACACCCTATTCGTACACTCCCTCCCCTTTTGAAAATCACTAATAAAAACTTGCTGGTTTTATGGCTCAGGGGGCATCACAGAACCTGCCGACATGTGATGTCTCCCCTGGACACCCAGTTTTAAAATTTCTCTCTTTTGTACTCTTTCCCTTTATTTCTCAGACAGGTTGACACTTAGGGAAAATAGAAAAGAACCTACTTGACTATCGGGGGCAGGTTCCCCCAATATTTCAATATGATGCAGTGATAAGATAATGAATGCTTTCTTGGCCTCCATAATTCCTTTATGGAAAACAAGTGTCTAATGATTTGACTAAAATGTTATAAACAAGAACTAGTAATGTTCTATATCAGTAAGATTGTTGTATTATTGAATATCAAGCTATGTCATATCTATCCTGACAAATAAAATTGACAAATAATAATTCAACTAATATGTTATTTAGTCAACTTTATTGATACAGTTAGGCTGTGTTCCCACTCAAATCTCATCTTGAATTGTAGTTCCCATAATCCCCATGTGCTGTGGAAGGGACCCAGTAGGAGGTCATTGAATCATGGGGGAGGTTACCTCCATGCTGTTCTCATGACAGTGAGTTTTCCTGAGATCTGACGGTTTTATGAGGAGCTCCCCGACCCCCAAATCACTCTGCACTTCTCCTTCTTGCCATTGTGTGAAGAAGGGCATGTGTGCTTCCCTTTCCACCATGATTGTAAGTTTCCTGAGACATCCCCAGTCCTGTGGAACTGTGAAACAATTAAGCCTGTTTCCTTTATAAATTATCCAGTCTCAGAGAGTTCTTTATGGTAAAGTGAGAACAGACTAATACAGTAAATTCATGCCACAGAGAGTGGGGTGCTGTTACAAGGCTGCCCAAAAATATGGAAGCAACTTTGAAACAGAGGCTGAAAGAGTTTGAAGGGCTCAGAAGAAAACAGAAAGATATGGGAAAGTTCGGAACTCCTTAGAGACTTGTTGAATGGCTTTGACCAAAATGTTGATACTGATATGGACAATGAAGTCCAGGCTGAGGTCGTCTCAGACAAAGATGGGGAACTTGTTCGGAACTGGAGTAAAGGTTACCCTTGCTTTGCTTTAGCAAAAAGCCTGACAGCATTTTGCCCCTACCTTAGAGACCTGTGGAACTTTGAACTTGAGAGAGATAATTTTGGATATCTAGCAGAAGAAATTTCTAAGCAGAAAAGCATTCAAGAAATGACAGAGCATAAAAATTTGGAAAATATGCAGTCTGATAATGCAGTAGAAAAGGAAAACCCATTTTCTGGGGAGAAATTCAAGCCTGCTATAGAAATTTGCATAAGTGATGAGGACCAGAATGTTAATTACCAAGACAATAAGGAAAATGTCTTCAGGACATGACAGAGACCTTTGTGGCAGCCCCTACCATCACTGGCCCAGAGCCCTAGGAGAAAAAAAAAAATGCTTTTGTGGGCAAGGTCCAGGTCCCGTCTGCTGTGTGCAGCCTAGGGACTTGGTGCCCTGCATCCTAGCCACTCTAGCCCTGGCTAAAAGGGACCAAGGTACAGCTCAGACCATGGCTTCAGAGTGTGCAAGCCCCAAGCCTTGACAGCTTCCTTGTGGTGTTGAGCCTGCTGGTGCAGTCTGGAATTGAGGTTCGGGAACCTCTGCCTAGATTTCAGAAGACGTGGAAATACCCGAATGTGCAGGCAGAAGTTTGCTGCAGGGGTGGAGTCCTCATTGAGAACCTCTGGTAGGGCAGTGCGGAAGGGAAATGTGGGGTTGGAACTCCCACACAGAGTCCCTGCTGGGACACTACTAGTGGTTCTGGGAGGAGAGGGCTACCATCCTCTAGACCCAAGAATGGTAGATCCACGGACAGCTTGCACTGTGCACCTGGAAAAGCCACAGGCACTCAACACCAGCCCATGAAGGCAGTCCAGAGGGGGCTGTACCCAGAAAGCCCACAGAGGTGGAGCTGCCCAAGGCCATGGGAGCCCACCTCTTGTATAAGCATGACCCTGATGTGAAACATTGAGTCAAGGGAGATCATTTTGTAACTTTAAGGTTTAATGACTGACCTATTGGATTTTGGACTTGCATGCGTCCTATATCCCCCTTGTTTTGGCAAGTTTCTTTCATTTGAAATGGATGAATTTACCTAATGCTTGTACACCCATTGTATCTAGGAAGTAATAACGTGCTTTTGATTGTACAGGCTCATAGGAGGAAGGAACTTGCCTTGTCTCAGATGAGAATTTGGACTATGGACTTTTGAATTAATGCTGAAATGAGTTAATACTTTGGGGGAATGCTGGGAAAGCATGATTGTGTTTTGAAACGTGAGGACATGAGATTTGGGAGGGCCATGGGTGAAATGATATGATTTGGCTCTTACCCCACCCAAATCTCATCTTGAATTGTAGTTCCCATTATCCCCACGTGTTGTGGGAGGCACTAGGTGGGAGATCATTAAATCATAGGGGATGTTACCCCCATGCTGTTCTCATGACAGTGAGTAAGTTCTCATGAGATCTGATGGTTTTTATAAGAGGTTCCTCCACAACCCTTTCACTCTACACTTCTCCTTTCTGCCATCATGTGAAGAAGGACATGTTTGCTTACCCTTCTGCCATGATTATAAGTTTTCTGAGGCCTCCTCAGCCATGCAGAATTGTGAGTCAATTAAACCTCTTTCCTTTATAAATTACCCAGTTTCAGGCAGTTATTTATAGCAGCATGAGAATGGACTAATGTAGTTATGGTATTGTAAAAACAAATCGATTTACAATAATTTAATTAAACATCCATGACTTTGAGTATTACTGGCATGAGTACACTATGTGTTAAAAGAAAACTTGCAATTGAATAAAACTTGTTTAAAATACAGGTTATACTATCATCACAAAATGACTTATGCAAAAAAATGCATAAGTAAAATGCAAATACTCTTCTTTCATATCCTAATGAGAATATAAAATATCCAAATAGCATTCAGAAGAAAAAAATATTTAAAATTTTAATGATACACAATATTTCAAAGTATGTAACTTGTGATATTTTTGCTAAAAAATAAACCTTCATAACTTTAGGTAGTCAAAAGAGCATGTGAATCATAGTAATATTGATTTAAAATGTAACATGAATGGATAGTTTATCTGTAAGATTAGAGCATTCAGGATAACTGTTATTTGTTCCCATGAGATTACTTGATGCCATAAACCATGATGGCACAAATATTGTTCATTTATGTCACTATAAAGTGAGATTTACTGTGGAACAATCAGTACTACTTCTTATAATAGCTAGGTTTAACATTACTAATTGTATCACTATAAACCAATTTTATGGTGATATAAACATTAGAGGTAATGCTGTCAGGCTCTCATATTAATGCCTCAAAAAATACACTAATATATTGTCTGATTATATCTCTTACAAAACTGATATGCAAAGACCAAGTAGTAAAAAGAAAGCCAGAATATCATGCTGTAAGTCCCAGCAAAACAATGTAAAGTCAATGGGTATCTCTTTTAAGCATTTAGTGTCACTTCTTTTAACAAATATATGAATTTATTTAACATGAAATGACAAACAGCAATTAAAGCATTCTTTCCCAGAAATAGAGACAAGGTATATATCTTCCTCTAAGTCAATATTTACTTGATTGGGAAAAAAAATAATTATTGATTTAAAAATTATTTAGAGTAATCCTTCTAAAAATCTTTGTCAAAAGAGAACATAGGCATTCAACATAATTTCCAATGCCTGCACACTTTTCTAAAATCCCCTGCACATTGAAACAAAATTATGTTCAAGATGCATGCATGAGTATCTGCCACACCTTGGCCATTTATATTAAACAAATCTTATCTAAAATGTAAAAATTGGTTTTATTGTTATTCATCTTTTCCATCATTTGTGAGATGCAGTTATATTTCAATTATATCTGTAAAATGGAAAGGAATGTTCTTCAATATGACTTACCTTGCTTTCTTGACAAATTTTTGAAGACAAAGAGAATTAAAATGACCCCATAATATTATGGCAAGTTTTGCTTAATATTGGCTGTTCTCAGTGAAAGTCATGGTAATCACCATACCAATGTAGAATAAAATGCTATTAAAAAGCGAAACAAAGTTCCACAAGGTAAAGTCTACTAAAGAAAGAAACTAAAAAAAGCAAGATATGTTACATAAGAGCCTTAATGTGTTACTTTGATATTTATCACGCATTCTCACTTTAAAACGCATGTTTTATGTAAAACCCAAGTACTCATTACAAAAATATATCACGTGATAATGAGAAACGAATGAAATTTGTCAGAGAAGTTGAAAGACACCTCTAATGGTCACTTAGCTTTGCTAAAATGTGTTCATTCTTTATCAATGTTATGTTATAATTCATATAACTAGAAAGTGTAAGATGGAATTGGGTTGACATACTTTCTGTGGATAGAGAAAATAACTGATTCTAGGTTCAACTACTGTAAGAGAAACAAAAAGGAACATAATCCTT
Source organism: Homo sapiens (assembly GCF_000001405.40). Taxonomy (NCBI): domain Eukaryota; kingdom Metazoa; phylum Chordata; class Mammalia; order Primates; family Hominidae; genus Homo; species Homo sapiens. Next base: position 58,825,243 of record NC_000004.12, on the reverse strand, counting down.
ATTACCATGGAGCTCACAGTGCATGAGGGAAGACTAATCACATTGAACAATTATATCAGGAAACCTAACTCAGTTTAGTGTTCAGAGAAAGCCTTCCTGAGTGTGTGACATTCAAGTTGAGACTTTAAGAATACGTAAGATTTAATCTGCAAAAGAGTGTACAGAATTGCTCTCAGGCAGAATAAAAGAAATCTGTATAAAATATCTGTCTGAAATAGCTGAATTTCCTGAAAAGGAAGTATCAATATGGTTGGAGCACAGTGACAGATGGGATGAGTGACATTAGATGAGGCTAAAGGGGGAGGCAGTGACTGGATAACACAGAACACCACAGGGCACAACTCTTTTATTTCAATAAATACTCACCACAGAGTTTGGCACTAGATAATAGCGTTATGTACTTTCTGTTTTATAAAGGCCTTTCTAGTAGAAAATGTGAATGATAGATTGAACATAAGGGGAATAGGGTCAGGAAGAGCTATTGCTATTATAAACTATTCCCAAAACACTACCCAGAGTAATTCTATTAACAGATTAAGTCAGATTACACCAATTCACTGCTCATAAACCTGCAGTGGCTTTCTATGTCACTTAGAGAAAAAGCCAAAACCGTTCAAATAAAATTATAAGCCCTATTAAAACTCTGCCCTCTTACTTCTCTTGAACTCTTCTCCTTCTCCCTTGTTGTTGCTTATTCTTTACCAGCCATATTGGTTACTGGGCTATTGATTAAATTTACTGAGTGTCTTTCTATCTTACAGCTTGGAAACTGGCAATCTCCTCTATGCAGAATTCTCATCTCCCAGACCACCTCATGACACAGTCTCTTGACTACTTTGTTAATCTTTGGTAAAATGTCACTTTCCCAATAAAGCTGTCCACAGTTTAAAAAATTACAACTTAATTTTAAAATTTAAAACTGGCCCACACCCCAACCTTCGTTTATCCTGCACTGCATTATTTGTCATTGCAGTGTCTAGATCTCAACAACAACAAAAAATTAGCAACTTATTTTTAAGTTTCCTGTTTATTGTCTAAATCCTTCAACTAGCATCGATAAGAGAAATTATTTGTTTCCTTAATTGCCTCAAGTACCCAAGATCCCAGAATAGTACACGGCATATATACTAACTAAATGAATATTATTAGAATCAATGAATGAATGAACCCCTTTGAGCAGATATAGTGAAATGGATTCTCCCTTACAGCCTCCAGAAGGGAATGAAGATCTGCCAAGACCTTTATTTTAACCCAGTGGGACCTATCCGGGAGTTCTAACCTACACAAATCTAAGATAAAAATTTGTGTTTTAGACCACTAAGTTTCTGGTAATTTTCTACAGCAGCAGTAGAAAACTAATATACTAATTTTGTAATAGTGGAAAACATCCACTAAGTCATAGTATATAACTCATTTCATATGTTGCTAGATTTAATTTGCTAACATTCTGTTGAAAGTTTTTGTGTCTATGTGTCTATATCTATAAGGGACCTTGGCCCACAGTGTTCTATTCCTATGAAGGTCTTTGTTGTTAGTTCTTAGGATTTTACTGCATCAAAGGATGAATTGGCAAGTATTGTCTTCTCCTAATGTTTGAAAAAGTCTGTGAAAGACTGACAATAATGCTTTTTATGAATTTTTGTTTGTTAGGTACACCAGCTTAGCTATCTGGGTCTGGGCTTTCTGTGTGTGTGTGTGTGTGTGTGTGTGTGTGTGTGTGTGTGGATGAAGGAAGTTTTTAAATTTCTAATTTAATTTTTCTGCTTCTTATAGGTCTATTCATATTTTTTATTTGATCTTGAGTCAGTTTCCATAGTTATTCTCTTTTTAGAAATAGGTTCATTTTGTTCATGTTATCTGATTTGTTGGCGTGCAATTGTTCCCAATATTCTCTTATAATTTTTTTTATTTCTGTAAATTTGTTAGTTATATGCCCTCTTTCATTCCTGGTTTTATTAACTCGATATTTTTTCTTTTCGCTTTGTCAGTCTACCTAAACCATTATCAATTTTTACTGATTATTTCAAATAACAAATTTTGGTTTTGTTGATTCACTGTTGTTTTTCTGTTTTCTATTTCATTTATTTTACTTATAATTTCATTATTTCTTTTTCCTTGCTTTGAGTTTACTTTGTTATTTATTTTCTAGTTTCTTAAGTTGGAAAGTTCAGTTATTAGAGATATTTCTTCTTTTTCAATATAGGACTCCACAGCTATAGAAACCCTCCTAAGTGTTACTTAAGTCACATCCCACAAGTTTGGGAATATTATATTTTCAATGTAACTCACCTCAAAATATTTTCTAATTTTTCTTGTGATTTATTCTTCGACCAGTTAATTACTTAGAAATGTGTTGTTAAATTCTCCTGTTACTGTGATTTTCCAAATTTTCCTACTGTAGTTAATTTGTCATTTTATTAGGTTTATAAAATTATTACATGATTTAATTCTTTCAAAATTATTGAGATTTGTTTAGTGGCCTCAAATATGATCAGCCCCATAAAATGTTCCATGTGCACTTATGAAGAATATGCATTTTGCTGCTGTAGAAAAGGTGTGTTAAATAGAAGCCTGTTAGGTCTAATTGTCTTATAGTATTGTGTAGTATAATACTGTGTGTTATGAGGTGCTTCTCTCAGAATATTAAAGATCCTTTCTTTCCATTTAGCTTTTGACAGTTTGATAATGATGTGCCTATGAGTGGATCTCATTGAGTTTATACCACTTAAAGTCTGTTGAGTTTCTCAGATGTGTAAATTAATAGCTTTCATCAAATTTGAGAAAATTTTTGTAATTATTTTTTCATTTTTTTTCTATTTCTTTCTCTATCTTCTCTCCTTGAAATCTCATTGTGTAAATATTGAGCCACTTGTTGGTCCCACATGTCCTGATGCTCTTAATTTACTTTATTCTTTGTCTTTCTGTTTCTCAGATTGGATAATGCTAATTAATCCTTTTGTTTTATTCACCAATTCTTCTTCCAGGTTAAGTTTGATGTTGAGCCTCTCCATAAATTTTCATTTCAGTTACTGTACTTTGCAATTCCAGAATTTATATTTGTTTCTTTTTCTTTTTTTTTTTTTTTTTTTTACAATTTCTATCTTTGTATTGATATTCTTTATTTGGTGAAACACCATTCTCATAACTTCCTTTGCTGATTTAGGGACACGTAGCATAGATGGCAACTCTAGAAGCCACATTTCAGTGTTTTGTGTTGTTGCTGCTGTTTGTTGCCATTGCTTTGTTGTTGTTGTTTGTTATTTTTATAGTGATTTTCCTGAAGAATTCTGTAAAGTCTGTACCACGATACAATAACTGCCAAACTCTCTGCTTATTAGTGTAGTTGTCACTGATGATTAGAAATTTCCGTAAATATCTTAAACTATTGAGCTGCCCAGACTTTGCCAATGGGCTTCCTTTGCATGTTGAATCATGTCTTCAAATGCTCCAATAGGGAGTTTACAATTACAACTTTAATTCCTGCTTGTGAAGTGTCTCCAGGTTAGCCACACGCAGGAAATTAGTGACTTCTCATGTATTTCCTGGGTATGCCCACCGCCCTGTACGTGTTTGTGTCTTTCTAGATTGCCAGAAATATATTGATGCTATTTAAAGCTTCCTGTGGACATGTGAATCCTCAGGTTTTACTTTTAAGTTTTTTAGTCACTTTCATGTTTTTCCTACCTGGTATCACTGCCTCAGGTAGCTGCAAATTTAGCAATTACCACTAATCCTTTCCAAAATATACCCTTGGAAAAAATTGTTTGCAGTTAGCAAGCTCTGCATTAGGTCACATAAAAACAATGGGGGTTTCCAAGGAACTGCTGTGGAGGTCATAATAATAATTTCCTGGGAATGGGGCTTTTGGACAAATCTAAATCTATTCTACTTCTGCTGTGAGCTGATAGGCTACTGATTTACATGACTACCATGGCTGTTAGATTGTTGGTTTTGGAAAGGGGTTGTTTTGTTTTGTTTTATTTGTTTTTGAGATTGAGTCTTACTCTATTACCCAGTCTGGAGGGCAGGGGTGCATTCATGGCTCACTGCAGCCTTTACCTCCTGGGCTCAAGCGATCCTCCCATATCAGCCTCCTGAGTAGCTGAGAGTAGCGCCACCATGCCTGGCTAGTTACTGTTATTATTATTTATTTTTTGTAGAGACAGGGTCTTCCTAAGTTGCCCAGGCTAGTCTTGAACTCCTGGCTCAAGTGATCCACCTGACTCCACCTTCCAAGGTGTTTAGATTACAGGCATGAGCCACAGTACCCAGTGGATTGTTGGGCTTTAAGACTACAATGGAGCAGAAGTGTTTGGAATGGAAATACAGCAAGTTGAAATGTAAAAATACTCACTATATTTTACTGAGATCCAGTTACTTTTTTTGACTAAATGTTTCTTAGATTGCTACAAGATCTTAGTAAATTTCAGAGTTTTAAAAGTTGACTTTGACAATGTTTAGTAGTATTCTTAATGATTTAATGGAGGAGAGGATTTTAGGAGATTTTTACTCAACCATAACTGCTGACATGACTTCCTGCTCTTTTTCTAAGAATATAATGGATAATGGATAAACCACATACAAGGACTTTTATATAAATCATGATGAACCTAAGGAATTAGCAAGTTATCCATTTATAACAAGACTTTTAAAAAGTCTAGATTTACTGTATTAAAAGACTCATTTTTGTCATCCTGTGACAAATCTCAAACCATGCCATTTACATTAGAAAAGTAATGTATCATTTCTATTCAGTCCATCAATTATGCCATTTTTGTATTATTTTAATCTACTTTCTATATAATATTTTCTCAAAATTATTTGAAATATTAATACATATTCTTTTTCTGTTGCAATAAAATTTATTTTTTTCCTTCAGGAGGTCACTCAGCCTTTTGGACAATTTCATAATAGTTCTGTCACGGTGTCTGCAGAAAGAGTTGAGCTTATACATTTATACATGCCACGTGTAAAAGAGTTGAGCTTTTACACGTGGCATGTATAAATGTCATTTTCTTTCATGTTTGAATTGGTAGCAAAAATTTTCTGCTTTATAACAATAAAGTCACCTTGTTGTTGTAAAATTAAATATTTTAAAGTCACAAAAAAAACCAGAAAGTATCACAAGATAATTTTTCTAGTTAGCACCCAGAGCCTTCTTCCACTGTGTTATATTATTTCTTTCTTTCATCATAACGCCCTTCTACCCTGATTTATTATTTCTTTGTCCAGGTAAATTTCCAACTCATTCTCCTTTGCACATAGATTCTAATAAAATTTGCTTCTCACAATGCCTTCTCTTAGCTAAAATTCCTGTATTTCACTCAATGTTCATTTCCATTTCACCCTCTCTGAAGCCTCTCTTAATTTCCCTGGGGCACAAGTGAGCACTCACTTCAAAATTCCCACAATCCTTTTTCACTCCTGAGACTTGTTATTTTAAAAAGACGGAGAAAAGGAATCTGAGGAATTAAAATTAAATTTAATTTCAACTTGAGAAAAGTGCGTAACTCATATCTTTCTCACTGGAAAATGGTTATATTAATGACTGCATCATAAGGCTGTCAAATATGCAAAATGAAAGTATGCACATAAATGTGATTTTTTTAAGCAATTAATGAATATAAGTTAGTAATGGAATGTTGTGCATTATCTATCCAACAATATTTTTAATTCTGTACCTGCTGTACTTACACTGTACTGTGATTTATGCATGTATTAATTTATTATATGGAAAGAATAATTTTTGTAAGTAAAAAAATAAAACATTTGCCAAATTTCAATATAGATTAACTCCTTCAGATCTTATTAACAGATATATATATATATATACACTTAACGTGAATTTATTATTTTAAATCATCTGCCTTATATCAACTTTTCAAAAGTATGGCTGGTTTTAGGTTGTGTAAGTCTATATAAATGTTTTTATATTTACAGTATACTAATTGCTATTTAAAGATATGTGTTTTCACTGCATTTAAGTCAACAATGTAAAATTTTATTCATAAGAAGATTATCTTGATGAAAAAACTTGAAAATTAATTTAAAAAATGTTCATTAGGTCTTGGTGATAAAAAACTGACTGAATTAATTCATGTCCTAAGTGAGTTACATAATGAGCATGATAAAGAATACAAAGATACAAGTAATAAACCTTTGCCATAACCATATGGAGTTTTTGTTTGTTTATTTTTTGTTTTTTTTTTTTTGGTCGTTGTTGTTGTTTTTTAGATTGAGTCTCACTCTGTTGCCCAGGCTGGATTGTGGTGCAGCTGTTATTTTGTCTCACCCTCCCGAGTAGCTGGGATTTCAGGCATGTGCCACCACGCCTGGGTAATTCTATTGTATGTGTGTGTGTGTGTGTGTAGAGATGAGGTTTCACCATATTGGCCAGACTGGTCTGAAACTCCTGACCTCAAGTGATCCGCCCACCGCGGCCCCCCAAACTGCTGGGATTACAGGTGTGCGCCACTGCGCCCGGCCCGGCCCTATATGGGGTTTCTTAGTTAACTGGATTTGCAATGTCATATTTTTAACAAGAATATAAAATGTTGCCATATCTCTATTGCGGGATCTGGCCCTCAGCCCGCAATGCAACGGGGCTCTCTCTTTGTTCCCAGGCGGATCGGCAGGTTGAGAAATAATAGACACACACAAGATAGTGAAAGCTGGTTCCAGGGGGGTCACTGCCTTCTGGTCCCACACTGCCAACAATACACTGGATATACCAGTATTTATTATTAAGTTTAGTGAGGGCGGGGTAGGTTAGTGAGGGATTTAGGGTCATTTGATTATGAGGTGAGATGGTCACATCGGGATGAAGTAATTTTTAACATAACATTTGTATGTAGAAGTACAGTATAGAAAAATAAGAGTTTACAATATAGTGTGTACGTCAGTAATTTCTAACAGAGCCTTTGAACAGAAACACAGTCTTTCCATAACCTATGATTAGGAAGATATTAATCAGCAGTAACAATTGCAACAAAAGCTGTTTACAAACAATCCATGGAAACAGGATGTGAAGCTAGACAACCGGTTAGACCAGAAATTCTCAGAAGGGCGTATGCCTTAACCCTAAAGAGGCCTAGAAGAGCCGCGGCAAGATGAGGGCGTTTATAGTCTTGTCTTATCCATATGGACAGGCGCCCTCCATGCGTCCGTTTATAGGCTCCCCACAAGGGTCACATTCCATTCCCAGAGCTATGAACATCTGCTTTTCTGGGATAGGAATCTTGGTGATGTGAAACCTCCCTTACTGCATGTCCATTCATAGTCTGTCTGCAGGGGGAAGTGCATCATGCACTGTTGGCTCATTCTGGCAGTCCAACCTGGCATTGTCTTTACACAATCCTGCATGCAATTTTGTATTTACAATAATCAGGAGCATTTCACCTTTTATTCCATAGCAATAGTTTCAGGGGGTCTCCATACATATCTCCACACAACTAACCCTTCAATACAGAGTAAAACACTCAGAAACTCTATGCTTATAGTCAGGCTACAAATGACTTCCTTGATTTTCTATATAATGTACTTGCTTGCATTATTTTAACACTCTTTTCAGATACTAGTCACTCTATTATCTCTGCAGTCATTACAGATATGTGACAAAACTCCTTGGAGGTGAATCCAGGACAATTTTCTTAAAATATGGCCATATTTTATCTTTTCTGATAAATTTAGAAAATAGTCATTATGCCAAACACAATCAGTTGAATTCTATCTCCAAAACATTTCTAAAATTTTGTGGAATACATGCAATAAATCAATAAAATGCTGTGGTCTTGTCTTATTTTAGAAATGGTTTGGTTAGTGCATTTGGATTGAGTATACTGACAAGACATGCTCTTGGGTTTCTTCAGATACTCTGTGAGTGATAATAAGATAAGATGAAGGAGGAGAAATCCAATAATATGACTCTGTCAAGGCTTTCCTAGCTCTGATCCTTCAAGACAAAACCAGGAGATCTGGAGAAATTGACTCAGAATTGTTTTCTCAAGAAGACACTGTTGTCTCCTACACAGATATAAGCCAACAGTCTTAGTAAGACTCTTGCTGTTAGACCAATTTGAAAACCAGGGTATTTTGACTATTAGTGCTAAAGAATTCCTTTCTACTAAGATAAGTTATTGTAAACTTAGTTAAAATGGAAAATATTTCCCCCAAATTTCCCTTTTCTATATGGTTACATTTTAGAGTTGACAAAAGAGGAACTGTAAAATATTAGAAGATTAGAGTGAATCGATGGTCCTTACTCTCAAAGGTAAGACATAGTGGTCAATATATTCAGAGGTCCTGGCGGTTACTACCTCCTCTTCATTCTTCCGCATCATGCGTATCTCATCTTAACAGCTGCCATCCTAGTATCCAAAACAGACTCAGTTTCACAACCAGACACTTGGTTGTAGACTACAGAGGTGGTAGCTACACAGAGGCAGCACTTTCCCAGGATTCTTGACAGCCACATCTGCTCCTTACCCACACCTCAGGGGCTGGATGCGCTTGGGTTCTCAAATTCTAGTGAAAGCCCTAACGTTCCCACACAGGTAGGTGCTTTTGGTAAACTGATTAAATGACTCCAGTCTCTAATTAGCCTCCTCCTTCAGATCTTCACTTTCCCAGCTTTTGCCACAATTGTATAGGAAATACTGTAGTTTACTCATACCTTTATCTTGTGGTTTTGCTTCTCTCAAACCCTGACTAAATATTCTTTTTATATAAACTATTTATTTAGTTAGTTGGTTATGAATTTTTTTCTCGAGATTTTAAAACATTCTTTAGATCATTATTCTTTTATTGGCTGGTCCACTGTATATACTCTTGATAATCACTTTGAGATTTTTTTATTATTTTGTCTGTAATTCCTACAATTCATATTACTATAAGTTCTGTTGCTTAGATAGTCAACCTCCAGGATTGACCCTCCTTTTCGTTTTTATTAATTCCTGAGGTTCAACTTTTCTCTTTCCTATCCTCACGTCAAATTTTGAAGATTTATTTTTTCAAACTTATATTCCCTCCCTTTTTTAAAAGAGGTCTTTTTTTTTTTTCATTTAACAGCTTTTGCTTACTCTTCATATTTCACTTTTTAAAAAATTATTGACAGGGGAAATGTGTTTGGCCCATCAATTATTAATAATCACATCCCTATGTGCTTAACAGAAATGCAGAATTTTAGGACCCACCCCCAAACTAATACATCAGAATCTACATTCTCAGCAAGATGCTCAAGTGAGTTTATATCCACATTAAAGTTTGAGAAACAGGTTTAGATCAAATTTCATATGTATCCAGTTAAAACTGAAACTGTAAGTTTTCTTCAGTAAATGGGTTTTCCATGCTCTATTAAATCTTTTTATGCTGGCCATTAAAAAATCATCTGAAGAATCCATTCCTGTTTTTCTGGCTGTTTCTGATTGGCTGTCAATATTTTGTATCTGTTAGAAATTTAAATGTTGGTTCCTTTTGGGGCTCACTCGTTAATTCTTTGTAGATTCTATGGTATCTCTAAAATTATATTTTAACTGTGGTTTGACATTGTCCAATTTCTCACCTTCTATCCCTCATGATAAAACGCAGAGTGGTAAAACAGTTTATGCTCACTTTCTCTTTGTGTCTGCTTTGTCCATGGATCACTAACTTATCTCTGACAAATCAAAATATAAACAGTTACACTGTTGTGCTTTTTCCCCTCTTAATATCTTTTTTAAATGTTTTTCCTGGCTCAGATAAACACAGGGAAGCAAGCCTATTACCTAATTAGAATCCAAATGGGAAATAAAATGTAGATGCATATCCAGTAGCCATTTCTAATTTTGAAGAAAAAAGATACTCTTTGGGAGCATCCCATCTAACTTAGTAAGATAGAGGGCAGAGGAAGTAATCTCCCACCAAAACAACTACAATTTAATTAGATGATTCATTCACATATCAGTCTTTAAGGACAAGATATCTGAGCCAAATTTCAAGGCAAACATATATGCTGAGAAAATGAGGGTAGAATCCTTAAAAGATGAAAAGCAGAGAAGGGAAACCCAACATTATGTGGATAAACTTTCTCCAAATCACTAGCTTATTTTGAACCATATACACGTGCAAAAGTCTCAAAGTAATCAGATAAGGACAAAAGAAATGAACTGAGATTTTTAACTGCCACCTAAGAGAAACATTGTGTTTGAATCCAACTGTTAAAACAAGTCAATATTCCTTGACAAAGTATGAGGAAATCTAGTCTTTCCACAATATGACATTGCACTGACTGACATAAAACCCAAAATTATCGAGCAATAATAGACGAAAAGTGACATATGTTCAGATAAAAAAATAAAGATAAAGATGACCAGATGTTGGAATCAGTAGACAAGAATGTTAAAGCAATAATTATAGTTGTATTTAATGATGCAAAAGTAGGCTTACAATCAAGAAAAAGAAAATCTCAACAAATAGAAACTGTTACAAAATATAAATGCAAATTCTGAAATTGAAAATATATAATGTCTAAAAAATTTAGCAATCAAAATCACGTTACCTTCAGAATAGTAAACAGAAAGAATATGGAAAAGTGAATTCCACTTCCACATACTAACAGATAAAACTACTGTGTTAGAACAGGATAGTAATGTTTGCAGAATAAAGAGATACATTAATAAAGTGCTATAGAAAGCTTAGAATAAATCTAAATATAAATAGCTATTTAGCATATTACATACAGTAACATGAAGTTATACATTTTTCAATAAATTATTTGAGAAAACAGACCTTTTTGAGGCTTAAATAAATTATCATATAGACAATATTTAAATACAATATGACATAGTAACTATCATAATTTTTCTATTTGTATTAGTAATATTACTTTTACTGATCATGAGGGTATGGTTGATAATGGACTGTTTCTAGGGAATAAATTTTCAACAAGTATTTTTTAATACATTTAGTCATACCCTTTGTCCCTAAAAATCTAATCAAAATTTATGCTAAGAAATAAGAAAGGATAGTCAGAAGTTTTGTAGTAAAATTTCTGACAGCATAAATGTCCAACAGTAGTTGATTGATTGAATGGTTCAGGATGACTTACACGACAAATACTTTTACAATCTAAAAACACTACTAAACTCTTTACAGAAGCAATGCAATACGTAAAGTACTATTGCAGACACTGTATGTCAACAGACATCTCTACCCCAATTTAGCTTTACTACCTTCTAATAGATAAAATAAATGACAGAAATTTGAATTTACCGTCACCGGTATAGCTATAGGTGGTCCTATTTCAAATTCAGTGTGGTAAAATGGGGAAGACAACCTATAATCTTGTGAACAAGTTTCCTTCATTGACATAAGAAAAGAAGAAAGGAGTTGCTGGTACAATTTTTTGCCCTTTTTACTCCCTTGAAAATGGAAATGAAACCAAGAACTATGATAACCATCTTTCAAACATGAGGTTACAAGTGTGAAACGAGGAAAAGAAAAAGAAATGTATAGAGGCATAGAATAAGAGACAGAATCTGGATTATTGATGATATCATAAAACTACTACCAAATCAAAATTATGCACCTCATATATCCTGCAAGAATTAATGAAATATGTAGTTTATTAACACTACTGTTATTTTATTTATTTATTTATTTATTTTGAGACATGCTTTGCTCTGTCTCCTAGGCTGGAGTGCAGTGGGGCTATTTTGGCTCACTGCAACCTCTGCCTCCTGGGTTCAAGGAATCTTCCCACCTCAGCCTCCTGAGTACCTGGTACCACAGGCACATGACACCATCCCCGGCTAATTTTTTCTATTTTTGTAGAAATACAGTTTCACTATGTTGCCCAGGCTGGTCTCGAACTCCTGAGCTCAAGCAATCAGCCTGACTCGGCCTCCCAAAGTGCTGGGATAAAAGGCATGAGACACTTCACCCAGCCTGCCACTGTCATTTTGTTACATATAGCTGAAAACATTTCTTACAGATGCAAGATCTATCACAATAAATCAAACTGAACAATTATACTATCATATGTTCAATTTATGGCTAAGTACAATTTCCAGAGATTACATAGGGCTGGTCTAATGGTGTAAAGAATGTGTTTCATATGAGGTGAACTCTAATGTCAAACTAATAACCCTAATCATTACAGGGATATATTTTGAAAAGATTAAACACAATGGTGGGTAGGAAGACGTATATATGATTGATTAAACCAGAGCACTTATGGACTGAAGATATCCTCTTAATATATGTAGTGTTGCAAGTGACTCAAACTCTCTTGGGCAAACCACAATGTATGGTCTCACTAGTTTGGGGCCAGGGTGGTTATTCTGCAAGGTTATCTAAAATTTTTTTTTTAAATGGATTGATCTATGAAAAGTAACTAGGGCTTTTTGTAATCTGGCAAGTAAATAAGGCTTTAAAAAAAAACAGGCATATGAGAAAACTAAAGGCTTCTGCAAATTCCCATGTACTATGTCTGTCTCTTTTGTTCTTGCCTGTCATCAGCTTGTAGTACAGAGGCATCTTGTTCATTGCTGCAATGAATATATTAAATATATCTTTGCTATGCTAAAGATCTGGGTCATTATGACATTCATGTTCATAGGTGGATGCTGCTCTCTCGCCAATTGAGGAAAGTTAATGTTTCCTAAAAAAAAAATCATAAAAGAAAAGAAAACCATTAAGCAGTTGACAATTATGGGCAATACGGTAACTTTATATAAGAGACACCCATTAACCAAATGTTGTACTTTCATATTTAAAAGTCACATGGAAAATAAAAGACAAGTAAAAAACAAATGATTGCTAAGAGCTCATGTTGACTGCTCAGCTGATTCAGCACAGACTGACAAGTCTAAACAGTACTAAATAATAATTGAAAGCAGTCTTGCCAAAAATGTGCTTTCGCCCCAAATTTAATTGGTTATGCATTTTAACTTTCATTTTATTATTCTGAATTATGCCACTGGAGTTTTAGAAATTAGGTAAAAAGTAAATAATGCTTTCAAATGCTTTAGGAAAGAATGCATACATATGATTAGTGCTGTCCACAAACTAGTACTCATTCCGTAAATCAAATATGGAACTGTCTTACTTTATTGTATCCATATCTTCAATATCCCAGCAGGTTTGTATAATATAAATGGGACATGTAAAACTTCCCAATCTAGATCTTGTAAACTAAGTCTTAATGGTTTTTCCCACCAATTTTGAAAGCCTCTTTGCATTAATTTATTACCCCAATTTAAAAAATGCATTGAATACACATTCTTAATTTTCATAAATCTTAAAGGTTCAGTTTTTATCCATTTGTATTACAGCTATTGATCTCATTTCCAAAACAATGTAAAGACTTTAAAAAGGTCAATTTTTCTATTTCTAAAATTAAAAGACTTACACTCTTATATTTTTTGGAAGTGATGGTTATTGGAGGGAGTTGTATTTACTTTCCTATTAAAAAGACATAGTTTGGTCAAGCAGGGATTGATTGATTTATATCGGAATTTGAAGTGTTTATCAACACTCTTGTCACATTGAGATAAGCTTATTACAGCTACTTCAGCTGGTTTCCCTGATAAGAGTTTGTTTAAATGTGTGGGCAAAACTATTTATTCAAAAGAGAATACTTCTTTTTTATTTTATTTTTTATGAGTACATAGTGGGTACATATGTTTATTGGGTGTATGAGATATTTTGATACAGGCATACAATGTGTACTAATCACCCTGGGGTAAATGGGGTATCCACCGCCCTAAACATTTATTATTTCTCTGTGTCACAAACATTTTTCTGTCTGTTCAGAAGCCTTTGTACTCTTTGTCACTTACAAGTGCAACAAAGCATTTATTCCAGAGTTACTTGTCCCAGTGCTTGAATTACCTGTGGCTTTAATCCAACACATATAAGAAACTTCTAGCTTGTATGTAGCTATGAAGACAAAACTATCTGACTGTTTGGTATGTGCAGAGTTTAAACAGAAAAACCTTTATAGGTCATATACATATAATCGTTGGGAAATTCTATTATGTAGGTATGTACACCATAGGAATCAAAAGCATTATCTGGGCCTCTATATTAGCCTACAGCCAAGTGTCCTGCCTGAGGCACTGGTCAGTTCCACAAAGTTGTTTGGGGATAATAAATACAAATTTTAGTCATAAAATATCTAAGAAGTTAAATAGAAAAACATATTAAAGGTAATAACTCATCATAATTTTAAATTTTACATGTTTACTTTTCAAATTACAGTTAAATAATTTATTAATAAAATGTCTGTTAATGAAACAGCAAAAAAATTGGCATTTATTTATATTTTTGTTTTTTAGAGAGAGAGTTTCACTCTGTGCAGTTGTATGATCATAACTCCTGGCTAATTAAAAAAAAATTACAAAGATGGGGTCTTGTTGTATTGCCCAGGTTGGTCTTGAACTCCTGTCTTCAAGAAATCATGCAGCCTTAGCCTCCCAAAGCACTAAGATTAACAGAGTGAACTACTGTGTCTGGCCACAGCCCAGCATTTATTATTCTCCCTTGCCATTACCTGGTTATAACTTTATCACAACAGCTTTCTTTTCAATTGCGTCGCAGTGCTGAAATGAAAAGCCCTTAATTTTGTTGTTGTCACTGTTCCTGTCATCCCTAACAAGATGCCATACAATGTGTGACACACTCCTAGAGACAGATCATAAACAACTGACTGTAAATTTGTTGGAACTGTAAGTTTGGTGAAACAACAGCTTTCTCACATAAGCATCTTTATATTTTACTCATTATAACCCTCAAAGGGTTATACTATAATCTGGACTTCAGCTACCTTTTAACTTTATTTTTTACTAATTCACCTTTTTAATATTATGTCATTTGTATTCTTCAAATGAGCCAGACTTCTGATTACCTGATGACCTAGTACCAGGTCTTAGAATTCAGATTTTGTACTCAAATGTCTCTAATTTCTGCAGCTCTTCCTTCCAATAAAAGACTTATCCCACATATTTGCAATAATCCCATTCCTGTTATCTAAAGTCAGTGTCACTTGCAACTTGAGTTAATATAAAAACTGGTGTTTAAATTTGAATGATGTCATAAGTGACCTTTAAGTATGAAACTGACCGAACTGGGAGAGAAAGGTAGATAATGAGGATTTCTTCACTCTGGGCAGTGAGAACAACCACTCTTGTGATGTAATGGCAATGAAACTAGTTAAATGATTGCTGCAGGGAATTTTAAGCTTTAGGGAAGTACTTATTTTTGGAAAAAAAAAATCACACGTGTAGACAATTATATTTTCTTATCTCACTAAATAAACATTTGATCCTAAAGAAGTCCAGAGGCTTGCCTAGAGGTTCCCATAGTCTTTGTTTCTGCCATGTCAACTCAGGATTGAGGGAATAAATACGCCAAACACATGTCCCTGATGGAGAGCTTTGTTGTGAGGGACCTGATATAAAAGCTCAGAATACTGGATGCATGGCTGCTTCTTGCAACCTGTGGTAAGACGTTTCAACGAAAGAGCTGCTTTCCAAGCTGGCCTATCTGGAAACAGAAAGAAATAGCAAAGAGAACCATCCATGTAATTGGTTTTGTTAAAAATGCCCTTTCTGCTGTAACCAGTTATTTATGAATGCAAGGTTGAGGGAATTGTGCATCTTTAAGATCATGAAGCTAAATCATGCGCCTCATACTGAAGTTGTGTGAAAAATGACAGGAATGTGGAAAACTCAGTAGGAGATAAGATGAGCACTCAGGAGGAGATGGAGAAATGGGGCAAGGGTGAATTTTCCTGGCCCTTCAAATTAATATTCTAGACAATCATGTCTCCCTCATTGTCCCAAAACAACATTGTTAATAGTCTTTCCTGAAAAGCATTATTTATGAAAATGTAACCTGGCGAATAGCAAGGAGCTTTTTAAATTAAACATCATGGCAAAGTCCATGCGGTACCCTGTAACTGAGGTTGCAGAAACCTCAACTGCCTTCTAAAATAGAAATCCCCAAGGCAGGGCTAAGATACAAATAAATCAATAAACAACTGTTTTCATGGTATTGCGTTGCCCCTGAAACTCTGAAACAATAAAAGGGAGTTTTGTGATTGTTCTTTACTAGAGCAAATTTCAGGTTATCATAAACATGACCAAAGTAATTTGGCCCACTAAAGTCATGTAATACCCATTTGGGGAATGCTCCCCAGTACCCCATGCTGATATGTCCACTGAGTATACAAAGGAAATATTAAGAGACTCACTCATTAAGCAAACAGAAGAAACCTATAAAAATCTTGTTTAGAAAGCTACGCATTTGCTTTGACCTATAGGCTGTAAAATAAAATTCCTTCATCTTTTATCTGTGCTTACAGTTTCTGGGGTTTATATGTATATGTATATTTTTGCAATAAGTTGCAGAATGAAGAGAGGCCACTTCTACAATTAATAAAAGGAACTCACATTGATGAGATATTGATATGATGTTCAACACAGTTTTAAATATTATTGTGGACAGTCTTTTTTGGAATTATTTACAATTGTATGTGGATAGTTGCATTAAAGTTGGGGGCATTCTGAAAATTAAAGGAAATATGTATGCTTATGTGTGTGTGTAATCATGTATGTTGGGCAACCAAGAAGTAACTTGTGGCTATGGACCTTTTCTGCCAGCATCTCTACCCTCCAGTTTCTATTAATAGACCTTATTTTCCTGACCATTGAGGGTTGATTATGTGGCTGATGCTGGGAGACCATGGTCAGAGAAGCACCTGTGCCTTGAGTCTCTTTTTTTTTTTTGAGACAGAGCCACACTCTCTCATCCAGCTTGGAGTGCAGTTGTGTAATCATAGCTCACTGCAGTCTTGAATTCCTGGGCTTGTGTCTTCAGCCTTAGTAACTGGAAATCATCTTTGGAATTATCCTTCTTGAGTTCCTGGGAAATGTATTCTTCTTCCTCTTTGGTAAAAGGCTTTTAAGATAATAACTCAAGAACTACCTGAAACCATGCTGAAGCACACAAGATAAAACATGAGAAAAAACAAACAAAAAACCACTGTGACATCAAGAATGAAAATGGAGAAGAGATACAGAGAGTTTCCTGAGTGTCCAGTCCCTGAGAGGCCTAGAGCTGGGTCATTTCCTGAAGTGCCATTCTGAATTCTCAGAGTTACCCCCGTTCTCCTCAAATAATTTGTGTGGTTTTTTTTTTAGTCATTCTTTCTTAGGCCATGTTGACTTGGGTTTTTATCACTTACAAGTGAAAGAGTTGTGAATCATGCAATTGACTTTCAACTCTGACATTCTTAGATGCTAAGATATTAAGTCTGTCACCAGGAACACACCCAAGACTGTTTAAGCATTTGATGATAAATATGAAAAAATCACTAGTCGAAGCAGTCCTTCCCTGATTAAGTTTGTCATTCATATTTCAGCCTGTACTGTATGACAGTAATTCAATCCTAACAACCACCTTGGAGAGCCATCTGTAGAAATGAAAGGCAGTGAAAACACTTGATTAAGGAGAATTATTTCCTGCATTTATTCATCTCCTTTGATCCACTTAAAATAATTTATGAGATTGAGTTTCATTGAAATAATATAATTAAATATAATATTAATTTTCACTAAACTTTAAAAGGAACAAGAAGACCACATCTGTTTTGTTGGACTCTATATCATATAGAAGACACTGTGTTAATATTTACAGACCTCTAAGATGATTATTTTTCACTCTGCTACTTGTTTTCTTGTGATCCTGGGCTGCTGACCTCTGTGAGCCTCAATTTACTCATCTATAAAAGTGGATATATGACAGTGAACCAACATAGCTATTCAATTAATGTTACAATCTCAGAATACAATTGGTAGATTCAAGCAAATAAGGATCTATCTACTACCGAATACGTGACCTAGAACAAGTTACTTGACCTTATTTGTGCTTTTTAAGAAAGTTTTAATTATGTATAGTGATTCTATCCTATGTCTCCCATCTCCATAAGTCTTGACATCTATGGATTGTTTCTTTGCCCTATTAGTTTCTTCAAAAAATTAATTGCAAGTAGTGAGTATGATTACAAAGCAGATCAGTTTAAATCACTCTAATATCCTGTGCAAAATCTTTTTTAAAATAGCTTAAAAACTGCAGCCATATGGTTCTATATTAAAAATTATATGTGAAGATTAATATTTATAAAATTAGTTATTTCTTACTTTTTTTAATTTGCTATAATGTAGAGGTGAAAGTAAAGTACCAGTAAAACAAATGTAAGATTGACAAGGAATATCTTTGAAGAAATGTTTAAGAGTATGGAAATTAGATGGTATAAGTAAATCAGAACGATCTTTTTTTATAAAACAAGATAAATTTGGGCTTTTAAAATTACTATTTCAAAAGAGGTAAATATAACCAGAATTCAATTCCTGGCCAATCTATGTACTGCAGATATCTGAAAACTGGAGCACAGAACGGATTCTTACTCAGTAACCAAGAACATATGGTACTAGATCAAGAAGAGCTGAAGAATTTTTTTTTTCTGTATCTTCAATTACTCAGTTAAGAACAAACTGTAGAAGAATAAGAGGGGAAATAGAGACAATTAGTGAAGGCCTTACATTTCTCTAGGTAGTAATGTGAAAATCTTAGAACTAAAAGGTAAGAGAGGAGGTGTTGAGAAGTAAATAAATATGTGGTTTAGAAACATACTTTCAAGGTAGATGGAAAACGAACTTGTGGAATTACATGTTAGGGATAAGAGGAAAAGAAGAAAATTGAGTGATTCTAGGACTGTGTCTTTATCAAATATGTGCAAAGGAGACATAAGTGGACAGGACTGAGAGAAGACCATATTTAAGGTGGGAGAAGGAATTAAGATCTTTTGAGGTATTCTCTAGATGAAGAATTCAAGTAAAGTGATTCAATATATTAAGTTTGGGATGAGGGCAAGATGAGAGCTGAGATATGAATTTGGATGTTATCTGTACATTATAAATGGTATTTGTAGCCCAGGATCAAATGTTATCAACTAGTGAGAGAGCACAAACCAAAAGAGAGTCAAGGTTTAATCTCTGGGTTACACCAACATCAAGAGATCTGCAAAGAAAAAGAATCTCCCAAGAGGAGCTTAAGTGGTCAGGGAGATCAGAGAAAAATAATGATCATAGTTTATTCTAGAAATCAAATGAATAAATGGTACTATGTACAGTATGTTCAAGAATATCAAAATCTGATAGAAGTCAAGTCATGACTCAATGACGTGTTTTAATTGACCATTGAATTTGGATAGAAATCGTTGGAAAAGTGTATAAGAATGTTTTTGACAGTATATTGTGAGCTATATTCTTATTGAAAGAGTAAAAAAGGGAATAATATATAAGGGAAATCAGATATTGAAAACTTTCTTAAGACATGTCTTATAAAATGGATGATGTGAATAGGATGGTAGTATCATGCATGTAAAGAGTTTTTTAATTTTAATATTTGGTGAGCAAATTAAAACAGGGAAAAACATCAGGAAAACGTCTTTGAGATGGCAAGATGGCAAGAGGAGATGCATCCAATGTATAATCATCAGTGCTTCTAACTAGACGGCAAGATAAATCTCTCTTTGCAACCTAAAATAAGGCAAATAGATTAAAGCATACAAGTCAAGTCCTATTTTGAGGCTTTCCTAAAGTAAACAACCAAAAAGTCATCTCTTAAATAATACACACGAATAGTTTTTCTAATGGTTATGTAAAATGTTCAACAAACTGTTTCACTTCTAAATGTAACATATTATAAGTCAACAGAGTAACAGCTAACTAGGCACTTGATAGGATCTTGCTGTTTTCTCCTCATGGCATTTGCTCTAAATTAGCTCTGAATGCCGTATGTTATTAAATTTCTTAAGAAAATATGGTTAATATGCTGTGGACAAAAATATAAAGTATATGAAAATATTTACTTGATCAAAACAAATGACAGCAACACTATTCCTTGGGCTAATTTAATAAATGCTAAATGCATTCGTGTGTTGTATGCATACAGTCCTAAGAGAAGCCTTTCATTCATCTTGTGTCCTACTCAATTCTGAGAATAAAATTATCATTGACTTCAATGAGATTTTATGTTTACCAAGTATATTGACCAAATAGGACCATACACTAAAACTTTTTCTGCATAGTTTTTAACTTAAAATATGTTATGTTCATAAAAATGATTCATAACTTATAAAATTATTATGAGAAATTTGTTATGAGTAGTAAAAAGTTTGCATGGAAATTTTGTTATAAAATTTAAGTTTTTAAAATTCTATTAGCAATACAATATCTTAGCTGAAAGCACAAATTAATTGAGTTGACCTAAATGTTGGCATTTAAATCCACAACTTTCTGGGGTTTTTTTGTTTGTTTGATTCTCTTGTTCTGCTCATAAAATACAAATAATTACAAGTTCAAGAGGATTTTATTCCTCAGTTTGATGATTTCATCACTGTTTATATGACCTCATCACTGACCTATATGAAATAAGATAGCTTCTATACAAGAAAAATGCATTTATTTGTCGTATGGGAGATGAGCAGTGATCACCAGTTTATTGCACAAAAGAAATTCTGTTTTCTAAGAAAAAAGGGGGGAAAAAAACCTCTTCCTAAATCTGCAATCTATTTAGCCCAATGTCCATTGGGAGAGAAAACAATCTAAGCAAAAACAGTTCAATTTCTATATCCACTTAAATCTGGAACATTGTGAGAAATGGTTTTAGGAGATAGCATTAAAGAACAGGTACTGTTTTTCTCTCTCTGATATTTTGGGTAGATACTATCTCTTCATGAAAGCAAAAATTACAAAGTTACTGATAACTACATTTTCCTTGAGATTGTTGGACATGGACATCTTTATTTTGGGATCTGCTTTGCCAAAGAGATTATCTTGTGCTAGGAATTTTCCCAAAAGACATCTATAAAAACTTACAATTAAAATTATACTTTATGGTAAAAGACTAAAAGCTATCCTCTAAGATTGGGAATAAGACAAGAATAATAGCTCTAAGCACTTCTGCTCAAAGTAGAACTGAAAGTTATATCCAGTGCAGTAAGGTAAGTAAATATAAATAAAAGTAATCAGATTAAAAAGATGAAGTAATATTCTTTTATTTGCAGACACCATAGTCCTATATGTAGCAAATCCTAAGAAATCTACAAAAAATACTGAAAGTAATAATTTGAGTTCAGAAAATAGGCAAGATATAAAATCAATACATACAGATGAATTTTTAGTCTATATACTAGCAATGAGCTATACAAAAATTAATTATGAAACACTTTTAAAGTTGCATCAAAAAGAAAAAAGTTTAAAATGAAATTAACAAAGAAGTGTAAGACCTGCACAATGAAAATCAGAAGGCATTACACAAATAAACTGAAGGTCATCTAAATAAATGGATAGTCATGGCAATTTCCTGACTTTAATGACTCAATTTTATTAAAATGGCAATTTAACCCAAATAGAAAAATACATTCAAAACAGTACCTATAAATAACCAAAGAATGTAAAGAATCATAGTAATTTACAAACTGATGCTGAAATTTACTCAGACATGTAAAGGAATTAAAATACCCATAGTGATATGGTTTGGCTGTGTTCCCACCCAAATCTCAACTTGAATTGTATCTCCCAGAATTCCCACATGTAGTGGGAGGGACTCAGTGGGAGGTAATTGATTCATGGGGGCCAGTCTTTCCCAAGATATTCTCGTGATAGAGTAAGTCTCATGAGATCTGATGAGTTTATCAGTGATTTCCACTTTTGCTTCTTCCTCATTCTCTCTTGCTGTCACCATTTAAGAAGTGCCTTTCATCCTCCGCCATAATTATGAGACCTCCCCAGCCATGTGGAACTGCAAGTCAAATTAAACCTCCTTTTTTCCCCAGTCTCAGGTATGTCTTTATCAGCAGCATGAAAATGGACTAATACACCTAGAAAGTTTAAAAATAAGAAAAAGAAGTTGGAGGACTTAATGATCGTCAATTTCAAAATTTACTATAACTGTGCGGTAATTAAGACACTGTGGGAGTGATATATGAGGACACACATGAGCCAATGAAATAGAATAGAAAGTTCAGAAAGACAGTGTGTAATTTTTTTTGTTTCTGGATTTTTTTTTCTGAATTTAGTTAAGGACTTTCAATTTTATCCTTATAAAATATATTTGTCTAGTTTTCTTGTGTTGTGACTCTGTCTGTCTTTAGTAAAATATTAATAATAGCCTCAAAGATGAACTGGTAAATATTTTCTCCTTATATTTTCTGTAAAAGTATTCTGTATAATCACTATTTTTGCTCTTTAAATACTTGATAGAATTCAGCCAGTAAAGGCATCCGGGCCTGGGGAAGTTTTTAATTACTAAACCAATTTATTTACTTATTGTAAGTATATTCAGATTTTTCATATTTTCTAGAAAGAATTTTGGCAAGAAGTGTTTTATTATTAGTATGCTGACTCAGTGTAAGTTGTCTAATTACATAGGATACATTTATTTACAATATTCCTTTATTATAGCATCTCTTTAATTCTTAATTACTCTATTTGCCTTTCCTCTCTTATTTGCTTCTTTTCTTCTCTTGCTTCTCTTTTTGTCAACCTAGCTAAAAGTTGATCAATTATTTGATTCTTTCTATGAATGAATTTTGGTTTCATTGAGTTTTCCAGTTGCTTCTCTCTTTTACTTATATTTATTTCCCCTCCGACATTTATTATTTATTTTTTCAGCTTCATTTTTGCTTAATTTGTTCTTCTTTTCTAGTTTTTAGGATGAAACCTCGCTTGTTATTTCATGTATTTTTTATAATATAGGCATTTGAAACTAATAATTTCACTTTAAACATTGTTTTAGTTGCATCACATAAATTTTGATAGTTGTGTGCTAGTTTTCATCTAGTTTAAAACATTTTCTAACTTCCCTTGTAAATTGTTTTTGACTATTACGTATTGTACAGTTTAATTTCTAAATATCTGGAAATTTCTCTTAATATCTTTGTGCTGATAATTTTAAGTTAACTTTATTGGTTCAGAAAACAAACTTTGAATATTTCAGTATTTATAAATTTGTCGAGACTTGTTATAGGGCCTCTTTTATGTTCTGTAGTAAAGAATGTCCAATGTGTGTTTGCAAAGAATAAAAGAATATTTCTTTCTTTTCTTTTCTTTTTTTTTTTTTTTTTGAGACAGAGTCTCACTCTGTGTCCCAGGCTGGAGTGCAGTGGCTCAATCTCGGCTCACTGCAACCTCGGCCTCCCAGGTTCAAGCAATTCTCTTGCCTCAGCTTCCCAAGTAGCTGGGACTACAGGCATCTGCCACCATGCCTGGCTAATTTTTGTATTTTTAGTAGAGATGGGGTTTCACCATATTGGTCAGGCTGGTCTCGAACTCCTGACCTTGTGTTCTGCCCACCTTGACCTCCCAAAGTGCTGGGATTACAGGCATAAACCACGGTGACAGGCCTAAACAATATTTATTTCTGTTGTTAGACTAAGTGTTCTCTCTCTCTCTCTCTCTATATATATATATACACACACACATATGTATTTATACATATAAATATATGTAAATATATATAAATATATGTAAATACATATTCATATATATATATATACCAATTATATATTTTTGTATCAGTTGATTCAAGTGAGTTGATAGTTTTACTTCAGTCTTGAATATGTTTATGGATATTTTTGTCTAGTTATTCTGTCAAGTCTCAAGAGTGAGTTATTGTCATCACAAATCATAATCACTAAGTTATCTATTTTTTCAAATATGTCAGTTTTCAATTTATGTAATGTGAAATTTTATTTTTAGGTGAATATATGGTTATAGTTGTCATACCTTCTACGGGTATTAACCCTTTTATTATTATAAAATACTCCTTTATTCTATGGTAATATTTATTGTCTTGATATCTATTTTGTATGATTATTTAATATAAACGTTCCTGCTTATTTACCATATTTTTCATAATACATTTTTCCGTTTTAAAAAATAACATATTTAGAAATATATTTGGATCTCATATTTTATCTTATCTGACAATATCTGAAGTTTTATGGGAATTTTAGTCTATTCTTATTCAATAAAACCATCTTTGTACTCTATTTATGTCTGGCATTTTTTTGTTTTCTATATGGATTATATTTATTTTGTTCCCTCTGTTGAACCTTTACTGTCTTATCTTTTGGTAAATAAATATTTCTGGTGTGTCATTTAAAGTCTTCTGTTGATGTATTTTATGTGTACTTCTGAGTTATTTTCTTAGTTTATCAAGAAATTACAAGTGACTATCATAAACTACTTCAGGTTAATATTTTTTTGATAAAATATAGCAAGCTTCTGAAAGAGAAAGTATTTAGGGGGTTTTCAAATGTTTTCCAATATCTTACCATTGCCTTTGCTGTTTATTTTTTTCTACGGATTTGAGTTACAGTCTAGTGACACTTTCTTTTAGCCTGAAGGAATTTTTTGGCTAAAAAATTCCTTCTAGAAACAAATTCTCTCGAGGTTATTGTATTTTTAAATTCTCTATATGTATTTACTTTGCTTGTGTTTCTAAAACGTTTTTTGGCTAAGATGGAACTCTTTGATAATAGTTATTTTCTTTCACCATATACAATGTACAATTTGATTGGCTTCTGGCTTCATTTGTTTAAGATGAGACATCCACTATAAATTGTATAGAGTCAGCTGTAGATTGTATAGTTGTTCCCTTGAATATGATGTCATTTTGTTGTGTTGCTATTAAGAGATGTCTTTGGGTTTGTATTTTGGTAATTTGACAATTATTTGTTTAGAAGTGGATCTTTTTCATGTTCATCTTATTTGAGATTTAGTAAGCTTTTTAAATTTGTAGATTTTTTCAATCAAATTTATTTCAGTCATTATGTTTTCTAAGATATTATTTCTTTCCTTTCTTCCTCTCTTCTCTTCTCGGACTATGTTAGTGCACTTTATGTCTTCCCACAGGTCTGATGCTTTGCTCTTTTGTCTTCAAATGTCATTTTATCTTGGTTGTCTAGGGTTTATAATTTACATTGAATAAACTTCAACTTCTCTGATTCTTTCACCTGCTATTTAAATGTGTCCACCATTATTAATATTTGCTATAATCATTTGGAAGATACTTACATTAAATTAAAACAGGGCATATGGTTAGGTTGAGCAATAGCAAGCATAATCACAACAAGGTTTAAGTTGAAAAATGGGGCTTTCTCAAAAATTAGAAAATGTAATGTCCTATTTTTCCAATGTTGGCTGAGAAGTTGGAATTTTTCTTACAGTGGAATTATGTTTCTATTTTAAACATACTTTTAAATGTAAATAATACCTATTATTGGAGAATTTATGCATAAAGCCATAATTTAATAAACATTTCCCAGTGAGTACATATACAGTTTAGAAAGAAATCTACTCTCTTATTTGTTGAAAAATCTTGATTTAATTTTTTTAAAGATAAAAGCTTGAGGAATCTTCAAAAATTAGGTATTTGGGCTCTAATTAAAAATTTCTAGTAGCAAGAGCTGCCTCATAGAACAAACAATCTGATTGTTGACATGAAATATTCATTCTAAAGATTCAAAATGAACACAAGTCCATTTTCATGTTTCTAGAAATATCTTTTATGGCATCTTGTATATAGTTTCAAAGTTGCTTTTGTATTGTTGCACGAATTAGTAGTGACATAAATCATCTTTCCAAGAACTCTCTCCAAGAGTTTTCCAAAAACTCTCTCAGTATTCAATTGTTTAGATGAATACATACAGGGAAGTTTATTCAAGCACAAAATTGTAATAAGGAACTGCAAACTTAACCATTCTACAACTTATCTAAAACATAATTATAGGTTTTTAAAAGGACCAGCTCATATAAAAGAAAAAAATATTAATTGAAGTTATGTATAGAGCATATCAGAGTGTTGGCAAACATACCCATTGTGTAGGCTATCCACCCTCTATTCACTGCCAACATTTTTCAGACTAATGTCTGGCCTTAGTCCTCTTAAATATATTTCTTTAAAAATTAACAAAAAATATAATTTTCAAATCTCAAGGTATATAAATCGGCACTATTTGAAATATGGTAATTTATTTCTGGAAAATCTGAATTTTTCTACATTCCATTTATATTTCCACTTAGGTTAATTTAGTATTTTATTATCTATAGTTTGATTTCTGTCAATTTGACTTCCACCAAAGTATTCACTATCTACACTGACTACATATATATGTGTGTTTGCATAAATACAGATATATGCATCAGTATGCTATACACCTGAAAAAATGTAAACTTTTTTAAAAAGGGGCGTTTCTCTAAAACTAGCTAGCAGTATTTCAGTGTTTTAAATACTAACCAAATACTGTCACTATTTTCAACAACCCTAGATGTAGAAACTCTAGTTATTCCTATCTTCTAGTTGGAGGAACTGAAGCATTGGAAGGTCATTTACCATGTACAGGGTCATACATTTACTAAATGACAGAATCAGGTTTGGAATAAATGGGAATTGATTCCAGAGCCTGTGTTCTTAACCACGTTCTCCAGAAAACTTGTACTACTATTCTGTATAATCAATCAGGTTTTAAAAATAAAGTAAACAAATCCAGTGGTATCTTTGGATTAAAAGTTATTTTTTATAACTTAATCACTGGATCACTTAATAAAGAGGAGAAGCACTTTCCTGTATTTAACCGGCCTACAAGCAATTCCTGGCTTTAAAATGAATTTATGTCATAAACCCTCCTATATTGCTGAGGATAAAGATGCAGAAAATAACTTAGAACTGCTTTGACAAACAAGTTCATATAATGATGTAATTTCCATGTAAAATAAAAATGAGTGTATTTTAGTCTCCATGGAACACAGAAAACACTAAAAACAAAAAAGAGGGAAATGTCAATAACTATATACACCAAAGTATTAAATTAGCCATATAGGGCACAGTTGGGTAGGAGCAAGGAATAAATACTTTCTCTTTTTATTTTTCACTTCTCAAATTTATTTAAAATTATTACACTGGGCATCTATTTAATCTAAAATTAATATTTTAAATCAATAAATATAAGAGATTCAAAAGGATATTTAAATGCATATAATATCTAGGGAGTATAAATATGTTTATCATGCTGAATCTCTCCAAGCACATGGTATCTCTTTCCATTTCTTAATATATATTTTTGTGAATTGCAATTTTTTAAAAAAAATGACTAATTTTCTTTAAATGTTTCAAGTCAACAGATACAGGACAAATAAAGCAATAATATGTAAAAGCTATATAAAAGAGTATTTTTAAAACATTTTGCAGTTGTCTTTTGCAAATATTTTCCCCAAGTCTATGGCGTTTGTCTTCTCATTCTCTTGACAGTGCCTTTTGAAGAGGAGAAGTTTTTAATTTTAATGAAATCCATCTTATTTCTTTTTAGTGAATAGTGCCCTTGAAGTTCTCTGTAAAAGTCATTGTCATACCCAAGATAATAAGGGTTTTTTTCCTATGGTGTCTTCTAGGAGTTGTAGATTTTTGTATGTTACATTTAGTTCTATGAGCCATTTTAAGTAAATATTTTTGAAGAGTGTAAGGTCTGTATTTATACTCATTTTTTTGCATGTGAATGTCCAGTTGCCCCGCATCATTTGTTGAAATATTATCTTTGTTCCATCATATTTCCTTTGCTCTTTTATCAAAGATCACTTGACTATAAGTGGGTATATTTCTAAGCTCTCTACTCTGTTCCACTGGTTTATTAGTCTATTATTTTGCTAATACCACACTGCCTTGATTACAGAAGACTTATAAGTCTCAAAATCATATAGTGTCAGTCTACTCACTTTGTTCTTTTCCTTCAA
The DNA here is from genome assembly GCF_000001405.40 of Homo sapiens. NCBI lineage: Eukaryota > Metazoa > Chordata > Mammalia > Primates > Hominidae > Homo > Homo sapiens. The sequence continues at coordinate 58,797,407 of NC_000004.12, read as the reverse complement.
TATTGAGTTGGCTATCCTGGATATTTTACCTCTTCACATAAATTTTAGGATCAGTCTGTCTACATCCACAAAATAATTTGCTGGGAGTTTAATCAGGATTGTATTGAAACTACAGATCAAGATCTTGGGAAGCACTGATGTCTTAACATATATGAGTCTACTTATTTATGGACATGACATATCGTTCCATTTATTTAGTTCTTCTTTGATATTAGTTCATTTCTAAAACGTCTTTTAGTTGGAATTATAGAGTATGTAGCATTTTCAAACTGGCTTCATTAACTTAGCAATATGCTTTACATTTTCTCCATGTCTTTCAAGCCTTAAAGCTCATTTCTAAATAATATTCGACGATATGTTTATCAGTGAGTAGCACATTTAAGTTCCCTGCCAGCCCATGGAATTTTTTAAATCCTATATAAGCAGAGGGGATATTCTATCCTATTGGTACTATAAAGCCTGCCTCCAAAAGTCTCTGATAGCTCACTCTGATCCTGAGTGAACATTTAAATGGCCCTGCCTGGCATGTGATATTCCTTCTCTCCCAGGTTGTGAATACATCTGATTTTAAACTTCTGTTGACCTCATCTGTCCAGTGTCTTATGTCATGCATTTGGACATCCTCATGAACTAGGGTGGTAATCCCTCTTTTACTAACAGGATGAATGTAAGGTGATTGCAAAAAGTTGATAAGATTTTAATGTATACCATTATTCATATTATTCTGAAAATAAACATGACATTTGTGGGGCAGAGATAAATACATTATTATAATTATTATACTCATCCCCAGCAATAACAGATCTTCCCTTTACCTCATTTCTTTTCTCCTGGGGCAATGTGATGATAGCTTATCCTATACATTCTGGGTTTTGAATTACAGGTAAAGAACCATGTTTGCTTAATTTCAGAAAAGTTTTCTTCAATTATATTTTGAATTGTTTTTTTCAGGTTTTCCCTGCCAACCCCAATTATGCATATTTTAGGTTTGCCTTTTCCTATAATTCATATCTATAATTTTTCACTTTAATATACTGTTTTTTCTTTCTTTATATTTGTATCATTGTATTCACATTTTTCTATTCTCTATGTTCTCATTATGTTTTGTGTCATGTCTATTTTCTTCAGTCTTTCTTATTTATTCATAATTTTAAAAAATTATAAAGATTTTTCAGAACCCATTTTACATTTCATTGTACTTTACTCATCATGTTGCACTTATTATTTGACTATTACTTGAATTCCTGTGTATCTACTTTGGTATTACTTCATAAATCTAATTGCTTTTTTTTAAATTTATATTGGAATTGGGTTATCATTTTCTAAAAAATCATTGTTAAAACATTTTTCTGGTGATATTTTATTATTATTATAAATGGTATGTTGATCATTTTAATATTCAAGTCTAATTCTATGAATCTTTGAGTATTCCTTTTCTGGCATTTGTGTTGGAATGAATTAATTTTTCTGACTAATAGCAAGAGGTTTTTGTGGACTGGAGAAAGGGAGTAGCTTGTGAGGTTTCACATTTTAAGGTCTCCCACCTCTGTTATTATAGTGGTGGACTGTTTTCTTAATTCATGCCACCAGTGTGTGGCCACTCTTCCTGTGACCCTCAGAACCTAATCTATTTCATAAGGACTTCTACTAATGGACTGTGTTTTCTTTCATTACTGTACAGTCCACTGTTTCCAAGAGACAGAGTCCTTTTCTTTAAATGTGAAGCAGTCACTTTTAGAAGTTGTATTTGGCAGGGACTTTATGAGATCAGTCACCTCTGGGTATTCCCACACACTTCTGTGCCTTCTTTCTTCTCAATTTACAGTGATAATATTATACTTACTACAGATTATTATCAGGATGGAACTTTTTTTATTCTGGGAGTGGATAGATGCTAGAGGTACTTGAAATATACAACCACAAGAAGATTTTCCTCCCAAGTCTTCTTCCCATGTGGGCTTGCTAGCTGGCTTAGCCCTTTGGCCACATTTAGAACAGATAAGGAATTTGCAAGATTTTCTGTCTCCTCATTTAGATGAAAATGTAGTTTTTATCTTTTAAAAAAATAGTTTTGATGCTCTGGTTGGTTTTCTAAATGAGAAGTTAAAAAAGTAAAAAATTAAATTATTTACAGCAAAAATAAACATTTTCTCTTAAAAATTTTTGTTAAATATAAATTTAATATTCGGTGTGTGCTTTCACTTGGTTTCAACCCAATTACACTTGGTTACAACCCAATTATTTCAAAGAAAACTTGATATATCCTTTACATTGCAATGATTTAGAGAAAAATGAAACCAAAGGCTAAAGATAAATCCTAATTTTCTCAACAGTCTATTACAATGCATGTGTCTATGTGTATAATAAAAAAACTATTGAAAATGTAATATTTAACCCGGCTCATATTTATAGTACTTTTAACAGTAAAAAATAGAACACTTGATTAAAATTTGTACTATTGGAAAATAAAAATGAAATGTACACAGTACAATAAAGAGATAAATTTTGTTATGCCCTTAATATTAGAATGTAGGGAACATTGTGATTTTTAAAAATTTAACTCACAATAAGTATTTTAATTCTATTAACCTGACCTCAACTTCTTTTACTGTTATCCAAATAATTTATTTTATTGGGAATGATTTTTTCACTTAAAGCTACTCTCTCTTACTCTCTCTCATGTTCAGTCTGTCTCATACTACTATTCCAATTAATGTAGCATATATTATAGATCCCAACAATTCTCTTTCTCTCTCTGTTTTTCTCATGCTAACATTATACTTGATGTGGCTTCAGTTGTAAAGCCCAATAATTATCTCCACATTTCAATACCATTATCTTATATAATATGTTGCCTAAAATTCAAATATGTTATTATTGAAGTTATTTATTGGAAAGTTAGGAGATACTGATAAAAGTATTTTAAAATTATGTAACCATAATTACTTTTTCCAAATTTGAATCACTGTTATCAAAATCAATATCTCGGAAAATATTCAACTTATTTTTTGGAAAAAAATAGGGTAATGTTCATAGTATCTTTAGAGGTAGGTGATAAAATATATTTCATTAGTGACACTAGAACTAAATAGTATATATAATGATGTATATGAATTATAATCATTATAATTAAAAACTTGCAAAAATAGTAAGATAATCCTAATATCTCATACTTCTTTCTGCTGTGTAATTTTAGATCTTAGGATTCTGAGGATAACTCTCAATGTTACATGCTTTTCTCCCCACAATATTTTAAAAGAATTTACTGCTCATTCAGAAGGCTGTAAAATGCTATTTATAAGCTAATGCTATTAGTATGTTTACCAAATGTAAAGCAGAGTTATTTAAATTATCAATAACACAAATTCCATTCTGTAAATCGCCTAAGATGGTGAGACAAAAAGTGCTACCATTTAAGTTTGTACTAAGAGAATTTCTAGAAAAAAAATATCTGTAATCTACGTAAAAACTGTCTATCAATGCAGGAGTGAGGCTTAGGGAAGACATGAGGGAGGCCTATGAACAGATGAAGAATATTGAAATCTCTCCTGGTGGATGCCTGGATCTAATTAAGTGGGATAAAGAATCACAGTAGTCCAAATGTAAAGCTCCAAAAAAAAAAATTTCCTCATAAGTCCATGAAGAATATCATTAATGTCTATTTACCTCCTCACAAACTTAAGAACTGGTTATACCTTGGTCTTGGGAGCCGTGGATAGCTCCTTCATACCTGACCATGTTGTATATATGGTGTTTGGAAGAGACTTCATGTTTTGTTTTGTTTTTGTTTTTGTTTTTGTTTTTGTTTTTGACAGATTCTTACTCTGTCACCCCAGTTGGAGTGTGCAGTTTCATGACCTCGGCTCACTGCAAACTCCACCTCCAAGGCTCAAGCGATTCTCCTGCCTCATCCTCCTGAGTAGCTGGGATTACAGGTGTGTGCCACCACTGCCAACTAATTTTTGTATTTTTAATAAAGGTGGGATTTCACCATGTGGGCCAGGTTGGTCTCAAACTCCTGACCTCAAAATTATCCACCTGCCTCGGCATCCCAAAGTGCTAGAATTACAGGCGTGAGCCACCACAGCCAACCTCATGTTTTTTACATCTCCTGTGATAGTCAGGACTCTCGGTTCTCCAGAGAAACAGAACGTATCTATCAATATCTCTATCTATCTATCTATCTATCTATCTATCTAATCTATCAATCATCTATATATCTATATACAGACATAAATATACAGGCACACTTCAAATATACTGCAGGTCCAGTTGCAGACCACTGCAATAAAACAAGTCACACATTCTTTTTGTTTGTTTCTCAGTATATATAAAAGATATTTTTATGCTCTACTGTAGACTGTTAAATGAGTAATACCATTATGTCTAAAACAACCGACGTACTTACCTTAATTAAAAATATTTTATTGCTAAAAAATATTAACACGACCTAAGTCTTTGGTGAGAGGTATTCTTTTTGCTAATGGAAGGTCTTGCCTGAATGTTGATGGCTGCTAACTGATCAGGGTGGTGATAGCTGAATGTTGGAGAGGCTGTGGCATGTTCTTCAAAAAAAAAAAAAAAAAAAAAAGAAAAGAAAACAAAGTTTGTTGCATGGATTGGTTCTTCCTTTTAGGAAAGATTTTGTGTAGTATACCATGCTGTTTGATAGAATTTTACCCACAGTAGAAATTTCTTTCAAAATTGGAGTCAGTCCTCTTGAGCCCAGCCACTGTTTTATCAGCCAAGTTTATTTAATATTTAAAATACTTGCTTGTCATTTCAACAATGTATATAGCATCTTCACCAGAAGTGGATTCTGTCTCAAGAAACCACTTCGTTTGTATATCCATAAGAAGCAACTCTTCATCTGTTCAAGTTTTATCATGAGATTGTGGCAATTCAATGACATCATGATGCTCCACTTATAATTTGAATTCTCTCACTATTTCCACCTCATTTGCAGTGACTGCCTCCACTGAAGTCTTTAATGTCTCAAAGTTATTCACACATTTTGGAATCCACTTCTAAAGTCCTGTTAATGTTGATATTTTGACTTCCTTCCATAAATCACAAATGTTCTTAGTGACATCTAGAATGTTGAATTCTTTCTGGGAGGTGGTCAATTTTCTTTGCCCAGATTCATCAGAGGAATCAGTAACTATGGCAGCTATAGCTTTACAAAATTTATTTTAAAAATTATAAAACTTGAAAGTCAAAATTATTTCTTGAGCCATGGGCCAAAGAATAGTTTTTGTTAGCAGACATTAAAACAACATTAATCTTATTGTACATCTGTCTCTACCAGAGCTTTGGAGTGACTGGATGCATTATTAATGAGCAGTAATATTTTGAAATAAATCTTTTGTTCTGAGCAGTAGGTCTCAACAGTGAGTTTAAAATATCCCATAAACCATGTAGTAAAGAGATATACTGGATGACCAGGCTTTATTGTTCCATTTATAGAACAAAGGCAGAGTAGAGTCAACGTAACTCTGAAAGTGCCCATGATTTTTAGAATGGTACATAAGCACTGGCTTAAACTTGAAGTCAACAGCTGCATGTGCCTCTAACAAGAGAGTTGGTCTGCCCTTTGATGCTTTGAAGCCAGGCATTGACCTCTCTGCTCTAGCTATGAAAGTCCTAGATGGCTTCTGCTTTCAGTAGAAGGCTGTTTTATCTACATTGAAAAATCTGTTGTTTAATGTAGCCACCTTTATCAACTATCTTAGATCTTCTGGATAACTTGCCGCAGCTTCTATAGCCTCACTTGTTACTTCATTTTGTACTTTTATTTTAGGGACATGTCTTATTTTGTAAATATTATAAGGTTTGCTGACTTCAAACTTTTCTTCTCCAGCTTCCTCACCTCTCTCAGCCTTCATAGAATTGAAGAGAAATAGAGCATTGCTCTGGATTAGGCTTTGATTTAAGGGAACATTGTGGCTGGACTAATCTATCTAAGCTACCAAAACTTTCTCCATATCAGCATAAGGCTGTTTTGCTTTCTTACCATTCATGTGTTTGCTGGAGCAGCACTCTGAATTTATTTCAAGAACTTTTTCTTTTCATTCACAACTTGGCTGTTTTGGGCAAGAGACATAGTTTTCAGCATATCTAAAGCTTTTGACATGCCTTCTTCACTAAGTTTAATCATTTCTAGCTTTTGATGAAAAGTGAGTGACGTGCCACTCTTCCTTTCACTTGAACACTTAGAGGCCATTGTAGGGCTATTAGCCTAATTTCAGGGAATAGGGAGGCCTGAGGAAAGGGAGCATGACTGAAAACAGCTGGTTGGTGGAGCAGATAGAACACACACAACATTTATGGATTAATTTTACCATCTTATATGAGCATGGCTTATGGCAGCCCAAAACAGTGACAATAGTACCATCAAAGATCACGAATCACATATCACCATAACAGTTATAATAATAATGAAAGAGTTTGAAATATTGTAAGAATCACCTAATTATAACAGAGAGACACAGTGTGATCACAAGCTGTTGGAAAAATGGTGCTGACTTCCCTAACCCAGGGTTGCCACAATCTTTCAATTTGTAAAAACCTCAATATCTTTGAAGAACAATAAAGAGGAATTTAAAAAAAAACACAAGGTATGCCCGCTGATTTGTATACATAAATGAAATTAAAAATAAGACTTAATAAAGGAAGTGGTTTACACCATGTAGAGGCTAAGAAGTTCAGTAATCTGCCATCTACAAGCTGGATACCCAGGAAAGCCAGTAATGTATTTGAAAGACCTGAGAGCCTTACAGCCAGAGATACAGTGGTATAGATTCCATTCTGATTCTAAAGTCCTGAGAACCAGGATCACAAATAGAAGAAGATGGATGTCCCAGCTTAGCAGTCATTGCTGACTGTGAATTCAACTTTCCCCTGCCATTTTGTTCTACTCAGTCCCTCAAAGGTTTGGATGATGCCTGTCTATGCACACTGGGGAGGGCCATCTGATTTACTCAGTCCACGAAGTGAATTGCCAATCTCTTCCTAAAACATCCTTACAGACACACTAAGAAATTATGTCTAACCAGATATATGGCATCTGATGATTAGTCAAGTTAACACATAAAACTGGCCATCACATTCCCCATTTAAACTTTTGACATATCAACTTAGAGGAAATAAAGAAACAACAATACGCTTTTTAAAAACCAGGAAATTCTGGGATTTTTTTTTAAGTTTATTCAAAAAATAATATTAGAGAAAAACTCAGTTACTGAAAATAGAAGTATATTTAGATTTGAAACAAAAAGCCACACAAGAATTTCTGAAGTTATTTAATATGCTTAAGCATACTTTATTCCTTTATTTTGTAAGATTAAGATAGGCATTGTCCAGGAGGGAACACAGGTTCCCAGAGATTGATGGCCTGCCCACCACTACATGTGTACAGTCAAAAAATAACTAAAAATAGAGCTTTGATTTCACAATTCTACTCCAGGATTCAGATCACCTTAGGGTTTCATGAGATCATATTACCATAACGTATGATTTATTTTTTGGACACTATAAAGTACCATTATCCTAATGAGAATATGTCCACCGTGTTTGTACAAATTATATATAGCCCATAAATTGCTCAAGAGTATCGTGTTTATCTCACATATCAAATAATTGGTCTTACATATAATCTTTACATAATTCACAAGTGCCTATGATTAGGTTGGTGCAAAAGTAATTGTGGTTTTTGCCATTGCTTTTAATGGCAATACCGCAATTACTTTTGTACCAACCTAATAGCTACCTCTGCCTTGTAGTAAAGTATTAGTACCATTATATTTTCCCCCACCCTCACAAAAAAATCACAGCCTCTCTTCCTTCTTTCTTTAGAATTGTCTGGAGTGTAGAGGTGCATAGGTGATAGTTGTACAGACCTTTTCAAAATTTGTCACATCTGACATAATCATATTGGTAGAAATTGTAGTGGTGTGATGCAGATTTCATTATTATTACAGGTTTTTTATCTCTTCAGCAAAAGTTGTACTTCTCTCTAGTTTAGAGTCCACTGAGTGAGAAAAGGTTGAGTTTTTAGTTCAGAAAACACAGGGTTATTACCTGATTGCCTCTACTGTAAATTTCAATAACAATTTTTAAGAATATCTACCAACTCGTTGTCTGCCATATCTTTTTCTTGAAAACTGTGGCGGAAATGAAAAGATTTATAATATCATTATCATGTTTGTCATGTTTTCATCATAAGAAACATCTTTGAAAACATGTCTCACAATGTCAGCTCAGAGGAGAGTAAATGACAAAGTATTTTAATTTAGAAAATATCTCAGAAAATATAGGTAAACTCACCCACAGGTTAAAGGGTTTTTCTAAAGTTTTACAATTAATTAGTTAGTGGGTTCTGAAAGAAATTCTGTTCTTGTGACTTTAATTTAGGTTTTTAAAATTGTCCAGCAATCTGCTCATCTATTAGTTATCATTTTAAAAAATTTGGGACAACCATGAAAAGAAAAGAGAAAAATAGGTTAATAACAAGGATTTTTAACTTTAAGATAAAAAACAGGTAGGAAAGAAATCCATGTTGGTAAAAATTCTCTAAAATGAATTTCATACTGTAACTTATGGATGGCAGAAGATTGATTCTAATAATATTGTAATTACAAATATTTCTATAGATCATATAAAATAGAGCTTTGTTATGCACAAGAAACCTCTTCTCAAATTAGCAAAGAAAGTTTCAAAATGGAATTTCCCTTGAATGGTGGGTAAATAAAATTAATTATTAAGTGAATGAGCTGAGTAACATGTAAATCTGTCTTATTTCTCATCATCAAGTATTAACGTTCCTATGCGGTAACTTGTAAATAGTAAAAAATGTTCTATGTAAAGCATATTAAATTTGGAGTTTTTGAGTCTACTTACTAATATATGTCCATTATAGGTGACTTAATGAAAGCAAAGCAAAGCAAAAATTGAGAAATTTTGAACCCAAGCTATATTTGTAGTAGTCTACATAATAAAAATGTTAGACTATTTAAATACAATTTCTCATTTCTAATACAATTTCCAGTTCCTTTTCGTGAAACCATTGAACATCCTAAAAAAAATTCTTTTTTGGATTTTTCAAATTCTGCTGACTCTTTCTGGCCTACCATCATCACCTTCCATTCCAGTCTCTGCTTGGATGTTGCTTTCTTTTTTAAAGGCCTTATACTCCATTTCCTATGGTTTAATCAAGTTGTTTATAATCAAGGTTTTTTTAATATTGGTTGATATGTACAGAGGTTTACTCCTTCCAATAACAAGTTTGCAGCTAATGCAACTAGTTTTACTTTTTCCACAGTTCTGGTTTGTCTCTGTTGTACAGGTACACATGGGAGTGACTGAGAGTTTTATCACACCTTCAATTCAAAATTAGTTCCTCTTTCCTGAGAAAAACAAGAATCACATTTATCTAGCAGACTATAGAAATCAAGAAGTTAACAAAGTGAAGGGATTTCAGAAACAGGAATATGAAAATAAATATTAAAGAGCTGGAAGATGGAAAGAAAGGAAGAAGACAGAAGAAAAATTGCCCAGAATCTGTTTTGTAGCTTGCTTATTTGTTTTGTAACTTATTTATTTGTTTTATATTTTTAATCCAGTGAAGAAAAGCTTCCTGGTTTTTAACTCAGTTTAAGATACTGGGGAAATATTAAAACACAGTTGGAAATTAGGGCAATAGAGAGAGCTTTTTAAAAAACTGTGGTCTGGCTTGAAATTTTCTACATTGGGCAGAAATGTCCTCAGTACATTGTTTTCTGAATAAAGATGAACACATAGCTCCATTCTAGCTTTTGAACATTAGTGAATGGTTTATTAAATATTTGGCATGCTACATAATGGTAACTATGTAACAACTGTCAAATACACTACTAATACATAACAACTGATGAGAGAGCAAGGTGACCACATTGGGAAGGTTGATGATAACAACTATCATTTTTGAGTCTTATGTGCTAGGTATTGTTTTAATCATTGCTGTGAGACTGGCACGTCATAAAATATACCAAGAGTGTAAGCATATGTGTAAGCCAATGGTGAATTTTACGACACACCATTCTCATAGTTCAGAAGTTCACACACCTTCTGAACTAGGTGCTATGAATATTCTAATTCTATAGAAACTTAAAGAGAAATATAAGGAAAATGTCTGGAATATTAAAGCCCAAAAGAATTCCTGAGAACAGAGCATCTGTACTAAACTCAAAATATGGGTCTGGGCTCAGCCCATTTGGAGGCTGAGGTGGGTGGATCAAGAGGTCAAGAGATTGAGACCAACCTGGCCAACATGGTGAAGCCCCATCTCTACTAAAAATATAAAAATCAGCTGGGTGTGGTGGTGTGCACCTGTAGTCCCACATACTTGGGAGGCTGAGGCAGGACAATTGCTTGAACCCAGAAGGTGGAGGTTGCAGTGAGCCGAGATCATGCCACTGCACTCCAGCCTGGTGACAGAGTTAGACTCCATGTTTCTCTCTCTCTCTCTCATGTATATATATGAATGACAGAGCTAGACTCCATCTATCTATATATATATACATATGGATACACTGAAACGCAAAGGCTTTCACGTCACTCTCCACAAATTTTGAACCTATTACAAATCTAATGGCCTCAGAACTTGTGTACACAAGTATACAATGATTGTCATGGAAACTATTAGCTCATAATAAGCTTTGGATTCTGTTGAATTTCAGAATTTTAGAGATGATAAGATGAATGACTGTTAGAGATGGAAGGGACTCAGAGAGCCTCTGAACTGCTTTCTAAATTCACAGATTGAAAATCTAAAACCCACAGAGTTCAAAGACCTTACTCAAAGTCAAAGAGCTAGTGGGTGGTCAAGCTTACATTAATTCTAGATTTGTCTAGATTGATGGATTCTGCATTCTACCATCTAAGATTAAAATTTGACTGGAAGAATACTCTAGATGTTCAGTCAAAAGCTAAAGGTTAAAATTTGCATGAAATAACTCATGAATTCTATTTCCATTGTTTCAACTGAAAATTATTTGCAAAATAAATGTGCGTGTACATTATAAATTTGATTGGCAATATTGATTTAAAACGGAGGTTATCAATATTTTTTAAGTACAAGGTGTCAGAATTGTATTGAACTCCTAAAAGAATAAACCCAAAATAAGTTTTAAAATATGACCAAAATTTGATATTAAAATCACAGAAAAGAGTAATAGAACCCTGGATTGAGAATAAAAATGACTGTATTCTGCCTTAGAATGTACTCCTTTAAATGAACAGTAATTCCTTGAAGAAGTCTCTGTGCATATCTAAATTTAATTTTCTTCATTGCACACTAAGGTATTTGAATTTAATAATATCTGTGATTCTTCCTAACACTGTGTTCCCATACCTGTTTGATCTTTAATTACTCAGTCCTATTGAAATTTTTCTCTAACAGTAAACCTACTTTTCTGTTTCTTTTATTCTAAATTATTTTACTGTCTATTGTCATATTCACTTTCCTAAACATTTTCATGATAACAGCATTCATCCAGAATTTTTAATGACTGTTTGTTCCATTCTAAATAAAACTCAAATGCATGATCTTGAAATTTAGGACATTTTTCTTTATTTTTTTTCAATAGTGGGCTCATAAACATACTTTCAACCTGTATTAACCACTTCATCTAGTTTAGGAAAATTTAAAAACTATCTATGGATATCAATAGTCATAATTCCATAGGATAAAACTACTCTCTTTTTCCTTTAATGAAAACAAATCATTTATCCCAGTGTATTTTTCCTTATTAAAAACACATACGTTTTTGCATATTTTATATACTGAGTTGTTTGCTTCATTCACCCTTATTATTTCTAGTTTAGTTATATATATATTGATTATATTTTTAACCATTAATAACTAACTTCCTTTTACAGAGAAAACCAGGAAGTAGAAAATTGTCATTTACTAGCATTCTCTAGCAGAGTAACAAATGTATGCATATACTATTTTATAATTAAAGGGGCATATACATTTCCAAAGTATAATTTTTAGATGGCATAAAACTGTTTATTAACAGAACATATATAATCATAGTCTCTGTATTCCATAAGATGTCAAAAGTATGTAATCTTGAACATATGTTAGTAATTAAGTTTCAGTAGTTTACTTTATTTAGAAATGGCCCAGACATTTAATAAATATCTATTACTTAACTTGGCATAGCTTTAGTTACAAGTTATTTTAAAAATTATCTTTAGGCAGACATATGATAACATTAAACAAAGCTAACTCTCATCTCAAGTTATTTCCCTGTTAAGTATTTTATAGCACTTGCACGGTATGCAAAGCATCACAAAAGCATAAACCTAAAAAGTTAAATACGTGAAGTTTTGTTTATTTTTATTTCTGTGCTTGATATACATGAAGTAATGTATTTCAAGCAGTTCATTTTTATTGTATCTTTACTTGTACATTACTTGTACTTGTACATACATTTGATTGTATCTTTACTTGTACATTTGTTCTTAGGTTGAATTTTTATTTTTAATAATCTTAAACATCTAATAATAGAAATAAACACCTTAATTAACTAGTAAATCCAGGTAGAATAAAAATATATGCCAATATTATAATTAATGATGAAATACCAATTTTTATTTAACTAACAATATTGAACTAATTTTATTTATCAAAAGATGTTTACCCAAGTCATGTGAACATGTAGAGCATTTGGATTAGTTTCCATATTCCTGGAAGGCTTAGAAATATTTAATTTAGTACCTGGTTTGGTGGCACACACTTGTATTTCCAGCAACTGGGGAGGCCGAAGCAGCAGAAACACTTGAGCCAAGGAATTTGAGGCTGTAGTGTGCTATGCTATGATCACACCTGTGAAGAGCCACTGCATTCCAGTCTCTAAAATATATGTAAGAAGTCTTGGGGTTTTTTTTAATGATTAAGGACATGATAAAAGTGAACATAACACATGGGATATTAATTTGATAAGACACAAGATTGTGGTTTCCTAGGCAGATTATTGAAAAGGTAAAGAAAAACATTTTACTATCTCTTATTAAAAGCAGACTAATAATCTTAAAAAAAAGTAATATGTAAGAAAACAAAATATCCAGTTTGTTTCTAATTAACCTTTTTTTTCTTTTCAGCTTCTGATAGTTGCTTTTGGGGATCGATGAATCGCTTGAGAATCTCTGATTGGGCAAAAGGCCTAAGTGTCTATAAGAAGCTGAGGAGCTGGAGTGGGAGCAGAAACGTCTGGCAGGGTGAATGGAGGTGAGGAAGAGGCAGAGGACTGAAGGAGGATATAGCAAAGGATGCCAAAAGCCAAATGGAAGATCAAAGGTGGTAAAAAGAAAAGGTGGAAAAGCAGAGGTAATGGTGAGAGAGATCCAAGAGGATTTAGTTTGGGGAGATGTTAAGTTTTCCAAAGGTGCTAAAATAGTTCCAAATGCTCTTTAGTAAAATTATGCCAACAAAAACAAGTGGATAGAGTTGGCAGGGCATATGGTTAGCAAGGATCTGAGAAGGTGATTTCAGTTGATTGAGAAGTTCCATCAGCAGAGCAGGATTAAATAGAGACATCAAAGGGAAAGCCACCACCACCGCCCCCCCCCCCAAAAAAATACTGTTTTCCAGCCCAGAAGTCAGGGATCGAATCCAAATCAAAACAAGGAGCCAGGCAGAAGAACTTGCAGCCCAGGAGGTATCTTTCAAAAGAAGCCTGGGACTGTAACCCAGCTTTCAAGGATATACTCCAAATCCTAAGAATCAAAATCTGTCCCTACCATGGTTCAACAAACTGTCAACCAAGCACTGGCTCAGGAATTAGATGTACTAGTGGATCTAAGATCAATCAGAAATGAAGAAGAAATCTTCAAAGATACACACTTGGGGTCCTGAGTGAAAAGTCCAGGAGTCCAATGATGAGTCTGATTCTATCTGAATCACTGTACCGTAACTATAAAAAATTTATTCATAGCCCTTGTTAAAGATGGGAAAGAGAACTTTATTTAAGAGAGACTACAACAGTGAAGTTTTTCCATAGAGGAGAGAGATTGGGTTCAACTCCAAAAATAACAAGAACAAATGGAGATTTATAGCTAAGAAGATAGGTAGAGGTCACAGAATAAAAAATTACTAAGGTATCATAATGTATAAGGACAATTTTGGCTAAACCTACTTGACAGGAATTTTGCTGAAGACAGCGCAGAGTGATAAGATATCAGGGGTGGGCAATGAGGATTTAATCAGATATCAAGAGTGGATGATTTTTCCCAAACTGACCTGAAAAATTATTGTTAAAACTGGACTAAACAGGCCATGGACAGAGCTCAAGGTTGGAGCTTTGAGGGTTTAGCAGAGTCTGACTAAAGTTATGTCACGGGAAGTCTTTGTCTACACACACACACACACACACACACACACACACACCATATACTATGTTATACATATAAACATACATACACATACATAAATGTATATTATGTTGGGGGAAAGAGGAACTCTCATAGACTTTTGGAGAAATCATTAGAAGATTTAAGTGAGTACTAAGTGGGTAGAGGAACATCAGTAGAATTGCAGATGGGATCAGACAAAGACTGTATAGATGTAGAGGCGAGAGGTGAAATGAAAGCAGGAGACATGTAGGAAATGGGGCTCACCCTGAGATAAGGAGATAAAAGGATTTGTGAGACAAATATGGGTGAATCAAATTGGAGCAACTTATAAGTCACTGTCTCCTCCAAACTCATCCTTTGTTGAACAGCTGGAAGAAGTGGGATTAATCCATATGGTAAAGAAGAAAATATAGATATTTGGACCGAAGAGGTTAAAAAAGTCAATGGATGACACCATTCTCTGAAGGTAAGCTACAAGTATATCTCTTTGAACCCTATGTGCCATAATTTTTAGTAGTCAGAAAATTCAAGCATATACTTTTCATTAGAAAGACTGCTTGACACTTATGGGAAACAACATCAAGAATGAGAACCTACAAAAATAAAACCTAAAAAAAACTTGTTACTCGAAGAAATAATCAATAGGAGTGTTAGGGATGAATGTTTGTGGCCGTCAAAACTTACATGCTGAAATACTAGCCCCAGTGTGATTGTATTAGGAGGCAGGTTGTTTTTTTTTTTTTGAAGGTAAGTAGGTCAGTAGGATAGAATCTCATGAGTAGGATCAATGCTGTTATAAGAAGAGACACAAGAGTTTTCTTTTTTCTCTGATCTCTGCCATATGAGAATACAAAACTTCCATCTGTAAACCAGGAAGTAGACTCACAAAACACACTGGATCTGACATCTTGATCTTCAATTTTCTGGCCTCCAGAACTGTGAGATATAAATACGTGTTGTTAAGCCACTCAGTCTAAGGTAATTTGTCATAGCAGCTCAAACTGAGTATCAAAATAGGGAAAACAGAGGTTTTAGAATAGCTTTATTTAATATTTTCAAGATATTTTAGAATATGTCATATACAACAAATAAATATCTATAGTACTTTTAATTTAAAACGTATATTTAAAGAATAAAAGTCTAATTTATAGACCAAAGAGCAGAACGAACTAAGCTGAGGAGTGCATTGCTGAAGTAGAAGAATGGGCTGTTAAAGGTCCAGGAAGACTAAAAGGATATTATTAACAAAAGAAAAAATAGAGATAGAAAAGGTACATAGAAAAGTACTAAGTGGGATGCTTGACTATAGGCTCTGGAGCCAGACTGCCAGGGATTAATACTGGCTGTCCCTTAATACCTGTGTCAACTCAGGCAAGTAATTTAGCTTCCCTGTTTCTTTCTCACTTTTAGAATAGAGATAATAATAATATCAATAATAATAACCATTCTTTAGTGTTATTATGTGAATAAGTCATTTAATACATGTAAAGTCCTTAGTAATGTGTTTGACATTATTAATTGCTTGGCAAATGTTAGCTAGTATCACTATTGTAAGGATAAAATTATACAATTTTTTTCCCATTCCCCTCAGTGTGTCTCCTTGAAAACATCATAAACTCCAAATTTGTCTGTTCTATTGTGGTTTTTCTTAAAAACTCCCTTAGTTTTACTGAAGTATAATTGACAAATAAAAATTACATATATTTAGAGTATACAACATGATATCTTTATATACATATATACTGTGAAATAATTACCAAAGTCAAGCGAATTACCATTTTTAAAAGATGCCCATCCAGGACCTGATGGCTTCACTGGGGAATTTTACCAAACATTTTGAAAAGATACAATCATTTAAGAATAATACTTCTCAAACTCTTACAGAAAATTAAAGAGGAATCCAAACTCATTGTATGAGGCCAGCATTACGCTGATACCTGATCCACAGAAGGACACTAGAAGAAAAGAAAATCACAGGCTAATTTCCTTGATGAACATAGATGCAAGGATCCTCAACAAAATACCAGCAAACCAAATTCAACAGCACATTAACAGTGTCACACATGAGCAACTGGAATTTATCCCTGGGACGGAAGGATGGTTCAACACTGGCCTATTGTTTTTAAGGCTTTCTGGCTCTGGAAACTGTAAACTCTTGCCTCCAAAATGACCTCAGGAGTCTCCCAGGAATTACAGGAGACTATTCCAAGGTGCAATAATTTATCTCTCAAAGAGATAAAAGTTTAATTTTAATTTTTCTTTCTTCTGCTTTACTGAATTAATTTATGAAAATTCTATCTGGACTTTATAGCCTCTTTTACAGACTGCTTACAATATGCAGTGTACTTTAGATGTGCTTATTCAGTAGTTAAACTCCTTTTACTGTGTCTTATGGAGAGGGCTCCCTCTATCATTTTTTGTTTTCTCAACACTATATAGTCAATATCTATTAAGAGAAGTTCTGAAAGAAAAACACTGAAAGAGGAGGAAAATAATAAAAGGAACAATTAGAGCAATACAACATAAATGCCTATAGCCAAACAACTGAAGGAGTTTTCATATTTAAGGGGCCCCATGAGTATCTCATTAAATGAGTGAAAAACCACTTATACCTAATTTAATTGTTGTGAAATCTCAGAACACTAAGATTTAATATTAAAATCTAAATATTGCCAGAGAGAAAACACACTACAGAGGAACTAGAATCAGAAAATTATCGCAATGTAGAAAATACTAGTTGAGAATAATATAAATAGATCCAATGGAAGAATAAATATGTAATAAATGCATATAAAGTGGCATCCTGAATTGACTTATCAACTCTGTTTCTTAAAAACTAGCAAATTTGTTTTTTTCAAGTTTGAGAAATTTCTTGACGTTGATATGGTCTCAATTTTTCATCTTATTTTGTTCTATGTCTGCTTAAATATTTCAACTATTTCCATCTTTCACATCACTTATTCAATCCACACAGCTCTAGGACAAATTTTTACTTTCTCAAATCATAATATTCATTATTGCTTAAAAAAAGACTCTATAATTGGGCAAAGATAAAGTTTTTAAAAAAAACCTCCATTAATTGATTGCTAAAAAGGCTTTACTTTCTTTCTCTATAAAAATATCCATCTAGAGTGTTTTATTTCCTACCAGACAGTGATTTCCATTTCTATTTGTGCTGTGCTGTAGTAGTTTTTTCTGTGGGTCTCCTGATAATCTGTCATCATATTCCACCTGGTGAAATAATAAGCAATATTTTTCCAGATTGTCTTTCAGTGGGAAAAATAAACTTGAGATAGTTCAGAGCTGAAAATAGATTCCTAATTATATAGAAATATGGGCACCACCATATCTGCTAGAAATTATCACATTTTTCTTTCAGTTGGAAAAGTTCTGGACAATTTTTAACCACTTCAGAGGCATTTTTATGTCACTTGCCCATGTAATTTTAGTGGACACATGTGTCTAGGTCAATGTCCCTTTCTTTAGGGAATCAGCCTTCCTGAATTCCTTATCGTCAAAGTGGATGTGTCAATGGTCATCTCTAACCTTCTCAAAAGGGACACATCTCCATGATCATATGATTAATTCAGGAAAAAATTTTGATTAAAGCCAAGTCGGTTACATAATTTTCTCCTAAGGTTAGAGGAGTAGATGCTCTTCTTCTCATAGGTTACAACGTAGGGAGGATTCTAATCTTGACCATTAATATCAATTTCCTTACTACAACTAAAAAGTGTGATAAAAGAGTTGAATCTACATACAGAGGAAGGGCATAATATAAAGGAAGAAGGTAACAGAAACTTGACTACATTGTTTGAACTCTCAGTATCCAGTTACATCTGAAGCTATTATATCTATAGATTTTTAAAATTAATTCAGATAATCATTCTCCATCCAGCTTTGTTCCGTTGCTGATGAGGAAGTGCGTTCCTTTGGAGGAGGAGAGGCGCTCTGCGTTTTAGAGTTTCCAGTTTTTCTGTTCTGTTTTTTCCCCATCTTTGTGGTTTTATCTACTTTTGGTCTTTGATGATGGTGATGTACAGATGGGTTTTCGGTGTGGATGTCCTTTCTGTTTGTTAGTTTTCCTTCTAACAAACAGGACCCTCAGCTGCAGGTCTGTTGGAATACCCTGCCGTGTGAGGTGTCAGTGTGCCCCTGCTGGGGGGTGCCTCCCAGTTAGGCTGCTCGGGGGTCAGGGGTCAGGGACCCACTTGAGGAGGCAGTCTGCCCGTTCTCAGATCTCCAGCTGCGTGCTGGGAGAACCACTGCTCTCTTCAAAGCTGTCAGACAGGGACATTTAAGTCTGCAGAGGTTACTGCTGTCTTTTTGTTTGTCTGTGCCCTGCCCCCAGAGGACATGGGAGAAAATTTTCGCAACCTACTCATCTGACAAAGGGCTAATATCCAGAATCTACAATGAACTCAAACAAATTTACAAGAAAAAAACAAACAACCCCATCAAAAAGTGGGCGAAGGACATGAACAGACACTTCTCAAAAGAAGACATTTATGCAGCCAAAAAATACATGAAAAAATGCTCATCATCACTGGCCATCAGAGAAATGCAAATCAAAACCACTATGAGATATCATCTCACACCAGTTAGAATGGCAATCATTAAAAAGTCAGGAAACAACAGGTGCTGGAGAGGATGTGGAGAAATAGGAACACTCTTACACTGTTGGTGGGACTGTAAACTAGTTCAACCATTGTGGAAGTCAGTGTGGCGATTCCTCAGGGATCTAGAACTAGAAATACCATTTGACCCAGCCATCCCATGACTGGGTATATACCCAAATGACTATAAATCATGCTGCTATAAAGACACATGCACACGTATGTTTATTGCAGCATTATTCACAATAGCAAAGACTTGGAACCAACCCAAATGTCCAACAATGATAGACTGGATTAAGAAAATGTGGCACATATACACCATAGAATACTATGCAGCCATAAAAAATGATGAGTTCATGTCCTTTGTAGGGACATGGATGAAATTGGAAACCATCATTCTCAGTAAACCATCACAAGAACAAAAAACCAAACACCGCATATTCTCACTCATAGGTGGGAATTGAACAATGAGATCACATGGACACAGGAAGGGGAATATCACACTCTGGGGACTGTGGTGGGGTGGGGGGAGGGGGGAGGGATAGCATTGGGAGATATATCTAATGCTAAATGATGAGTTAATGGGTGCAGCACACCAGCATGGCACATGTATATATATGTAACTAACCTGCACAATGTGCACATGTACCCTAAAACTTAAAGTATAATAATAAAAAAAAAAACTAAAAAAAAAAAAAATTAATTCAGATAATTTTTTTTCACTTGCACCTGAAAGATTCTCAACTAAGAGATATTTTCTTAATTTGACGTAAGACGAGACTAAGGTTAAGAATTTAAGTATCTTTCTCAATGTACACACATGCACATATGCACATACATACACATGTATTTATTCATCAGAAACATTCTTAATCCAAAAAAATGAAAATTGCAGAACATATTGTAAAACAGACATCTTCTTAGGCACATATTTGATGATCCAATTTTATTTTATGAAACAAATATGTAAATAAGTGAATACATAATGTATATGAGCTAAAATTATGGAAATACAATCAAGAGATCATTTGGAATAAATTATTTCCCTTTTCTTCAAAAATCATTTAGTCATTAAGACCATCTGAAAACATTAGTGTCTTAAGATATACTGTGGTACGTTGGATTTTGTTGGATGGTTTCTGAATGGAGTTACTCCGCCACTTATTTTACCATTTACGACACCAGCCCAGTTCCTTAAAATACCAGTTAATCTCTATCATATTTTGCAGTATCAATGAAAATTTATGAGATATGGAATTAAAGAGGCAGAACATCTAGAAATTCACTTAATACCTAACTCAGATAATTTTGGGATAATTTGAGGTGTTTCCTCAGAAGATGCACACACACACACATACATATATATACCTGTGTGTCACATATATATCTGCTCAGATATATCTACTAGGAAAATATAAACCTTCATTTCTTACTCACTGGTTCTTCATTGTAGAGTCTTTAAATATGTGTTTTTGATTTATGGGTTTCAGTTAAGTTCCATGGCTAGTCATCCTCTATATGTTATCAGAAGTAGCCAACTATTTACCTCCCAGCTTCCTTGACAATGACACATAATCCCCTTTCCCCAGTGTATTTACTATGACTAATGCTGTTAAACTGTCTGTAGTCAGCATTACAGATTTTTCTACAGTTTTATACGTGATCTTGAGTGGAAAGTAATGATTTTTTTTCCCAAATTGGCTCCTAAATTTTACAGATGACATGATATTCTTGAAGAATCCACAATTATATGCAGTAGTGGGTAATGTCACATAGAGAACCAAATATCTATTTCTGGATGTGAGAGCTTTTGAAAATATGTTCACAAATTTTTCTGCAATATGTTTTTGTATTTGTTCAAAAATATCCATGCCCCTCTTTGGTTTTATACTTACAGAGTCTCTCCCTAGAGGAGGAGCACACTTCTCACCAAAGTGACTTCAGGATTGGACATGTGACTTGCTTTAGAAAAGGAAATATGCACAGGAGTGACATAAGCCACATCTGGGTAAAACTTCCAAGAGACAAAATTAGAAATTTTCCTTTGATTGGGACCCTAAAAGATAAAGGTGGTGATATGGTTTGACTGTGTCCTGCCCAAATCTCATTTTGAGTTGTAGTTTCCATGATCCCCACATGTCATGGGAGGGACCCAGTGAGAAGTAATTGAATCATGGGGGCGGTTACCCCCATGATGCTGTTCTCATGATAGTGAGTGAGTTCGCATGAGATCTGATGGTTTTACAAGGGGCTCTTCACCCTTTAGCTTGGCACGTCTCCTTGTGGCCACCATATAAAGAAGGATGTGTTTGCTTCCCCTTCCAACATGATTGTAAGTTTCCTGAGGCCTCCTCAGCCATGCTGAACTGTGAGTCAATTAAACCTCTTTCCTTTATAAGTTACCCATTCTCAGGTTTGTCTTCATTAGCAGCATGAAAACAGACAGGTGGTAAGCAGGGCCACATTTGACCATAGCAACATATATATGACCAAGAAATAAAACTAATATTGTGATATTAAGGGATTATTACTGTAGTATAACTACAGAAAGCTCACTAATATACTCACATTATTTATAATTCTAAGTGACTTATTTTAAGTGTCTGACACTTACTTTGGAAATCTCTTAGCCATTATTTCTTTCAATATTTTCTTTATAGCTTTATAAGTAATTATTCTATTGTGAAAATTTTAATTATTCTGGTAATTAATGAAAATTTTGTCTAATTTTAAAAAATGTTCCCATTAGAAGAATCTGGCTGTGATATTCCCTATGATTCCTTTTATGTCTCTTTGAACCTATCCACTTTAAATAAATATTAGAATTAGAAAAATAGTTTTGTATGCTTCTTCTCATTTGGATTGTATTAACTACCCTTATAATTTAGACTAAATTCTAACTAAAATATGCTGAAATTTAACCTAGTTTAACCTCTCATATTAATATTTTTTCTGGTCTATAGATTGTCAAATAAAGGTTTAAGTAAACTTCCCCGTAAACGTATAGATATATGGTTAGTAATTTCCTCAGAAATATTGTTCAAATTGAAGCTAGAATAGTCAAGACAGTTCCTTGGAAAATAAATTTCTTCCATTTTATTTTAGTTATTTCTGTATTTTCCTCTTTGAAGACTATTTTTATTTGTAATGTTATGAGGTTATGAAATTTATAAATCTACATTTTTATTTAAAATTTTCGATAGCTACTTACTGAGCATTTTCTCTTTCTCATGGATTCTACTTGTTCATGGATTTGCAAAAAGATTCCTGAACAGTATGAAAAATAACACATGATTTGGTGATTAACATATTATAATGTTCAGAGGGCAACAAAATCTGTGAAAGTATCAAGAGGCACCTTAATCATGGTGTATTATGTCATCTTTGGCAAGTCACTTAATCTCTAAGTAACTGCTCAGTTTTGTCAAACAGAAATAAAAAGATAATATCTCAGCTTTTTTTCCCACAGAGTTATGAAGCAAAAGCAAGTGAATATACCTATGATACATTTCAACATATGAAAACTGCAAAACAAGTACAAATCATGAGATTAAATATTTTTTCCTCTGGACATTTTTATAGTAACTTATAAAATATATTACATACTACTTTTTTCTTTTTGAAATGCAATTCCAACACAAAGTATAATGGAGAAAGTGGAAACTAGATTATGAAAATGGTTTAAAATCCTGTGTGCATATGTACTCTGCCACACACAATTACTTTTAGTCTACAAAGTATTAGCTTTCTAGAAACTGCCTTATATATTCACAACCCTCATTATCAAATAATGAGAACTAGCACAGCTGTTCATGTCAGCATTAAAATGATTAGGTTCAAATGGGTTTTGCATATGTGAAAGGTAAGAGATTTTTCTCTCATGTTTGCCAAGTTTCTCACTCATCTACCTTCATTTTGTTTGAACTACGTCCATGTTAAGCCATAAAAGGTAAAACTACAGGTTTAATTTCCAACTGCTAGTCCAGATATAATGATTAGAAAAATGTGAAAGGAGTTTCAATTTGTTCTTGGGTTTGCAATATACCCTGATATAAATAATATAAATATTTTAATATACAGCTGATAGATTTTAATCACTCTGTATGCATATATGTTTAATATATATATGACAGATGCATATTTATGCATAAATATATGCACAGATAAACATGGCTATTATTTGTGCATAATACAAGTACATGCACATGCATAAATTATAACTACAGGTTAACTTATATTCTTTTATTCATAGATGCATTATTGTGCAAAACCCTTTTTCCCAAGTAAGAATTTTTTCCTTCTGGCACATATGCCAACAAAAGTTTTTCTCACACTACATTATTTTTTCATTTCTTCCAGAAGGGAACAATAGGCGACCTGCCTAATTGGGAGCTTGTATATCAAAGCTAACTTTAATTCTACAGTACTGCTCTGTGTTCTCAACATTGCTTCAATATTGTTTGTCATTCTCTGGCAGGTTTGAATGACAAGTGCAAAAGCCACCATTTTAAATTTTGTATGAAAAGAGAAAAAGACAGAAAAACTTATAAATAGTTTTTCTTGGTTTCTGTAATAAAGGGGTGCATGCATTTGTGCAGCTCAGTCAAAATCTATAATTAGAATGACATGGATGCATCAATGAGGATTTAGCAAACACCGAGAAGCTGCTAAGTGTAGCTGAAAGCGTTATGAATACCAAATTATTACCCACTATGGTGCCACCTTTAAAGTCACATTTACTGAGGGAAATGTAAACTTGCTGAATGCTATTGAGAAAGAAAACATTATTTCATGCTCCAGGAACTGAAAGTACAGAACATTAATAACCATCTATTTCCAGCTTTAATCCGCGCAATTAAAAAGGTCAGAAGTGTTAATGTTGATAAAGGTCTTTTAGAAAGAGAAGTACTAGATGAGACCCTAATTATTCACCATCATCAAGCAAAGTCGTGACAGCAATTACCACGCCGTCATGAAATAAGTATCTCAGAGGATTCCCAAGAGCGGAAGCACATTTTATACAACCAATCACACGTTATATTATTAAAGATGCAATGATAAAGGTACATTTTATACATCTAACACAAAAAATTATGCTCCGATAGGTAAAATGTGCTACGCAGATTGAATATTTTCAGTCATAATTATGTTAAATAGAAGCTCATACAATTTTTTACTATCAATGTGTCCTCTCAAACAATGCTCTCTGCTCAGAGAGCAATATTTGCCCAAACAGATATTTGATTTTAGCTCATTATTATTATAATATTTTGGAGATTAACTGAAAGACTCAGGATTAATGTAGAATTTTGGCTCCAAATAAATATTTAAATTAGAAAAGGAAAGTAAATACTGAAATGTTAAAATAAAAAATCTAACCCACAGATGGTGAATGAATCTAGAAAAGTTAGAATTATGTAATAACCTTTAAAGCTACTTATTAACAATTTCACAGTTTGAAAAGTTCAATAGGAAAATATACTTAGTGATAAACATATTCATTGATTCATCTGTCTGGGGAGTTTCTATTAAGTGTAAGTAAGTGTACTAGCCAGTACGTGTACTATTATTGATGACTTTTATATAGAATATCAATAGCTATATAAAAATATTGTGTAAATTCTTATTAGTTTATTTTACTATTTTACTATTTACTAGTTTACTATTAAACAAATATTTACATTAGCCATTGTGATAACTTCCAGTGATAACAATAAAGACAAATTCTGTGCTATTGAGTAACTCTAGCTCAAGTACATTGCATTCAAATGCATTGCAATATATTAATTGCTTTGTCAGAGTTGTACTGAAGATATTATGAAAGCCTAGAGGCTACCTTACCCTAACTGATCAAAGAACGGCTTTAGAAGTAGAAACAGTCAACATGATTCTGAAGAATTAAATAGGAAACCTCCAGCATACAGATGGGTAATGCATTTCAAGTGAAGGGAAAATCAGGCCAGAAGTGTCAAAGTTTATGGAATAGTCAGACATATAGGGAGTATGATGTCTACAGAGGAGTTTAAGTTTAATGTTTCATGATTGAGGATCATGGAATATGAGATCATAGAGGTCGGACAGGTTAAGTTAGTATGAAACTGTCAGATTTATGTTAACTTAAGAGGTTAAAGTATAATTTATATGCAGCAACAAGTATCTAAGTATATAATTTAAGAATTTTCAGTAAATTTAAAGATTTCTGCAATCATCATTAAAATCAGGTTTTAGAACATTTTCATCATGCTCTGAAGTATTTCTGTGTTCCTTTGCATTTAAGTCTTATTCCCACCAAGCCTAAGCAAACATTGACAGACTTTCTTTTTTCTTTTTTTTGATAGATATTCTATCTCTATACATCTAACTTTTAAGAAAATTTCAAATAAATTACATCACGTATTATGTAGTATTTTTAATCAGGCTTTTTTCACAAAGCCACTTTTGAGATTCTTCTATGTTGTAGCATCTGTCAGTTTGTTCTTTATTGTTCTATAGAATTCCATTGCATGGATGTATGGATTTTATTTATCCGTTTACTTTTTGATGAACATTTGGATTGCTACAAAGTTTTGTCAAGACAAGATGAATAATTTCTTCAGAGAAGTGGAAACTTACAGTTCCACTATAAGTGAAATCGAACTTAATTGCTAAAAATAAGGCAAGAAAACTACTAACATAATTAAAGAATTATTTTAATGAAACCGTTAATAGATTCAACATAGTTGAGGAAATAATCAGTAACTTGAATATAGGTAAATAAAAATTACCACACATGCAATGCATATAGAAAGTTTCTTTAAAAATTCCAAAAAGGATGACACAATATAAAAAAGATTAATATGTGTGTAACTGGAACTGGGAAAAGACAGGAAAAATGTGGAGGAAGAAACATTTAAAGAAATAACAGCCAAGAAATTTCTAAACTTAGTGTCAGTTAATTATAAGACATTTTACCTAATGAGTATTACCTAATATAATGCAAGGAAAATAGCACTTCTGTTGTATTCTCCCCCAAATTTCTAACTCCAACAACAAGATAAGAAATTGTCAGATGGAACCATATTTGGGGACATTCTATAAAATGCTCAACGAATAATTCTTCAAAACTAACGAGGTTATAAAAAATAAAGACTGAGAAATTAATGTGTATTGGAACACTAAAGGGACATGACAAATAAATGCAATGTAATATTCAGGATTAAATCTTGGCACAATAATAAAAACCCTGGAAGACATCCTCAGCAATACCATTCAGGACAAGGAATGGGCAAAGATTTCATAATGAAGATGGCAAAAGCAATTAAAATCAAAACAAAACATTGACAAATAGGACCTAATTAAACTAAGGAACTTCTGCACAACAAAAGAAACTATCAATAGAGTAAACAGACAAGTTATGGAATGGAAGAAAATTTTTGCAAACTATGTATCCAACAAAGGTCTAATGTCCGGCATCTATAAGGAACTAAAAAAAAAAAATAAAAAGAAAAACACAAACAACCCCATTAAAAAGTGGGTAAAGGACATGAACGGAAACTTTTCAAAAGAAGACATACATGGAGCCAACATTCATATGAAAACAAACTCAACACCAGTGATCATTAGGGATATGCAAATCAAAATCACCATGAGATACCATCTCACACCAGTCAGAATGGCTATTATTAAAAGTCAAAAAATAACAGATGCTGGCTAAGTTGTGGAGAAAAAGGAATACTTTTTACTGTTTGTGGGAGTGTAAATTAGTTAAACCATTGTGTAAGACAGTGTGGCAATTTCTCGAAGATCTAAAAGCAGAACTCCCATTTGACCCAGGAATCCCGTTACTGTATATATACCTAAAGGAATATAAATCATTCTATTATAAAGACACATGCATGCGTATGTTCAGTAGAGCATATTCACAATAGCAAGGGCGGAATCAATCTAAATGCCCATCAATGATAGACTGGATTAAAAAACTGTAGTACATTTACACCGTGGAATACTATTCAGCCATAAGGAAGAATGAGATCATGTCCTTTGCAGGGACATGGATGGAGCTGGAGGCAATTATCCTTAGCAAACTTATGCGGGAACAGAAAATAAAAAACTGCAGACTCTTACTTATAACCCGGAGCTAAATAATGAGAACACGTGGACACAGAGGAGAACAACACACACTGGGGCCTATAGAGGATGGAAGGTGAGAGGAGGAAGAGGATCAGGAAAAATAACTCATGGATACAAGGCTTAATACCTGGATGATGAAATAACCTGTACAACAAACCTGCATGACACAAGTTTACCTATGTAACAAACCTTCATATGTACCCCTGAACTTAAAAGTTAAAAGAAAGAAAAAAAAAATGAAAACACTGGGAAAATTTGAATAAAATCTTTAACCAGTAGCATTTCACTAATGTTAATTTCTTAATTGTGATAAATACACCATGGTTATGTCAGATGATAATTTCTGAGAAAACTGGGTGAAATGTATAATAAATCTTCCTATACTGTCTTTGCAACATTTTTTAAACCTGAAATTGCTCCAAAATAAAATATTAAGAAGAGCATTAAAAAATAAACTTGGATATAAAAATATACAACCATACCTAAAACAGAAGTGCAAGAAATATGTAATTCTGTAAGCTATATATATTTTAAAAATCCATACTTTATTTTTATACTTTTCTGTTCTAATGGATGATACTTATAAGATATAATTGATTTAAATTGAAAATGTTCTTTGTGTAGATTTTAATTTAATATTCATGATGACACTAAGGTAAGTGTGAATCAACCTAGGTTCCATCAGTGATGGATTAGGGAAAGAAAATATATACATAGACACCGTGGAATACAACACAACCATGAAAAAGAGTGAAATCATGTCCTTTGCAGCAACATGGATATAGCTGGAAACCATTCTCTTAAACAAATTAACGCAGGAAAAGGAAACCAAATACCACATGTTCTCATTTCAAGTGGGACCTAAGCATTGTGTACTCACGAACATAAGAATGGCAGTAATAGACACTGGGGACTTCTCGAGGGAGAACAGAGGGGCTAAGTTTGAAAAGCTAACTATTGGGTACTACACTAACTACCTGGGTACAGGATCATGTGTACCTCAATCCTCAGCAACATACAATATACCCACGTAACAAACCTTCATGTGTACCTCCAAAATCTAAGGTAAATGTTGAAGTTATTTTTAAAAAGCATGCATCAAAAGCTATTGCCATTATTATAAAACATATTAAAAAATTTTTAAAAAGATTTAGTTAGATAATAGCTAGAAGTTAAATAAATGGATTATCATATGGAAAAAGATAAAAATATAAGTGAATTACAATTGGAAAATATATTGTAATATTATACATATTACTTTATTTATATTAAATAAACATTGTGATTATATTAGCAAAATACTTTGATTAGTCAAATGGAATGATACAATTTTATCACACATATACATATCCTCAAGAAATACTGCAAAAATATATTTAAATAATAAAAAGATTTATTGAACAGAAAAATAGTTACAAAAATCTGTTAACTGAAAATGCTTTTCTAGAACAATTAATGTAAATATAATTTTATGTTTATATGTGTATAAATAAACCCTATATCAATACTAATTTTTATTTAATAGTAAAGACATTTTGAATGTTAAAAGAACATTTATATTGAGTGCATCCTTAGGTTTAGTTCTCATTTGTAGTTTTCCATGCACTATTTGTTTTTGCGCATGTGTAATATTTTAAATAATTTTTATGTATCATAGACTACGTTGACATATTCTTAAACTATTATCTCTGCTCTCTTCTTGCTGCCACATCATACTGTGAAAAATTATCTTTTTTTCAATGAAATTCAGCAGGATGTATGTGAATGAGTAGATATATGGAATGCTTGGGGGAAAAAAATTTATGAAGATGATAAGTGAAATGTGTGTTTGTCCAAATATTCCTCACATTCACTGCTTCATATTTACCCTTTTTAAATTTATTGAAAAAAAGACAATTGCAGTATACCAGGAAATAAGTAACAAAGTTTATTTATCAAGCAGGAGTATCCCATTGTACTTCTTTACAACAAAACTCTTTGGATACCTCTCTTCTAAATCAGAATATGAAAGTAATTCTATCATCTGTCCTTTCCATCTATCCAGTTTTAAAAGATTTTTGTAAACACATACACCACACAAACATACACACACACACACACACACATTTCTCCATAGCTCTCTGGGATTACAGCACCCATTGTCTCTGCTGTTCGTCTTGTAGCAATTTGTAATATTTCTTTTGCTGAAACTTTATATTTCATTATCGTTGTTTTGATTTCCATGTGATGTTGCCTCCACACAACACTATTAACAGTACAATAGCTCAAAATATATTTATGTGGTGGAGTGAAAATATCATTTAAGGCACAAGTAGTTGCTGCAGAATATATAACACAATGCAATACTGTTAATTAGAATGTGATGCATATGTGTACATTATTGGTGATTATAGTATATGCCAACTATGAAAATGTAATCAGTTAATAAAGATAAATTGTTTGCATACCATTGCAAGACATTGACAAAAGATTTTAGCAATAATGCAATGCTAGCATTTTTTGGACCTTATCTTTTTTCTGCATACCTAAAATTTTATTTAAACCATTCAGCATTCAGGAATTATTTGGTTGGCACAATAGTAATTGTGGTTTTGCCATTAAAGCATGGTAAAAACTGCAGCAACTTTGGCACAAACCTAATATCTTCATTAGAACGTTTCTTCCAAAAATACATGATGGGGAAGCATAAAATACAGTCTTCTCATTTCAGCTCTAACATGTAAGAAGTATTCACTATCATCCCTATAACAAGAAAAAAGCTGAACAAACTGTAAATCCACAACTTTATTTGGACTCATCAGAGAACTGAGTTTGCAGGACAGATTGCCATCTGAATTGCAAAGAGACAGGTAAATTTAAAGAGTCCCAGCTAAAAATTGCTTTACTTGAGCAGAGGTCACTAGAGCCATAAACTCTTAGAAATACGTAAATGGTAAAGTTGATGAATTGCTGGAGGCTAGATATAGACTGGCATAAGAGGGAGGAAATTCTGAGTGTGGCTGTCATAGGGGAGCCCTCACATTTTCACAGATTTTACTTGTAAGAACCCCACTAGGTTCTCATGATAAAGAGCCAAGAAATACACCCTCATCCCTCTATATGAGCAAGGAAAAAATTAAGCATGATAAAATATATCTAGAGTGTTCTCCGTAAGAAAGAATTACTTTTTAGGGAAAAAAAGTATTTATCAGAGCCTTCTATCAGCTGAGAGAAGAGAAATGCCCCCACTGCAGACCGCTTGTCTTCATGCTTCACCTAAGGAGGAAAATAAGGTAAGCAATATCTGTAAATGTCATAGCCCAAGGGCAGGAATCCACTAAAAGCCTGAGATTTAATTATACACCCCATCTCCACTTTACTGCCATACCAATAAGAGCTCCAGCATAATAATAGTGAATTCCAGCTGAAATAGCTTTAAAAGGCAGACTCTGAGTAACAATTCTTGAGAAACCCCAAAGACAATAGAAGAGACAAAAACAAGGACACCAGAGAAATGTTCAGCCTCTAGCAGCTGCAGCAACAACAAACATTGAACACTTCTTCACTCCTAGATGGATTAACATAAAAGCTGACACTGAAGGCCTATTGACTTCACTTTCTGTTCCCTGACACACCATGTCTGGCTTTCCAGAAAAAAATTACAAGGCATGCTAAAATGCATAATAATAACATAAAGGGTAAAAACATGCCTCAGGACTGGACTCAAATATTATCACAATTTGGAATTATAAGACAAATAATTTTAAATAACTACCATTAATATGTTAAGGGCTCTAATAAAAAAGGTAAACAACGTGCAAGAACAAATAGGTAAAATAAGCCAAGAGATAGAAACCCTAAAAAAGTAGGAAATACAGAAAACAAAACAAACAAAAAACTGGAAAAGAAATAAATAATGTTATTGATGGACCCCTTAGTCGACTGGCACAGCTAAAGAAAAAATTAGAAACCTTGAAGTTAGAGCAATAGAAACTCCCTGAGTTGAAATGCAGATGAGATTAATAGTAATAATAAAAACCCAGAAAATCATAGAATTGTAGTACTATTTCACTAGATAACAGTCAATAGGCAGAAAACCAAAGGAGAAAATCTTGACAATAACAGAGACAAATGTAAAAAAAGTGCAGAGGTCTTGGATAACATGAACATGAATAAAATATAAAAGTTCTTGAAAAACCTAAATTTAGTCAAAGAAATTGCCAAATCTACATTGTCAGAGAAAATTAGAGATAGATATATGTCTGGGCTACACTTGCTCTGCTTAATTCAACAATAAATCAACCAATGACCAGTTTTAAATGTTACCCTCTCCAGTATCAGAAATCAAAAGACTACAGCAGCATTCTCAGTTCCAAGCTATGCCTTTTTGTTATTGATTTCAGGAATATCCTGAAAGATTTGAACTATATTATAATGTTATTCTTGCATCCCTGACATCATCATCAAAAACAGCAAATCTATAAGTCATGTGATAGATCACATATATTAAATAAAACCCAAAGAGTTTATTCTAAATTACTATTTAACCATTTATTTAAACCATTACAAGCTTGCTAAATTTATATGTGAAAAAAAGAAAATGTTGGACTCTATTTTGTGGTCTATTCTGAAATCTATGATAAAATAAATGCATATCTGCTTTAATAGCACAGGTGTCATGAATATGTCATCTAAATGACTGCATCAAGATTAGAAGGAATGATAAATACTACTGTTGAGAGCTATAAATTTCTAGCATACTTTGTGAGCAATTATGAAGAGTCTAGAATAAAATTCTTCCTTGTTAGAATTATTATTTTGAGCTCTTGAACTTTAACCCTTGAATTTTTTTGGACAATATGTTTTGAATTCTGAGTACGAATTTCTTCCTGGGTCCAATTTACTATTTCTGACAGGTAGTTCTCATGTATACATCTATTGACTGAGCAGTCCTCATTAACCAAGCAGTAGTTTATTATTTTATGTAATTTTTCCATGCTATCTTGAGAGGAAATTGAATGCGTTAGATAATCTATTTTTATTCTCTCTGGAAAATGCATGTGAAAGTACAGTTTCTATATAATGCCATTTCATTGGAATTTAAACCCAGTAAGTAGCTATGATAAATACACTTTTATTCTCACACTGACTGCGAAACCACAAAAATATGATTTGCTAATTAAATACATACTGAAGAGCCTCATTCATAAATGATTCATTTCAATAAGAAGTTTTGGGTTCATTTTTGTTGTCACATATTGCAGGGTTTATTTCTTTGTTAAGATTGAATAGCATGTCATCGCATGTTCATACTACATTATATTTACCCATTCTTCTGTAGCTCGTCCTTGATGTTGTTTCTATAGCTTGGCTATTGTGATAGCACTGCAATAAACATGCTAAGTGTTATGATTAAGCTAGTTGCAAAAGCACAAATACGGCATGATGCCACTTAAATGTAGTATCTAAAATAGTCAAATTCATGGAAGTGAGAATAGAATGGTGGTTTGGGGAAATGGGGAGATGCTAATCAACATGTATAACATTTTCAATATGCAAGATGAATAATTTCTAGAGATCTAATGTATAACATTGTGCCTATAGATAAAAATACTGTATTGTACACTTAAAAATCTGCTAAGAATATGGATAGGTAGTGCTCTTACAAAATTTTTATTAAAGTTTGAGAAATATACAGTAATGAATCGTCAACCGAAATAACAGATTTTAAGCAGAAACAACACCAAATTTTGGAACCGTGTGTGTGTATGTGTGTATATCTATATTGATATATAGACATACTGACCTTAATTCATATTAATATTACTACATTTAATTATATTAATAAGTCAATAATTAGGATTATTAATAGAAAGAGAAAGTAGGTGAGGGCTTTCCAGGGAATAAAGGGAGAAAAAGCTGGACATAGTGTTTTTTGGAATGGTAAAAATGTTTTGAAAGAGGAAAGGTGCTGGTTGCAATACATCTTCAATGAAGTAAATCCTACCTCAGTGCACACCTTAAAATGGTTAATGCATTTTATATGAATTTCACCTTGTTAAAATTATTTATAGGCAGTAAAATTTAAATTTCATATGAGCTGAAGTGCAGTGGTGCCATCTCGGCTCACTGCAACTTCTGCCTCCCGGGTTCAAGTGATTCTCCTGCCTCAGCCTCTCAAGTAGCTGGGACTACAGGCATGCACCACCACACCCGGATAATTTTTA
Organism: Homo sapiens; assembly: GCF_000001405.40. Lineage (NCBI taxonomy): Eukaryota > Metazoa > Chordata > Mammalia > Primates > Hominidae > Homo > Homo sapiens. The sequence continues at coordinate 58,764,079 of NC_000004.12, read as the reverse complement.
TATTTTTAGTAGAGACGGGGTTTTACCATGTTGGTCCGGCTGGTCTTGAACTCCTAACCTCAAGTGATTCACCTGCCTTGGACTCCCAAAATGCTAGGATTACAGGCGTGAGCCACCATGCCTGGCCTATTCTTCTTTTCATCTTTTTTCAAACACCTAGTATGTAACGTTCATTCTTAGCTGAAAGCTCCTATAAAAACAGGCTGTGGGCTGGATTTGCCCTGCAGGCTCTATTTTGTTGGACCCTGGTCTAGAGACAAAATATTTCTACTTTCCTGAAAATAAACTCTTGCTCTCATGCAGGTCACTGACTCCCCTGCATTCTTTATTCACCGAAGTTTATCATGTTGAGAAAAACAAGTAAATCAGTATAATTTCCACTGAGCCAGTGTAGCTACAAATCAACGAAAAAAGTTTTTGCTTGTGTTATTGAATTTGCAGATAATTCCTTTAAAAATAAGGAAAGCAATGAGATTACAAATACTGATCTTTAAATAATAATAATTATTATTATTTTTTGAGACGGAGTTTCACTCTGTCGCCCAGGCTGGGGTACAGTGTCATAATCTCGGCTGACTGCAACCCCCACCAGCCGGGTTCAAGCAATTCTTCTGCCTCAGCCTCCTGAGTAGCTGGGATTACAGGCGTGTGCCACCATGCCTGGCTAATTTTTTTATATTTTTAGTAGAGGTGGGGTTTCACCATATTGGCCAGGGTGGTCTCGAACTCCTTACCTTGTGATCCACCATCCTCAGCCTCCCAAAGTGCTGGGATTAGAGGCGTGAGCCACTGCACCCCGCCACATGTTAAAATGTTAAGCATTTTCAAAAGATTTACCAATTCATTTGTACAAATGTAATTTAATATTTTCCCACAATTGGATTATACTGAAAATGTGAAAATAGTTTTAGTCATTTAAAACTAACCACATTTCCATACCTCCTCCCCAAATAATTATTACTTTAGATTTTTATATACATATTGATAATTATCACTTATAAGCAAGAAATATTTAATTACAACAATGCTTTATATATTAATTTACAACTTACTTTTATATGTATAGCAAATTGTACCTCCCCTCAGTAAACATTTTATATAGTGTATAATTACGGTAGATGGGTGGTTATTTGAATTAATGTTCAAATTAATGTTCGTCTCACTCGACTGTATTATCTATGCACACAGTATTGATAACTGGATAGTATAGTGCTTTACACTTTTAGGCTTCATTTTATTTTATGTATGTACAACCTTTTATATATGTATATATATTTTATATATATACACATATGTGTATATATTTTATATATATACACATATGTGTATATATTTTATATATATACACATATGTGTATATATTTTATATATATACACATATGTGTATGTATTTTATATATATACACATATGTGTATGTATTTTATATATATACACATATGTGTATGTATTTTATATATATACACATATGTGTATGTATTTTATATATATACACATATGTGTATATATATTTTATATATACACATATGTATATATATATTTTATATATACACATATGTGTATATATATTTTATATATATATACACATATGTATTTTATATATATACACATATGTATATATATTTTATATATACATATGTATATATTTTAAATATATACACATATGTATATATATTATATATACATATGTATATATTTTATATATATACACATATGTATATATATTATATATATACATATGTATATATTTTATATATATACACATATGTATATATATTATATATATACATATGTATATATTTTATATATATACATATGTATATATTTTATATATGTATTTTATATATGCATATATATATTTTATATATATACATATGCATATATATATTTTATATATGCGCATATGCGTATATATATTTTATATATGCGCATATGCGTATATATATTTTGTATATGCGCATATGTGTATATATATATTTTATATATACGCATATGTGTATATATATATGTATATACAGTTGGGTTTTATATATCACTTTTAACTGAAATGAAATTGTGTTATATCAACAGTTTTACCACATACAATGTTGTAAGGCATATTGTGGTAATGATGCAGGATTTTTTCTGCTCCTTAGCTCAGCTAGGTCTGAGTTCTCGTCTCACAACCAGGAAGAATTAGGCATGTGGACACTGGAGAGTGAGTGGAGTATAATTTATTAAGCAAAAGGAAAGCTGTCAGCAAACAGGGGATGCAGGGGATGGTTCTCCTACCCAAAAGCAGGAAAGTCCCTACCAATATGGCTGAGCCTGGGGCTTTTAATGGCTCACAATAGGGAGTGCATGGTGGTTGGTTTGTGGTTATGCAAAAAATGTTAAAGAGAAGACACCACTCAAAGGTGGGGATAACCATGTAGAAAACCAATTAGGAAAGGGGGTGGGAATCAATCAGAAGAAAGCACGCCAAAAAGGAAGACAAGTTCTCAATTGATCTGAGTTTTTAACTGGTAGCTTGGCTTTTGGGCTTCAAACTGTCTTCAGCTTGGAGGTGGGGTTTCACTGGGGACCTGCTCCTATCTTCCTAGGCATTTGGCTGCCTCCTGTTGCTATCAGTAGAAAATACAACCAGGTTTTAGAGGTGGATTTACTGGGTCAATGAGCAGGCATGTATTATAATAATCCCACTAGTCGACTTTTCTTGTTGATACTATTTTGACAATGCATAAATAATTCCTCAATAGAACCTAACATATAAGATGTTTGCCATTATATGTCTCTCTGCCTTCTCTCTGGAGCCTTTATATTGATGAGGAAGACATAATTAAAATGCGTTGGTTATTATGCTTTACAGTTTTGGTGGATTATACAAATTTGCATAGGAAAAATTGCTAAATCAAACAATTTTAAAATTGCTAAATCAAAACGAAATATTATTTGAAAACAAACTTTACTACATAATGCAGCATTGTTTCTTTAAAAAGAAGCTTGAAATCCAAATACAGTAGAGAATATTTAACAGGCTTCTGGCAGTGTGCTTTGACAGATGGTTCTTTGTTAAAACACCTAGATTTCTTCAGGATGAAATATTTCTTTACCAAAGTTAAATAAAATCACAATGGTCACAGTGAGATATGAGTCACAGCTAGAAAGTCTAGATTCAAAGCCAGGTGGTATTCTCTGATTGGAAAATACAACCAAAATGCATATGCCCATTGAAAAACAGCTAAGCAAGACAAATTATTCAAATTGGTGACTACAGACAAGAAACTGACACATCTCCACCTACTGGATTTCTACTGAGAGCTTGTGAATGATGTATTTTCATTTGCAGGTTTTTAATTTGTCTTAGAAAAATTCAGAAAATGTGTCTCTACGTTTGGAATATATGTAACAGGGTCTCTTGTATTTGGAAATTTGCCAGATATGTAATGCTAACTATATCATGAAACACAATGATAGATATCTAAGAGTTAATTGGCTTTTGGTTATATGACATATCACATTGTCAGTAGTGCATCTTATTAAAGTTAAAATGTACATTTCCAAATACAACTTGAGTAGAAATTACAAGTATTTGAATAAAATGTAATATTGTGACCATAAAGTGGAAAAGTATATGTTTCACTTGGTTTAGACCTAAATGAAAATGTTCAGAAACATTGTGAACACAAGAAGTTATACATATAATAGAACTTCGAGGACACTATATGTGACAAGTCATTTCTGTTCAATAAAGCTTACTTATCTGTAGTCAAGTCTTTGTTATATTCTGTAATGGAGCATTCATAATGTGGCTGAAACCATTAACACACCCAGCTCAGATTAGAATGTGTGCACAATGACTCAAAAAGTTTACTGAACTGTGTGCTGATTGTGAATCCCATCATTATAAATAATCAAGTATATTTCAGTTTATTCATAATTTAATGTGAGTTTTTTAGCTTTTTAGCATAGTACTTCATAGATTAGGGATTCATATTTCAAAAAAGTACTTAATACATTTTTATTATGGTTGCTAAATAAATTTAAACTATTTGTAGATAATTTTTAAATAAAAAAAGACTGTAAAAATATATTTATTTTATATTTTTTCTTCACAGATGATGTTTGTCTTGTGAAAAGATATATCGGGCTGGGCGCGGTGGCTCACACCTGTAATCCCAGCACTTTGAGAGGACGAGGTGGGCGGATCACCTGAGGTTGGGAGTTCAAGTCCAGCCTGACCAACATGGAGAAACCCCATCTCTACTAAAAATACAAAATTAGCCAGGCATGTTGGTGCATGCCTGTAATCCCAGCTACTCAGGAGGCTGAGGCAGGAGAATCGCTTGAACCCGGGAGGCAGAGGTTGCGGTGAGCCAAGATCACAACATTGCACTCCAGCATGTGCAACAAGAGTGAGACTCTATCTCAAAAAAAAAAAAAAAAAAAAAAATATGCTGTTTCTAAAAATGGGAAAGTTTGCTTGGACATTTCTTTTAAATTAGGTTTTATGAATGTATAAAACCTGAACTTTAGTGCAAAAAGATATGTTATTGTATTTTTTAAATTTTAAGACCAAAATATGTTATAATTAATATAAGAAATGTTTCAAATGTTTTACAGTTTTTATTATAAAATAATTAGTTTATTATTTGTTGTAAAATTCCAGAAAATTATAAGAAAAAAAAAAAACAAATGTAATCTTACCATGTGAAGGTAACCACTTTCTTTAATTATTTTTTATTTGTAATTGACCCACCCTATTGATATCATTGTGAAAATGCTGAAAGACTTAGTGTGTTTTATTTTTTAAATAATAAACCCCAAATCATAATATATTCAACCCTCTATCCAGATTAACTTGACATAATATTGTGTACCTCTTTTCATATTAACAAAAATAAATGATCGTATTATTTCTTATTGGATTGTATTCTTATTGTAAACATGTATTAATCAAAATTCTTCTGTCTGAATATGATAACCACTCATCTGGGTGATGTGAATGTAAAGAATAATTTATTAATTCCATCAAATCCCTAGAAAATCAGCATGGACAGCTGTTTCTTAGGATAACTGCAATTCGGTTTGTGACTGCATAACTGCAATTTGGTGAGTGACTGCTTTCCAGGACTTTTTGTCCAAGTCTTCTCTGGGATGTCCTCTGCATATATCCATTTCTTACTGGACTCAATGCATGAAAAGGTTACCATACTCGGCAACTTCACAGCCCTGCTATGACTGGCATCATCACCCGGATAAATACAATTTAAGCAGAAGAGACATGTCCCCCGCAAGAATGTCATGCTGCTTTCATGAAATGTCAGTGTGACCAGACTAACAAGTGTTAGTTACCTGTTTTCTTTAGCAATGATCACCTTTTGCCTACAATTGAGAAGTCTCTTAGCTAATATCCCTTTTCTAATCTTTACCCTCCTCCAGCCTAAATTCTCCCAAAACAAATCATAGTTGACTTCGTAGGTATGAATCAAATTATATCACTTCTCTTCTCAAAATCACCCAACAGCTTTCATTTGAAACAAAAATCTGAATTCCTTATCATTATCTACATGGTTATAAATGATCTGCTCCTACTTACATCTCCGACCTCATGTGCTCTTATACCTCACCTCTCACTCTCTCATGTTACCTAAATCATGTTGCTAAATCATCTTGTGTCCATTCCTTAAATAAATTAAGCTAATTTTCAGCATTGCTGATTTTAAATTATGGTCTGCCAAACCCTGGAGGTCACCAAGACATGTTCAAGGGGTCCACAAAGTCAACTTATTTTTTTATAATAATAATAGGACTTTATATGCTTGGTAGTGACATTCTTTCACAAATATAAAGTGGCATTTTCCAGAGTCTACATAAACTATGATACCAAACAGATTGAAGGCAGAAGCAAATATAAGAACTAAGACATCTATTGTTAAAGTATATTGTACCAATAAACCACAAGAGCATTCTTCTCCATCCTTTTGTTGTTATTATTGTCTTGGATAATGTCATCATTAAATTAAAATGTCATTTATGTAAACATGTAAGGGGTTTATTGTTGTATTTAAATGCATTGTTAAACTACTATATTTTTAAATTATCCATTTTAATTTCTAATATGGCAAATATTAATACAGATTCATTATCCCTTATCCAACATGCTTGGAATCAGAAGTGTTTTGAATTTTTATATTAAAATATTTTCATATACATAATCAGGTAATTTTGGGATGAGACCCAAGTCTAAGTACTAAATTTATGTTTCGTATACACCTTATACACAGAGCCTAAAGGTAATTTTATATCATATTTTAAATACTTTTGCACAGGAAACAAAGTTTTTACTGCATTTTGCAACCCATCCTATGAGGTCAAGCGTGGAATTTCCTGTTTGTGACATCATGTTCATACTGGAAACGTTTGGAATTTTGGCACATTTCAGATTTTGGATTTTCTGATTAGGGATGCTCAACATGTAAAAATAGCCCCCAAATCAAAAGTTCTTTGAGGTCGTCAGTAATTTGTAGGGTAAAGGATATTTTAAACCAAACGATTAGACACCACTGGAACAGATCTCAGAGTTTGCTTTTCCTCCTGTTTAAAATCTGTCTCAAAATTTTCACAAGGCTCTTTATCATGCTTTCTCTATGACCTCTTTCTTAATATTCAGATCCCTACGCAAATGTCAACTCCTCTCAGAAGCCTTTCCTGACCAAACTCGCTGAAGTAGTCCTCTATTTCACATTGTTATCTTCTACTATACTGCTCTCTTTTAATTTTATTAGCACTTAAAAGTGTTTGTTTGAAGTTGTATTATTTCTTAATTTGTCTACGAATTTTTCTATCTCTTTCACTGAAAGAGAAACACACTTTCATTTATAAAACTTGTTTCGTTCACCATTGACCTAACACAAAGGAACATATTTCAAAATCAGATTTAAATAAATCAAATATAACACGTTGCATCAATGGCAGAAAAAATTTACTGTCATGAGCAAATGAAAAGAAGATGTGGGACTTTGATGGTGGCTTCCTGGGTCCTTAATTTTCACGTGATAAACACTTTCTCAGACTCAGAGTAATAAATCAGTTCTCTAAGTGAAGTTCGTGGGTTACCTCTTACAGGAACCATTCCGTTTAGAACATCAAGTTATACACCAAAGCATTGTTTGTGTAGCTAAACTGACATTTTCCAGGAACCTATGCTTGATACATTTAGAGGTTCTTGGTTTGTTTATCACGAGCTATCTTACCTGGGGATAACCTGCTAAAATAATTCCATGTAAGTTTCCTTTTCATAGCAAATCTTTTTAGTCTATTTATTAGGGAGTCTGCTTATCAACATATTTACAAGATTAGACTGGGCCACTGACTTTCTTCTGGGGCTTTGCTCCAGTAATCAGGAGAGAAAATTAGGTCAGCTACTTTAATACTTTTCTTCCAACCAGAAAAACACCAGTTCTTAGAATATACCTATGATTTAGTAAATGTTATAAATGTGTGTTATAGGACTGACTGGGTATCATTATTTCAATATTCTTTTAATATTTCACTATGTAATTTGACATAATTTACTCCTTTTCAAAAGACAACATGGGGCTATTTGTCCAACATCATGATGAACATCCTTGCAATCCATCTTTGTACATTTACCTAATTTTTTCCTTAAGTCACATTCTCAGAAGTAAAATTCTGGGTCTAAAGACATCCATATATCACATTTGCAGGCCTGTCACAAAGTTGTCATCAAAAAATTGTGCTAGTATATATCCCTGTTATTATACAAAAATTGTCTACAAAGTGACACTGTCATCTGTATTTTCTAAAAATACATTTTAAATATTGCTAATCTTATTAGCCAAAATAAGTCTAGCTTCTGAAATTTATTATTTATTAGTAATAATAAAATATATTTGTTTATTCATCATTTTGCATTTTTATAAATTGACTGTTGATGTCTTTTACATATTTCTATGTTTGTTTCTATATTTTCTCTGTATTTTTTTATTCTCATGTTTATATGACTTAACCAGCTTTTGTGTGTGTTTGTGCATATATATATGGGTATATATACATTTATGTGTATATGTATAAATACATATATGTATGTGTATTTTCACCTGATTAAGTATTATCACAATTGTGTAGAAATTTATTGCTTAGTCTATTTTTTTGACATAATGACCATTATTCTATGAAGTTTTGACAGTAATTTTACCACAAAATGTGATTTATTATTGGTATGCATTGCAGGCACAAGGCAGGTATTATACGATTGTAATAAGTCATTATTTAGCTCTGAATTCTCCACTCATAATTTTTAGAAGACTTTTAGCTATCCAAAGCAGAATCTGGAATATTTTATTTTATTACTGACAATATAATTTTTCTGCTAATTTTTAGAAGATAATCTCCTGCTGTTCTTCTAGAAGCATAAATCAGAAACAGAAGACATAAATCAAATGCCTCCAGGGAATTGACAGTTAGTTTTAATATATAGGGAAAATATGTAACATAGCAAGGTGTGATGGTGTTGGTGGCCAACTGAAGAATACAAGCTCAACTAAATGCAAATTCATTTTGTAAAATTAATTTTAGTCAATTTAACAAAACTTGTTTAATACCTGAATCTAGGATCAGTTCCAACAGCTGTCAAACTTCAGACTGTAAGAATTCTAAGTTGGTGGAGACCATCATTCCATGCAAGTTTCATAGAGTAAATTTGTCTTTCCTTTGAACAGACACACACATGCATGAACTCACACATGAACATGCATTTGCATGCGTATGCCTATATATATGTAATATATATAATATTATTATTATCAATTAATAGCAGATATATAGATGATATTTTTGTCCTAGCACATATATATATGCTATATATATATGCTGTATATATGCTATATATATGCTGTATATATGCTATATATGCTGTATATATGCTATACATGCTGTATATATGCTATATATATGCTATATATATACGCTATATATATGCTCTATATATGCTATATATATGCTATATATATGCTACATATGCTATATATGTGCTATATATAGATATGCTAGAGTTTTTAGATTTACAAAAACAAAACAAAACCAAAAATTATGCATGTAGGAAAACATTTACATGAGAGATCAGTTGGTACCCAACCCAACAATTGTTTTTTATGAAATACATTTGTTTACTTGCTTAACATATTTCTCCTTAACTAGAATAATTGAAAGCACTATCTGAAAAGAACAAATATTAATTGTTACTATCTCTTCATTTTTTTCCTAGAACAACTTTCTCCAAATGTTTGATTTTTTTTGCAACCGCTTCATTTAATGCAAGACTTTTTTTACATTCATATATTATATTGGTGCTTTAATGCATGTTCTTCAAGGAAGTTATGCAGAAACTATTTATGAGATATCAATTTTAAAGTATGTTAAGAAATGTGGCAATCTCTAGAGATAACTCTTTTGTACTTTAATTTACACAACTTGTCAGTTAAGTACAATTGAAATGGGAATTCAGCTGCCGTCTCTCAAAGAGATTTTCTCTCTTTCCCAGGTATTTAAAAAACTTGCTATAAACTTAAGGTTTTCTACTGATTAGTATTTTAAACTAACTTGTTATAAAGGCAGGAGTTCCTTGTATTTTTCATAAAGTCTTCCAGAACTATGTGTTTTCTAAGGATCTGAGAATGATTTGTTTTATTGACATACAGTGCTTGACTAAAAAAATGTTATTCCCATTTAGTCTGGCTTTAATAATAACTACAGGAATAAATAAAAATTATATCATTTTTGATGTAGCATTTACCTTTTAAATATGATGTCAAATGAGATACACTAAAAACATTTACATTTTGACAGTGTTAAGTACAAAAGTAAATGGAAATATGTCCAAGCACATGAGAAAAAACAACACTATCTCTGTAACTAAAGCATATGAATAAAATGAAACAAGAATTGGAAAGAAATTTGATCCATTAAAACTTAGATCGCAATCCTGAAAGCACCAGTTTGGTAACTGTTTATTAAATAAGAATTAAATCATTGGTACACATTTTATTTCTTCATTCTTTACATTTTTTTCTTCATGTAGTAAAAAACTAGATTTATGTTATTGAAGCAGAATTCACTAATCATGTAAAGATTAGTTGATCCTTGAAATGCTGCATATCTAACATTTTTAGAAATTGGTTTCTCTGGGCCAGACAATATCTGAGAAAGAAAGAATTGGGAAGATACTTTCAGTTCTGTACAAAAATAATGAAACAGATCTGGTAAGCTGAAGATCTGAGCATTATTTTGACAGACATGGGAAATGGGGACTGCACCTGCCTATCTCACCTGGTTTTCAATGCTTCACTTGCACTGGCTTTCAGCCATTTTCAACCATGTACGAATGAGGTACATGGTTAACATTAAATGACAAGGTCACTACTAATGATGTCCTGGAGGGCAGCCAGCCTAGTCCCAAATCCTGAATTTGCCATGTGGAAAGAAATGAACATGCAACATGAAAAACTGCTGCCTCTAAATTCCGAGATAATAATACAAGTAATACATAGTTTCTTATGGTTTGCAAAGCACATTAACATACAAAATTTATTGAGACAATCACAACAAAAACTATGAGAAGGAGCATGTTTCTAGTTATACTTACAAACAATGCAATTCATATTCAGTATCAAATGGTATGTTCAGATTCAGATATTAATAAAAAAGGACAATTTTTAAGTAACACAAGGAGTAAAAAATGAAAACAGAAAGTGATCATTGTTAATTCGAGTTTAAGAATGATACCCAATAAAAATGTCCAAGTAAATCAATACATGTAAAATAATAGTAGTCCCGATAGCAAAAGGAAATAGAAAGCAGATGCATAGATGCCCTTTACACTCTGTCCAAATGTATGATTAGGGAGCCCTTAAATCCTGATTCTTTTTTTTTTTAACACACTCTAATACTGTCACTCAAGACCCAGGCTGGAGTGCAGTGTGGTGCCATCATAGCTCACTGCGGCGCTGACTTCCTGGGTTCAAGTAATCCTCTTGCCCCAGCCTCCAGAGTAGCTGGGACTACCGGAGTGCATCAGGCCTAACTAAAAAAAAAAAAAAAAAAAAAAAAAAATGAGAGATGGGGTATCACAATGTTGTCCAGGCCTGTCTCAAACTCCTGGGACCAAGCAATCCTCCTGTCCTGTCATCCCAAAATGTCAGGATTACAAGCTTGAGCCACTGTACTCAGCCATGATAGTTCTTAATCATCAATACATTTAGCTCTTGTTTGAAGACACTACTCTCTCCCCATTTTCACCATAGATTTATAAATTTTTGTGCTAGGAGAAACCCCAGAAACACTTAAGGCTACTTGCTTTATCTTGAAGATGAGACAGGGGTTAAAACCTTAATCCTTACCTTAATCCTGACTTTAATCCTTCCAGAGAGAGAGTTCACATCCCAGTCACTATTATGCCATATACAGAATAGCCCTAGAACCTAGATACCTAATTTAAGAATTAATGTCTGATTTTTTCTGAGACAGATACCTATCCTTCTCCCGATTACATCTGGTGACGTAAAGGTGACTAGTTTAAAATCTTACTGAAAAGAGGAAAAAATATATATCATTAAATCCTTCAGAAATAATTATATAAATACAGAAACAAATTTAGAGCCCCCCTTTTGAATATTGAATTGAGTATGTGAGTAAAGAGCACTCTACTCAAAATTTACAAAACATGTATAAAACCCAAAACTGATGCTCCCAAATATTGTAGAATCATCAGTAGAACATGTAATCAGTTATTTATATATTTCAAAATAATAATAACTGTTATCTATAAAATATGAAATTTATGTCAAGATTAAAAAAATACAAACTATGATCTTTTTTCATAATACAACTAATGACATGCCATCTATGCCTCTATAATTCAATAAGTTTATGTGTCCACCTGAGACATTCTTGTTCACATTGACAGGTGGATTTCTGTGGCTTGTTATATTCTTCATTGTATCTATTCAGTTTGGTATTTTGGAGATTGCTATCTATGGCTTCTTTCTCATTAACTAATTATTTGAAACTTTGGCCAAAACAAATGTTTCCTTGCCCTATTACCCAACAGACATAGACGTATCCTAATCTATTTCTATGCATCTCGTTTAGCCCACTTATTCCTTTCTTCTTTCATTAATTTCTCCTTTTCTTTCACTTGGTTAGAAATCCAAGTAGTTGTCAGATCTGGGTCATCAAGTTCCCAGTGATAAGAAAACTAAGAATGTTACTAATGCTAAATGACGAGTTAGTGGGTGCAGCATGGCACATGTATACATATGTAACTAACCTGCACATTGTGCACATGTACCCTAAAACTTAAAGTATAATAATAATAAAATTAAATTAAAAAAAAATTCAAAAAAAAAAAGAAATACCAGAGACTGGGTAATTTATAAAGAAAGAGGATTAAGTGGCAAAAAAAAAAAAAAAAAAAAGAAAGCTAAGAATGTTGCAATGGTATTATGCAGAAACAGAAAAAAAAAAAATGTCTCTAGCACCATCCAGCACTCACCTCCCCAAATATTTTACTTTATTACACCATGACAATAAGAGAATAAAGTTATAGCTCCATATTTCAAGTAATTTATAATATGCTAGTAGAAAAAAAACAAATACATATTATGGTACAGAATGTCTGTAAGTTGTGACCAGCAAGATACAAAGTGTTATTCAATTTAATTTGAAGAATACAGAAGGTATTAACAAGCCCTGCGCTGCAGGCTGGATGGAAAAATGATGTTTTCCTAGCAACTCTCTGTCTAATGAGAGTGACAAGATAGTAAGCAAACCATTAGGATACACTGAGGAAAGTGCTATGGTAGAGTAATGTAATAATAGTTCAAAAGAAAGACAGCTCATATCCTGCATATGACTCTGCCATATGCAGTTTTTAAAAAACAGTTTAGAAAAATAGAAAAACTTCCAAAGACCCTCAATGAGTAAACTTACATTAGACATTTGGCTAAATCCAGAAAATGATACATGTGTTGACACGCTCTTTCTCCAAAACTTCATGCTCTTGAGGAGTGGAAACTCAGCCAGAAGTAGTCTCAGAGGATAGTCATTTTAGATAGCCTCAACTTTCTCCACATTTTCTTCGGTCATCATATTTCTATTAATCCTAACACAGTAGTTTACACATTTGCCAGGTAATTCTTAAAAATGGATAAACTGTAATGTTACCTGAAGTCAAATTAAAAATTTCAGAAGTATAAACAATTGAAGCAAGAAGTTCAGCATAGCCGAGATTTGATGACACTCACACATGTCACGTTGGCTTCTCAGAATATATTTTTAATTTCACATTACATTACATATAACTCTAATAAATAATTTTGAAATAAATAAATGAGCATTCATAGCTTTTGTTGTTTTGCTTTATTTTTTTGTAACAGGGTCTCACTCTATCACCCAGGCTAGAGGGCAGTGGCGCGATCATGGCTCTCTGCAGCCTCAAACTCCTGGGCTCCAGTGATCCTCTAACCTCAGCCTCTTTGGTAGTTGGTACCACAGACATGTAGCACATCATCAGCTAATTTTTAATTTTTTTGTAGAGATTGGGTCTCAATGTGTTGCCCAGGCTGGTATTGAACTCCTGGGCTCACATGATCCTCCCACCTTGGCCTCCCAAAGCACTGGGGCTATAAGCATTAGCCACCACGCCTGGCCACATTTATAGTTTTATACTTTATAGTTTATAAAACAATTTAAGATAGACTACTTCATCTCAGTATCAGCAATACACCTTGGAATAATCATATTTAGGATAGTTAGCTTTTCATGTTGCACTGATCCCCTTACCATTATGTAATGCCCTTCTTTGCCTATTTTGATCTGTGTTGGTTTAAAGTCTGTTTTATCAGAGACTAGGATTGCAACCCCTGTTTTTTTTTTCTTTCCATTTGCTTGGTGAATATTCCTGAATCCCTTTATTTTGAGCCTATGTGTGTCTTTGCAAGGAGGATGGGTCTCCTGAATACAGCACACCAATGGGGCTTGAGTCTTTATCCAATTTGCCAGTCTGTGTGAAACCCTGTCTCTATTAAAAATACAAAAATTAGACTGGTGTGGCGGTGGGTGCCTATAATCCCAGCTACTTGGGAGGTTGGGACATGAGAATTGCTTGAACCTGGGAGGCAGAAATTGCAGTGAGCCGAGGTTGCGCCACTGCACTCCAGCCTGCGACAGAGTGAGACGCCATCTCAAAAAATACATGCATACATACATACATACATACATACATACATACATACATACTTACTTACTTAAGAATGTTGAATATTCCCCCCGCCCTACACACTCTCTTCTGGCTTGTAGGGTTTCTGCAGAGAGATCCGCTGTTAGTCTGATGGGCTTCCCTTTGTGGGCAACCCAATCTTTCTCTCTGGCTACCCTTAACATTTTTTCCTTCATTTCAACCTGAAGACAGAGGCAGAGGGCAAGGAGTAGGTACGAGAAAGTATTTGAGCATTTATCTTTAACAGGCTTGTTTACTTATGTTGACCAGGAGCTGATCTTTGATCATCTGCGCACGTGACCCGTTCTCTCAAAGGGGAACAATAAATGTTAATTACCTGCAGACTGTGTTTGTTCCAGGCTTCTGGCAGTATGCCTGTACTGAATAAAAGCAAGCAGCGCCAGCTCCTTGAGGCTGCCTCTCTGGCCACTAGTGCTGGGCGGTCCCCTAACTGCTCTTACACTGCATACCTGTGTCTAATACTCCTTTCTTCTGTCACTTGGCCAGGGTCTGCGGACAGACCCGGCAATGAAGTGCACAATAAATGTAATGTGGGTGAATCATCCTGAAACCATCCACCCCTTTGCTGTCTGTGGAAAAACTGTCTTCGTTGACACTGATCCCTGGTGCCAAAAATGTTGGGCACCACTGCTTTATGACATCTATATAGTCTAAAATTGTGCTTGGTCTGGTAATAATCTTATATCAAAGTTTTCAAATATAATAGGATGTTCAGTTCACAGAGTAACATGAAAGTGGCAATGATCAGTTGTGAATCACATATATAGTATGAAACGTGTATACCTGAAAAAGAATCTGAACACTGTGGAGAAATCACCACACAGAGGAAAAGCACTGTTCAAGAGGGAATCATGCATCTCTCAAGGGTACATTTTCATGAGTTCTTTCTTTCATAAGAATATCCTTGCTGGTATGTATGGCGGCTGCTCCATCACAAATTTGGTACCATCCATAAATGCCAAATCCTGAGAATTATCTGCATTGAGAAAGAATATAATTGTTGTGTTTAAATCAAAGATTACCGATTCTATCATACACAAGTTTCCATAAGCTGGTTAGGTCCAAAAGATTGTGAATCCTGTAAAATCCTCCCATATTTCTATGCACTAAACTCTTTGTTATTTGTTTTGTGAGATTTAAAAGAATCACATTCAAATATTTAGGAAGAAATAAAAATAATGACCAGAAAATCAATCTGCTTATTCTCATTCAGTAACCAAATAATTGAGCACATTGTGTTATAAGGTATGTTTAGAATTGTGAATACCAGTTATGTATACATTGTAGTTATTGAGTAGATATATGTTTACAGTTGTTTCCAGCTCAGTAAATGCCCTTGATTCACTTCATGTCAGATACCAGTCTATAGTTTAAACATGAGAATATCTGCTCAAGTAATATGGCATAAGAAGGGTCAACATGCTGAAGAGAAATGGGAACAGAAGCTTGGGGAAAAAAGCTATATTATACCAGCTCTGGATTAAGGTCTCAGTGGAGGTAGGGGATAGATCTGACAATCTGTGGTATGTGCCATTTCCTCTGTTTCTGGTAATAGCATTCCAGTTTGATCTTGGAAAGATATTCAGTCATTGTATCTTATAGTGGGAGAAATTAGAAGAATCAGTTACTCTCTGTCTAGAATTTAAATCTTGACAAGTTCCAAAAAACACAACAAAGTGTTGTAGCTGATTATTCCAGACATAGAGTGTTCATTAGTTTCACCTTCAGATATCCCCAGAACTCTTCTTCCTTAGTTCAGTTATATAGGGACCTTTTTTGTTCCACGACTATAATTTTCTATTCTTTCAATAAATTCACATTTAAATATAGTTTCCATAGTTAGAACCAAAAATATAAAGCTTACATTAAATTAATTCTAAATAGGTTTCAGTCTTAACTTTGCATGTAGACTTTTGGTTGAATTTTTCAAGTGAACCATTTAATAAGCCTAGTGAGTTTTCAGTTTCAATATGATTATTTTCCACTATATTAAATTGTTTATGTGTTCAAACAGCCTGTAATTTAAACTAATATAATATTATCAACAATGTTTACAATGGGTATTGAATTGATTTGAATTTTTTTACTATTTTAATTTTCTATTTTCTAGTATAATAGTGATAATAACAACAGCAATAATAATAATAATAACTCACATTTATTGACTATATAACTTCATGCCAGGCATTATTCTATATATGTATTATCTCATTTAATTCTCACAGTGATTCCATAAGTTCTAATATTAAAATTCATTTTCTGTATGTATTAGGCTATTCTTGTATTGCTATAAATAAATACCTGAGACTTGGTAATTTACAAAGAAAAGAGATTAAGTTGGCTTATGATTATGCAGGCTTTACAGGAAGCACGATGCTGGCATATGCTTGGCTTCTAGCAAGGCCTCAGAAAGCTTTCACTTATGGCAGAAGGCGAAGGGGAAGTAGATAGGTCACATGGTGAAAGCAGGAGCAAGGAAGAGAGGAATAGTTGGGGGTGGGGGGTTGCTACACACTTTTAAATGACCAGATTTCACTAAAACTCACTATCACAAAAAGCATCAAGACATAAGGATCTGCCCCCATTTTCCAAATGCCTCCCACCAGGACCCACCTCCAGTATGGGAAATTACAATTCAAAGTGAGATTTTGGTAGAGATGAATATTCAAACTATATCAGTGTATGATAAAAATAAGGCTAAAGAAAATGAATAGCTTACTCTACCTATCTTCATTTTTAACAGGCAGAACCTGTCCACCAGGCAGATTTTTCTGGTCGCAAATTTTATGCTATTACATTGGCAAAGCCTTAATAAACACAAATATAACTGGACTAGATATTAATAGCCCCTATTTTATTCCAGTGTAATTTTTAAAATCTCCAAGATAAAGATTTATATTAAGGATTTGATTTGTGTACTTGTTGTTAAAGCCATTGTCATACTAAAGCTGTTTTTTTTTTTTTTTTCAGTGAAAATAGGTAACCTGAACAGAACCCGCTATTACTTGGCAAACATTCACAGTTATTATAGCACATGTAGTGAGCCTGAATCAATTGCATGGCTCTGCAAAACTGTTTCTTATCGGTTTTATGAATAAGGCTCCATGTTTTTATAATAAGGAAATAAAGCATAAAAATAGAATGGTTGGAGTGAAAAATAAAAATAGTTGTTATAAATAAAAGTATAGCATTTTAAATTATCTAATCAATTTGACATACTAAAGATATGTTTCTGAATATTCCTGGAAATTATAGACTGTCTCACTTATATTTTTTCCTGAATTGTAGTGCCTAGCTAGCTATGTTACACAATGTAGGCACTCCATTTAAATGTAGTAAATGCTAATATGTTCAGCACTGTATGTTTCTCTTCTAAGAATTATGAACTACCTTCTGTATTAAATTCTTTGTAGAGGCTCTATTTTTACATAATATATATAAATTATTAATATGGTAGTTACTGAATTACTACTGTATTAATTCATCTAAAACAAAGTGTAACATAATTGCTTTGTGAACTATTGATTGTAAAAAGTAAAAGTAAAAGCAGGTTAATGTAAAATAACCATGAAGGGAAAATAATATTTATAGAAATGTCACACCATAGAAGACAGTTCAATAAAGAAATAGTATTAAATAGGCAAAAACATAAGAGGACTATTATAAAAATATAGCATTTGTATAAAAGTCATAAAATGGCTTAGGCATTCATGGAATATTAAAAGATAGAACATAGCAGGCAGGTGGTTCACGCCTGTAGTCCCAGCACTTTGGAAGTCCGAGGCAGGAGGCTCACGGGGTCAAGAGATCAAGATCATCCTGCCCAACATGGTGAAACCCCATCTCTACAAAAAATACAAAAATTAGCTGGGTGTGGTGGCATGCACCTGTAGTCCCAGCTACTCAGGAGGCTGAGGCAGGATGATGGCTTAAACCCAGGAGGTGGAGGTTGCAGTGAGCCGAGATTGCACCACTACACTCCAGCCTGGTGACAGAGCGAGACTCAATCTCAAAACCAAACGAACAAATGAACAAAAACATAGAATATAAATGCATTATAATACAACAAGAAGGAGATAATTCAATAGTGGTATTTCTTTCAACCGTTCCCACTATATGCAGGATAGAGTTGATTACTTCTTTGTGGTAAAAATAATTATTCATAGTTTGGCCACTGCACACTTTTTCTATTTTGTCTATCACCAGCCTTCTCATCCTGCTATGAGGCCAGTCTCCCTGACAAAGCATATATATTCTGAATTCCAATTTTATTAAAATTCAGTATATTGGCAATGATCCTTCAATAATGTACTCTCAGACAATCATGCTATTATATATTAATATTCTCTTTTTTAAATACCCTGCTTCCATTCTCTGTTATTTTTTTGGTCTCAATTCTAATAGTAATGTTCTTGCCAGCAGAAGTTATGCTTTATTCCTTTTTATATTTCCAAAACAGGTCATATTGGGAGGTCTAAATAAATCAGCTAATAAAAATACAAGTATCCTTTTAAAATAATTGAAAGAGAAAAAATGCAAGGTAACAGAGAAACGAAAAATATGCCAAAAGATATAAAACAAGATTCGTTCAATTTAAGAAATAATGCATTGTAAACTAAAAAAAGAAATTTTTGTTGAAGTACTTATCGCTATTTGGTCAAGTTCTTCGTGAAGAAACTAGAACAAAAGTACATAATTTTTAAAAAGAACTTAATTTAGAGTAAGTATACTGGAATTTTTCATATCTGCTATTAGCTGATTCTCTGATGTGGGGGACAACGTATCATCTCTACCATTATGAAAAAAAAATTCTCTACATGTTTTTCTTCATTATGCAGTATTTGAGTTTATATCATATTTCAGTTAAAATTCATATTAATTTTTACTATATCATAAGTAGTGAGATGTTACAAATAATGTTTCATAATAATGCAGCTAATAAATAAAAAAATTTCGTTATGATTATTTTCCATAATAAAATATGGTAGGCAATAAGATGTGTTGAAACAACCGCATGCATTGCAGGGGGTATAACTGTTATGGGTATCCCAGGTGATCAGGTGTTGACATGGTACATCTGAGATGCTTGTTATATTTTGGCGGGGGAGGTTATGCTGCTCACTGATAAGTAGTTTCTACTCTTTCTAGGCATATAGAACACTGAGCCTGTTGAGTCCCTTGAGTATGGGCATTTCTAGCATTAGCTATAGAGAAAAGAGGGGAAATATCATGTTATTTCCAAGATGTAACAATTAATTCCCAGTGTGATAAACTCCAGGGTGCTCTTTCCCCTGCTACAGTGATTCAGTGATTGTGGAAGCACCT
Source organism: Homo sapiens (assembly GCF_000001405.40). Taxonomy (NCBI): domain Eukaryota; kingdom Metazoa; phylum Chordata; class Mammalia; order Primates; family Hominidae; genus Homo; species Homo sapiens. The sequence continues at coordinate 58,744,457 of NC_000004.12, read as the reverse complement.
GTTGAGATAGACCTTTATCAGCTAGGTCCCTTACAAAACAGGATGGGAAAATAAACTAACGCCTCCTCAATCCTGTCAACCAACATAAAATAACTTTTGTTGTCTTAAGCCACTGAAGTTTTGCGAGGGTTTAATTCCACAGTATAACTGAGTTTACCAGGACTAGTAGAGGATATGGTTTGTATTTGTGAGATTTTGACATAAATAAAAGGCTAAAATAAGTAGCAATAGATTAAGTGTTCAGAGGCACATAATTAGGTAAATGCCACCAATAGCTAGAAAGACAGGGATTGGGGCAGGTTTAATACAAAGTTAGTCAAATTTAGGCTTCATTTTCCCCCACTTTCACGGAGTCCATTTCAAAGCCCCTAGGAGGGAACCTAGTAATGTGTTCATATGGATTTTACAAATAGATATATTCACAACTGTTGCGGGAAGTCAGGGACCCCAAACGGAAGGACTGGCTGAAGCCATGGCAGAAGAACATGGATTGTGAAGATTTCATGGACTTTTATTAGATCCCCAAATTAATACTTTTATAATTTCTTATGCCTGTCTTTACTGCAGCCTCTAAACATAAATTGTGAAGATTTCATGGACATTTATCACTTCCCCAATCAATAAGCTTGTGATTTCCTATGCCTGTCTTTACTTTAATCTCTTAATCCTGTCATCTTGTAAGCCGGGGAGGATGTGTGTCGCCTCAGGACCCTGTGATAATTGCGTTAACTGCATAAATTGTAGAGCAAGTGTGTTTAAACAATATGAAATCTGGGCACCTTGAAAAAAGGACAGGATAATAGCAATGTTTAGGAAACAAGAGAGATAACCTTAAACTCTGACCGCCGGTGAGCCGGGCGGAACAGAGCCATATTTCTCTTCTTTCAAAAGCAAATGGGAGAAATATCACTGAATTTTTTTTCTCATCAAGGAACATCCCTGGGAAAGAGAATATGTGCCTGAGGGTGGGTCTATAGTTGGCCCCCTTGGGTGTGGCCGTTTTCTATGGTCGAAACTGTAGGGATGAAATAAACCCCAGTCTCCCATAGTGCTTCCAGGCTTATTAGGAAGTGGAAATTGCCAGCTAATAAATTTTGGTCAGACCGGTTGCTCTCAAAACCCCGTCTCCTGATAAGATGTTATCAATGACAATGGTGCCCGAAACCTCATTAGCAATTTTAATTTCACCCCGGTCCTGTGGTCCTGTGATCTCACCCTGCCTCCATTTGCCTTGTGATATTCTATTACCTTGTGAAGTACCTGATCTTTGTGACCCACGCCCTATTCATACACTCCCTCCCCTTTTGAAAATCCCTAATAAAAACTTGCTGGTTTTGTGGCTTGTGGGGCATCACGGAACCTACCGACATGTGATGTCTCCCCCGGATGCCCAGTTTTAAAATTTCTCTCTTTTGTACTCTGTCCCTTTATTTCTCAAACCGGCTGATGCTTAGGGAAAATAGAAAAGAACCTACATGACTATTGGGGCAGGTTCCCTGATACACAACATATGCAAACATAGGATATTGCATACTCACTTTATTAAAATCACTGTCTTCACTAACTTCCTCTTCATCACATTTTATATTCATGTTAAGTGGAATTAGAATTGCCACACCATTTCTGGCATTTGGCTAAGGGAAAGTTGAGTTGGAGACACATTTAGTTTAAGCTTAATGAAATATAACAGTGTGACTCACAATTTATAGCTAAGTTGTTGTTAGCCATGCCAGTGCAGAAATGCTTCCCAGAATATTCTACAGCCCTCTGTGCCAATTAGCCCACTGTTATGCAATAGAAATGTGGCCTGTAGCAACTGGCTTCAGAGAATATGGGTTATGGAGAAATAAGAAAATTGGTATTTCACGAAGTTAGAAATAAGTATATGAGATTTCATTTTCCAATTATCAAATGTAAAAGTACAAGCAGAGAATTTGTTTCTTCATAGAAGCCTAGTCAACACCGAAATTCTCTCCTTTCTGTAATATAGTAAATAATGTGGTGTATATATAAACACAATATATTTTTGTCTTTTTTATGGACATTATCACTATTACTACTAGCAGTGAATAATTCTGTGCATGAAATCATAAGTTTGTGTCCAGCTTGTCAACAATTTTTTTAAGTAAGGCTCCACTATACTAAGAAAGGAAAGAATTACTTTTCTACCCTCTGAGATATGATATTATAAAATTAATGTAAGATTAAATGTAATCAAAGAAAATGCAGCAAAAAAGACAGAAAAATAATTTTATAGGCATAGCAGGTAAATATATGTTTTTTAATGTATAAAGCTTCTGGTATTTGGTTTTTTGTTTGTAATTATTTTGTAATTTATTTATTTTCTCATTATAAACAAGTACTTGATTTTGTACCTAATTTTATATTTATAATTTAGTATTGTCTTTTTTTTTTTTTTTTAGACCGATTCTCACTCTGTCGCCGGGCTGGATTGCAATGGTGTGATCTCGGCTCACTGCAACCTCAGCCTCCTGGCTTCAAGCGATTCCCCTGCCTCAGCCTCTCGAGTAGCTGGAACTACAGGCGCATGCTGCCACACCCAGGTAATTTTTGTATTTTTAGTAGAGACGGAGTTTCCCCACGTTGACAAGGAGGCCCTTGATGTCTTGACCTCGTGATCTGTCCGCCTTGGCCTCCCAAAGTGCTGAGATTACAAGCGTGAGCCACCGCGCCCAGCAGTGTTGTCTTTTTTTTTTTTTTTTTTTTTTTTTTTTTGAGACGGAGTCTCGCTCTGGCGCCCAGGCTGGAGTGCAGTGGCTGGATCTCGGCTCACTGCAAGCTCCGCCTCCCGGGTTCACGCCATTCTCCTGCCTCAGCCTCCCAAGTAGCTGGGACTACAGGCGCCCGCCACTACGCCCGGCTAATTTTTTGTATTTTTAGTAGAGACGGGGTTTCACCGTTTTAGCCGGGATGGTCTCGATCTCCTGACCTCGTGATCCGCCCGCCTCGGCCTCCCAAAGTGCTGGGATTACAGGCGTGAGCCACCGCGCCCGGCCCAGTGTTGTCTTTTTTAAGAGGACTTACAATTACATAAGTTTCTGCTGTGAAAACTTGAACCCAGGCCATCATAGTGATTCCCACTTTATGATAGTAAAACTTCTGGCAAATCTTGTTTTTGACCATTTGAAACTCAGATAATGTCTAGTAATCTTAAAACCCTGAGGCTATAGGTAGAAATACAGAGTATTAATACTGTATGTTCATTGTTATTGGCTGTGTTTTCCAAGGTATTAATAGAGATGAACTCAGAAAACAACTAACAATAATGACTGAAAACAGACTTTGTCCCTAAACTCATGACCCTGGAAAACTATTTATTAATAAATGACACATGTATTAATAAATGACACATGTATTAATAAATGACACATTACTAATGTGTCATTTATTAATACAACTGAAAAGCAAGATATTTAGACATAAATATATAAAGCAATCTTATTAGCAATAGCTAAAAACTAGAAGTAGCCCAAATGTTCATGAATAGGTAAATAAATGTAGTCATTTTTGTATACCCATAAAATAGAACACTGAGGAGTAATAAAAAGAGATGAAAGTCAAAATAATTATACTGAGCATAACAAACAGAATTCCATGTATGTGAAATTATGGACAATGTCATAAATCTACCAGTATAAAAATATACAGTCATGAGAAGTAGATTAGTTGTTGCCTGGGGGTAAAGGGCAGAAGGGAGGACATAGACATGAAAGAGTCAGAGGAAACATTTGTAGGTATGCACAGGTGTCAAAATCTAACAAGTTATATACTTTAAATATATGTGGTTGATTGTCAGTTATAACTCAATGAAAGTATAAACCTAATTTATTTGAGAAAAGACTCCATTTGTGGCATGGATCAAATCAGGAATATAACCATCCTACTCATTGCTTAGTGACTCTGAAGGGATGAGTCTGTTACTCAGAGTGTCCTTTTAGTTGGGAGTAGGGGAAGAACATACATTGCAGAGAAATTAGACTGCACATGCACATTTGTCAATGAAGGTTAAGAGGACAAAAAAAAAAAAAACAGAACATGGAATAAAACAAGTCTGTATCTAAGACTTTGAAACAACCCTTGGGCTGCAACCTTCCACAAGCCAGCTGCTGGCTTACAAAATATCTTAAGTTACCTCTCTGCCCTCCTGCAATCCACCACACACACAAAGATACTCATGAAAGCAAGCCCTTCAATGTCCTCTTTCTTTGCAGTCAACAATGTTATCCTTTAATAATGTCGTGACCATTTAAAATGTCACAAAAAATCTCAACGGCAACAAAAGCCAAAAACATAATAGGATGATGATATGAAATAATGAAGAGCTCGCTGATTGATGATCTTCATGTAACGGACAGGCTAGTCAGAACCAGCATCGTAGCAAAGAGGATGTCCTCGCATATGTCCAATGAAAGAAGTCAAGAAACAAACTATATTTTCTTGGTAAGCCAGTTTGTCAACTGGTTGTTTCTCCTTGCCCATCTTGTCAGTGTAGTAGGAAAAGAATACAGTGGTTCTAAAAGCAAACATTGAGATAAGACTTATTCTAGAAATTTCAGGTATACATTTGCATGCAATTCTGACAAAAATGAAAATAAAGAAAATTAGAACTAGAGTCCTCTTGTATTTGAACTAACACCCACACCCCTTTATTCCTTGTCTATACACCTTGCTACACACAAGCTCATGAAATATGTGAGTAAATTTCTTTCCTCACTTATAAAATATCAACATGTTTTCATTGACATTAAACTACTTTTCATGAATTATACATTAATAGGTATAATACTATATTTATGACTACAATTTAAATGAATAAACATAAACTATGTATTCATAACAAGATATTATACAATATCACCAGTGTTTAAGATTCCCGCTCTGGCATAACACCAACTATTTTGACATGTAGATTCTTACATTTACTAGCTATAGGGCTTTGGATAAGTCACTTAGCCTTGTAAAGCCTTAAGTGTTCATATCTATAAAAGCAGCACAAAAGTACAGGCACTTGTTGACTTAGGATAGGGTTACATCTCAACAAATCCATTGTAAGTTGGAAATATTGTAAGACAAAAGCATATAATTCACCTAATCAATGGAACATCATAGATCACCTAACCCATGTTAAACATGTTCAGAACACTTAATTTAAGTCTAGAGCTTGGCAGAATAATCTAACAAAATGCCTACTTTATAATAAAGCATCACATATCTCATACAATTTAGAAAAAAATGTACTAAAAGTGAAAAACAGAATGGTTGCATAAGTACTTGAAGTACAGCTTCTACCGAATGTGCATTGCATTTGCATCATGGTAAAGTACGAAAAAAAAATCTTAAGACCAATCATCATAAGTTAGGGACCATTGGTGTTAGGAACCAAATGTAATCATCCTGAGGATTAAATGAAATAACCCATTTTATGGGATCACCCTAATGCCTGGCACATAGTGAGAACCCAAACATGGCCATTATTTTTATTACATGAGAAAACAGAGTTTCTAAGTTGCTTCTTTAAGTCTCAGAAATGAGATACAATTATCTTTGTCTATGGCCTCCGCAAAAAAGTAGTGGAATTAAAACTTTTGGGAGAATAACACAGTTGGAAATCTCCAGTTCTCCATGATTTTTTTTTCATGAAATGAACTGTAATTTGAAGTTTTCATTTTATAACAATTATTCTGAATCTATAGGAGGGTGGAGAGCTAATTAAATAAGCTTTTCTGTAGAAAAATTTCTCCTTGGCCTAAAGCCAGTAGATCAGAAAAAAAAAATGAAGAAGCAAAGAAGAGAAAATAGTCTGGTGCTGATGAATTCTAATGAACATTTAGGGTTCACAGGTCAGGCTGCAATAGCATGGTATGCCATACATCATTTTCTTTTTTGCTCAATTGAACCTGCAGCAATTGGTGTCTTTTATGCTTTCTTCAAATGTAGACATTTGTAGGTTATGAAATATAGGTAGTAAAAAAAAGTGTCAATTTATATTCTATAATAGGTTGACTAATGATTGATAATAAAGGATATGTAGCCACAGTATAAGTATTTTTTTCCAGAAACACAAGGATAGGTGGTAGAAGCAATATTACAACAGGTGCACATACAAATGAAGGGGAGAGGAAAACAGGTCAGATACGATAGCGTTGTTAGACGTGGTTAATTTGATTCAAGGAATAATGTTTAGGCGAGTTCAAAGGGACTATTTCCGTGTGTTTTCTTAGCTTAATCTTTTAAACACGGTTTTGTAAGGAGAGATCATGTGAATTCCACACTAAGTTGATCTAACGTCTGGATCTGGATTAGAGGAAGCTCATGAACTTCAGCAGCTGTCTTTCTGTTTTTTGGTTTTTTTTTTTTTTTTTTTGAGGCTTATTCAGTTTACTTGACACATCTACTTCATGTCTTCTGCCCTGCAACCTGGCCCAGAAAACCAGGAGTATAGTTTGTTAAAAAAGAAGTTGCCGGCAACTCCACTTCAAATAGAGGGAAGCAATCTTTAAAATAAATATTTTGAAGTGTCAGATATAATTCTTCATTTCTGTGATTTGGGAGGTAGTAATAGAGAGAAGTTGTGCTTAAATTAAGAAGAGCAAGATAAGAGGTGGGATCTATCCTTAGGAAGATAGAAAAAGTTAATAGACACAGAGCAATTATTTAAGATTAAGAAAACAATTCCTTAGATTTATGTTGGTGAAAACAAACTTCCGTCTAGGACAAGATGCTGATAAAAAGATGTAGGTTTATCAGCTAGGCAGATAGTATGTCTGTGCTCTGTTTAAATTTTGTTCACAGCTATCTTCTGAGAAATAAACCTGGAACACCACGGTCCCCATCCCGTAACAAACAGCTGATGATTAGCTCTGTGTGTTTGCCCGAATTTCCTGTGTAGTCCCTGCTTCTGTTCTCTCCTTCTCTCTTTCACAGAAGAAGAACTATCTTGATTTATTGTCTTTGATTTCCCTCTTCCTGTCATCTCTTCAATATACTATTAGGCCTTTATCCTCACCTTTCCACCTCAAAAAGAGTTTTTGTCAAAGTTATCAATGACCTATACTTTGCCCAATTCCACAATTAAATTTCATTTGACATTTTATTTAACCTTTTAGCAGCATTTGACTACATTTATCTTTTCTTCATCCATAAAATAAAGTCTTTGCTTTCATGGTTCTACATACTTCTATCTTTACTTTTTCCTCACTGGCTGCTCCTTACCAGTTCTCTTGCTAGTTCTTTTTCATTTCTTTGACCTCATTTCATTAATGTTATAGTGCCTTCTGGTTTATTCCTTTGATATCTTTAGTTTTTCAGTCTACTTACTCTCAATGATCTCATCTATTCTTCTGTCTTTCACATTCATATATTGATTGCTATCCAAAGCTACTCTTCTGAAATTCAGAAATAAACATATATCTCAATATTTGACATTTCACCTTGGATATTTAATAGGAACTTCACACGTATTCAGAAGTGAACTCCCAGTCTTCCCCTGCAAATGTGATGTGCTTATATTACTCTCCATCTCAGATAATTATCCTATCTTTTCAGTTATTCAGATCCAATAACTTGTCCTCCTGAACTCCTCTTGTTTGCTCATGGTCTTTGTCCAATTTGTTAGTGTATCCTTCCACTTCCGTATTAAAAATATTCCAGCCCAAATATTTCAACAACTGCATTGCTGCTACCCTGTTTTAAGCCACAATTATCACTCATCCTGAACTCAGTAAATGTTTCCCTAACCTGTTTGTGCAGTCTGTTGTCAAAAGTCATTTTTGTCTCATCTAATAGAGTAGGACCTTCCAGAGAATAATGTTTAATACATATTCCTTTGCACTGAGAAGAACCCTAGTACAATGATAAATATGACTCTCACAACTTCTAAAAAGTTTCCTTTTGGATAATTATTAAAGGTATTTCTAAATAGCAATTATTCTGAAAGATGAAAAGCAAGCAGCAACAGCAAAAATGTTTAGATAAATATCTGGCTAAACTGATGTCTAATGATAACCATAAGATTAGTATATTCATTTGTGTAATAGATTCTATGGGTGTCCTACCCATATTTCTTTGGATTTTGCTAGTCTAATGTATGCCAGAAGACTTCAAGTTACTATAAATGTATTTTTATTTATTCTATTTTTTTAATTTTAGTTTGAGGGTCTTCTCTGATTGCTGGAACTTATTCTGCCCGAGTGCCAAGTGTTGAAGATTTAGTGTACCCGACAAGAAGCCCTCAACTAATGACTCTTGGCTGTTTGTGTATAAATGCTCCAGCTATTTTGTCCCTTGACTCTAACTGCTCACAGTGGTTACTTGCCTGAGAACACAAAATTCCAGCTGCCTTCCCTTCCGTATCTCACTTTCTTTTTTTTGTTTTTTTTTGAGATGGAATCTCACTCTGTCACCGAGGCTGGAGTGCAGTGGCGATCTCGGCTCACCGCAAGCTCCGCCTCCTGGGTTCACGCCGTTCTCCTTCCTCAGCCTCCCAAGTAGCTGGGACTACAGGCGCCAGCCACCACGCCCGGCTAATTTTTTGTATTTTTAGTAGAGATGGGGTTTCACCATGTTATCCAGGATGGTCTCGACCTCCTGACCTCGTGATCCACCCACCTCGGCCTCCCAAAGTGCTGGGATTACAGCCTTATCTCACTTTCTTACTGTCATTCCAGCATTTGGGAATTAATTCTCAAACATATTATTTACCCTCCAATACTTTTATATTATTATTTTCTACTACGGGTATACAGGATCAGACATTCTGAGAAGTCTGTTTTATGAACATAATAGTAAAAGTCCAATAAAATGTGGAGTGTATCAGCTAGAATTTTCAAGGATGATCCTAAGTTACTGTATTTTAATGTTAATAATTCTATGTTATTAAATGAAGTGACCATCTGTACACAAATGGGTGCATACCACAAATATCCTATGCAAATATCAGATTAGCAGTAGCAGGAAGGAGATGAATGTTAAAAAAATTAGCAGCCTAACTAATGAGCATGCATCAGGCAAGTCTCTTGGATGCTTTTTCCTCTTGTGCTGACCCCTGCTACCTCATTTGTGAGATTCAGTTTAATTATATCATGAAGTGATATGGACATAGGCCAATAAGCCACATGGGGTAAATATGCACATTAAAGTTTTAACATGGTTCCATTGTAATTAATTCTTTAAACTTTGCTGAAGTCATTTCATATGACTTCTAAATTTCCACAGGTCTGTCTTAAAATATACCCATATTTCCTTTTTTATTTCAATTTTACCACAAGTCCACACACATTTCCTTGCCAAGTTTTGGGGTTCTCATTGGGTGACTAATTCCTAGCTATATCAATTATTAATGAAAGATACTTTCCATTGTCAAGTTCTGTTCACTTTAAAAATTTTTTAACCTTAATTATTTGCCTTGAGACCACCTCCACTCCAAATGATTTTACTGATCAAAAATAAACTGACATGTCTATATAAACACCAACTAAGGTCATTTTTTCTCTAATGAATTTCTTGTAATTACCATAATATTTGAAGAATAAAACACTAATTTCAGGAGGAATATACAGGTATCGGGGAAATCATATTGGAGTTAGGTAATTCTTTTCTTCTTTTTCTCCTTTTAAAGTACCACTGTTGAAACTCTCCACATAGAAAACAGGTCAATCTTGCACTAATCAATTGAACAGGAAAAAGGAGATAATTAGCAAACACTGCGTCAATTTAGTTTAATGGAAAACAAATTACAGCATAATGGTTTTAGAGACAGTGTTCTCACTTTGTAAAAACATTCAAAGACTAGTAATTCCCAAGAATTTCAAGGAGAAAGAGAAATCCTAGCATTGACAAAGTGCAGTATACTATAAAAAATATTGTGGCTATAAGATTCATGATGGCCATGAGGCCCACTCAGACAATTCACAGGGCCTACACCATGTGTCACTTAGCAGTATGATGCAACCTGGCCAGGGGATTTCCAGGAGAAAAGACCATCTCAGCACAGACACAACTCTCATAAATCTTAAAAAGAAGCTACTGTTACAAGAATAGCTTAAACTTGATAACTAACCTCAAATAAGATATAAGAAAGGGGGAAGGATGCCCCAAACTCTGAGAATAGTCTACAGATGGTCTCCTGTTCACGACACCAGCCTGCTCCTGCACTCCAGCTCATGCCAGCACAGCCAGAATAAACTGCTTGAAGATCTTCCAGTGTCTGAGATTCATCTTTGACATTATGAATCAGACCAAAAGAGAATAGTAAGCCCTGGGGAGCTGAATATCTAGGACCAGCCCAGAGGCCCAAGCACAACACCAATTGAAACTATTTTCTATGAAGTATTTTGATTTTAGCATCAATTGCTCTAGAAAAGCATTTTTAGAATAAGACAAATACATAGATGAGAGTAAATTTGAATGTTCATATAAAACAAAAATGTATTATTCTTGAAGAAAGAAAAAAAACACTTTTATCTTACTGCAAAATAGCAATTCAGTGAAAAAAGAACAGTTAGAAATAGAGAGCACAAAAAACAGTCTATATTAATATTACATGGATTTTAAATTTTATTGGGTTATTGAAAAAGTAATTGCGGATTTTGCCATTACTTTCAACGCTAATAATACCAAACTAATAATTCTAGACTATATATAGAAGTTTAAAATGGAGATAAATAAAATCAGAAAAGTTAAATGGAAAGATATGATTTTGTCACTACTTTTCCCCCAGTGCGTATCATTTTTTTCTAATTCAGAAAGCTTAATGGAGAAATGTTTTATGAAAAACACAGAGAAAATAAGTTAATGGGTGAATTATATTTATTTTACATATGATCTTAAAATTTAAAGTTTGCTTTTTAAACTACATAACATTTTGTATCCCAGAAATAAAGTTCCTCTAAAAATTATCTGTAAAATGCTAAAATATGATACAAACACATTTATTTTACAGACCTTATGTTTTATAAAAAACAATATTTCTTCATCAAATATATTTCTGAAATACTTACAATAATTCATACCAATTTTCTAATTTTAGAATTTTTAAGAGTCATCTGTATGCTTTGATATTCGTGATATTTCCCAGAAAGCAGCATAGTGGGTAAAATCTTCCATTTTATTAGAGAACTTTTTCCCCTTCTCTAATTCTAGCTGTTACCCAGCTACCCAAAGACTTTCACATGAATAGTGTTGAATAAAATGCTATAGGAGTTGAAAATATTGTTGATAGGATGACAGGACCAGGCTAACATCTTTTGAAATATAGAGCACCACCATATGGTGGTTCAGAGAATATATTAAAATTGAAGAAACCACCACTACCACAAACACAACAGAGTCAACAACATTCTTTGCAAGTGCTGCTTAGAAGTATAGCATGTCATTTCGGAGTGGCGGAGAAGTTGTTACCTAATTCTCATCTCTAATTTTGGATATACTTGAGATAGAGACAGACACTTTACATGTTGGCATTCACTCAAAGAGTGATATTGATTTTGTAGACAAGTTTATGTCTTAGACTTGTTTACAATGCATGTATATCAATGTTAATTTCTGAAACATTATCTACTGCTTGGAAATCTAGTAGGATGTACAATAGCTTTATAGTTATGTATGTGTAGATTATAGTTATGTATATCTAGAAATATGTTTGTTTAATGTGGTTTTTGCTCAGCAGAAAGTTACCGCTCTCCTATGTACATGTTTTATTTCACATACTGCCTTAAAGTTTTGTCCTGTTATGGAAGGCAGAAGGTGTTCCAATAGTGCTGCACAAATAATGAGAAAACACACCTTTCTACATTAGCTTAACACACACACACACACACACACACAAAATCCAATATTTTAATCTGTGAGAAGAATCATTAGAAAAGAGGCAACTTGTTTTTTATTCAGTTCCTAGTATTGCTTGCCTTGTAATTAAATTAGAATCAATGAAATACCATATAAAATATTTTTATTCTCATTGATAGATTCCCAGATTCTTGTGTTTTCATTCATTTATTAATTACTTCATAAAATAAGCATCTATTGACTATGGCAGAATATTCATGTTAAAATTCTTCATTTGTGTGTTCATGAGGTATGAACAGGATATTTCTTACTTATCATGATCTACGTGGTAGTACCTGATCCAAGTAATGTATTGGCAACTAAATATTTCCTAAGATTTTCTGAAATCTAAAAATAGACTCTAACTTTGGGATTTAGGATCACAGATAAATAATTCTTAGCCGGGCGTGGTGGCTCACACCTGTAATCCCAGCACTTTGGGAGGCCAAGGTGGGTTGATCACGAGGTCAGGAGATGGAGACCATCCTGGCTAACATGGTGAAACGCCATCTTTACTAAAAATACAAAAAATTAGCCGGGTGTGGTGGCAGGTGCCTGTAATTCCAGCTACTCAGGAGGTTGAGGCAGGAGAATGGCTTGAACTTGGGAGGCGGAGCTTGCAGTGAGTGAAGATCGTGCCACTGCACTCCAGGCTGGGCGACAGAGCAAGACTCCATCTCAAAATAATAATAATAATAATAATAATAATAATAATAATAATAATTCTTTCACATGGCTTTCTCTGTCAATGAAGCTGTTTTATTGAGCCAATGGCAAACTTCGTGCTTTTTGTCTTATATGAAACAGATCTAACTTCTGGTGACAGGTCTCAGTGTTGACCTTGGTCTCACAATATAAATAAAAATAACATGGATTATATATTCAAAGAATAATATAAATGATGCTACATATCTGATCTATCCTTGAAATCTGTTCCTACTTTGCAAGATCAGGTGTAGTTTGTATCTTCTCTCAGGGTAATTTTTTTAAGCTATCATGTGCCATATGTTATTGTTTCTTAAAGATGTTTTAGAGAGCTCCATCTGGGACATTATTTCATGAGTTTTTAGTTTATAAACTTTGTTTTTTGACAGGGTCTAACTCTGTTACTCAGGCTGGAGTGCAGTGGCACAATTATGGCTCACTGAAGTTTCAAACTCCTGAGCTCAAGTGATCCTCCTGCCTCAGCCTTCTGAGTACCAGGAAACACAGGTGCATCTCAACATGCCCAGATAATTTTTTATTTTGTATTTTATTGTAGTGACAGGGTCTCATTATGTTGCTCAGGCTGGTCTTGAACTCCTGGCCTCAAAAGATTCTCCCACCTTGACCTCCCAAAGTGCCAAGATTTCAGGTATGAGACACTTGCCCAATCTATACATACTTTTAGTTAGAAAAAAATTAAAAATTTACTTTGTGCTTCAGATTATAAAAGTAAAAAATTACCTGTATCTCTGGGTTGCTTATTAAATATTACATTTTTAATACAAAATACTATAAAATTAAGAATATTTAGTGCCCAACTATTTTTAAAAAGGAATGTCTTACATGATCCATATCAAGTCAATTGATAATCATATTATAGTTCTAGAGCATTTGATAGGTTTAATAAAAGTGCATTTTTATGAGTTAGATTCAAAAAATTCACTACTTTTATGTGATTCAAACTATGCTATATTTTCTCTAACACACCTCATTAGTTACGTTTCAAATCAATCTTGGTGTAAAAAGAATGAGAACAATAAACATGATTATAAGTAGGGACAGTTTGTTAAATATGCCTTAATGAGGTCCTATTGTGAGATGTGTCTTATGTACAAGGAGAAATCAGGACAAGCATACTGAACAAGAAAGGATAATCAAAACCCATGGCTAGTGAGTAGATATAAGTTTGAAATTGTTTGGTCTAGGAAGACATGTAAAATACAATTTGGTACATACAGAAAATGTAATTAAATGATAATTGCACTCAAGCACAATGAGTGTGGGATAAACAGCTTCTGAATCAATAAACCATGAGGCAGCAGGCTGAGGTACTTATTGATTTATGATTCATTTAGCTCCAAGTTTACTCCATTTCTGATTTAATTGGAACTACTGTATTCATTATGAGAGCTAGGTAGAATGATTGTATCATTTTACATGAGAAAAAGATTGTCTGAATTAATATGAACTTTAGGTTTTAGGCTTGATGTGAATATAGTCCTCTGAAGTTTTCCTATATATTTACCAAACAGGTTGGTATATAGAAGTACAATAAAAAATTTTTTGTTAATATATTTATTAAAGGAAACTTTAGGATAGCATACACTTCTGATGAATAAAAAATTTGTTGTTTCCTTACCTTAAGACATAAATATTATCTTGTAATGCTCATCTCATCATGAGCTTTAAATAAAAAGCATTTTTGTTTGTTTGTTTGTTTTAAGACAGAGTTTTGCTCTTATCTCCAGGCTGGAGTGCAATAGTGTGATCTTGGCTCACTGCAGCCTCCGCCTCCTGGGTTCAAGTGATTCTCCTGCCTCAGCCTCCCAAATAGCTGGGATTACAGGCACCTGCCACCAAGCCCGGTTAATTTTTTTTGTATTTTTAGTACAGATGGGGTTTTACCATGTTGGTCAGGCTGGTCTTGAACTCCTGACCTCAGGTGACCCACCTGCCTCGGCCTCCCAAAGTGCTGGGATTATAGGCATGAGCGACTGTGCCCAGCTTTTTCATTTTTACCTAGAGAAATTGTACATTTTAAATAAACAAGACATCCTTATTGTTGCTGGTGCTTGTCTTTATTAATTTTTACGTAGTTTTATTTTATATTTATATTACTAAATTTAAGCACCTTCACAGACAACGCTCAAGTATGCATTCCCCTTTCACTGGTTTCAGGTGGTCCAAAATGCAAAAATTTAGCTTTTCCCTCTAGCAATATAAACAAGCAGCAGTATTAACACCTGAATTAGGATGCTTTGGGAGTACCTGTCTCTGAGGCTGTATAGAGTACGCAAAAAGTATAGCCACTAAATACTCACAACTTGTCACTTTTTTATTAAATAAATATAACTATTATTTTATTTCATCACAGAAAGCTGTCAGTTTACAGAGGATCATACTGGAAAAATAAGAAATTTTCTGAGGAGGTCAAGCTATACAACTTATGGTAGAACTTGCACCTGTTAAATATTTCTCAAACTGAGAGAACAATGAAGCACAAAGGCTGCTCACAAAGAGATTTTTACAAGTTAATTATCTGCCTTTTCACCCAAATTGTAACCTCTACCTTTCATCATGTTATCGCTTCTTATATAACATTGATAAAATATTGCTATTGAAAAAAGTGATGATTAAGGTCCTAAAGAAAGCATGTGTCATTTATTCTACTCATATGAAAAGCAATGATCTCTATCCCTATATCTGTCAATTCATGAATGTATTCATTCAATGGCTTTGTATCATCAGTATGAGAATATTTCAACTTCTTCTCTGGATATATTTAAAACCTGGGCTTAAGTCCTTTTCTTGCACACACTACTCTAATTTATTTGTCATCAGTCGTAACCTCACTGATCATTCAAATACACCTTTATTGGTTTGGATAACCCCCCACAAATGTGAAAGGCATCCATCAAAAAGATGTTCCAGCCAGGTGTGGTGGCTTGCACCTATAATCTCAGCTACTAGGAAGGCTGAGATGGGAGGATTGCTTGAGACCAGGAGTTTGAAACCAGTCTGGGCAACACAGGGAGACCCTGTCTCTAAAAAGAATAACTTAAAAAAAAAAAATATGTTCTATATTAAATACAGATCCCAATTTAAACACTTAGCAACATATCTCTACACAGTATCTTTCTTGTCACTTTCTAAAATATTTCCTTACTATCTTGCCAACCAAGGAGCACAAAGCTATTTGTATTTAATGCTGTGGAGTCCTCAGCAGAAACACATTCACCTTCCTCCCACTGGGAAGATTTTCCACCAAGGGAATAATTTTTGGTTTCATATCAATAGAGTTTACTATCTAGTGATTTCGCAGAGGTGAAAAATGGACCCATAGGAGTAGAAGACCTTGTTTCAATGCCTTGCTTTATTATATGCAGTTCCCTGTATAACACTTATAAATAAAATATTGGCTTTTGTTGTTTGGTGTTTTCAAAATTGGTTTTGAGCCTTGAGCATGGGTTTACACAACATATAACAAAATGCATTATATTTTGGCAGGAAATAAATGTTGATTTATGAGCATATGTGGCATGGAGTTTTTATGAACAAATTAGTTTCTCACAATAAAATGTTACTTGAAAAATGATTTGCGTATGTAACCAAAGCGGCGACTAAAGTCAACCTATCCCTGATATGAATATGTTTGGCTAAATTGTAAAATCGATGTCTTGCATCAAGCTATGGTGTGTTGAAAGAATTCCCGAGTGTCTTATACTTGCATGGTTATCTCTGACTCAGCCACTGCTCCTTCTGAGCAGTGAATCCTCATGAATCCTCTCCTCCCCCACATACTCTGTCCCTCTTCTTCTCTGCACGTTTCAGTATAAACCTAAGCCCTTTCTTTGCATCTATATCCTGAAACAAGTGTGTGCACACACACATACACAGCCATTATTTGTTGAAAAATTTATTAATGGCTTAGATGAACAAAATTATGTTTATACTATGGTAGATCAAGTAACATAAATGGGAATGTTAAATATCTGCTTCTAAAACAACACAAAATAATAAGCAATATATAAGCTAGCTTTCATCGCGCTTTTCTGAGGATTTCAATACTTTTCCTCTTTCAACTTCTGTGCTAAAGAGAAATAAAACAACCAATAAGAAAGTCAACTCATTTTGTTTTTCAGGGTAATTCATACATTGTTCAATTATCATTATATAGTTCACATTTGTGAGACTTACTATAGGTAAAGGAAATCTATAGGGTATATGAATCTTGAATTCTGTTGATATCAACAAACTTCTCACTAGAGCTGGTAGGACAGGTTGCATTCCCAACAGTGTAAGTGCTTCTGTGTCTTTGCATCCCAATACTAATCTCATCTAATATTCTTATCTTTGTAATGGATGTTGAGTGATACTTTCTTATGACATTGCCTAGTAAGGTAAAGATTTTAGTATGTTTTCTGGTCATTCTTTTTTTCTCTTCTGTAAATTCCCACTTCACATCATTTGCAAATGTCAAATTAAGTTAGCTTTGTTACTGGCTATGTAAATTTCAAAACTCAAAGAAAATAGACTGTGTTAATATTGGCAATATATTCTCATGGTGGAGGCGTTTACTTAAAGGATCCCTCAGCAATTTTTGGTGGAAACTCACAGACTTCTCCAAGAATACCAGATTAGTGATCTAATAATTATCTTTTTAAAATCTATCAGATACTTATAATGTTTTAGGCAGATTTTCATCTCAGTTATGAATAAAGATAAACTTAAGGGAATGGGTATATATTTCAAAATGATAACAAAATGAACTCCTTGATGGCAGCCCCAATAATACCCTCAGAACACTGAAAGTTCACTTCATTTTACATTAAACACCCTTATGGGAGGAACTAGGCCTCAATGAAAAATTATATCATGATATGGGTTATTTCTGCAGCTTTCCATAGATATCACTGAAAAATGTAGAACTGAACTCGGTTGAATTGATGCTGACCCATCCTATCCCTGATTCCAAACATACTCACTTGCTTGGTTAATGTACTTTGTAATCAATGATGAAAAGTATATTTGTAAGGTATGGGGATTGCCTCTATATGCCATATCAATGTAAAAGATAAAACACTTACGTCTAGAAGAAGGAGAAGCTTCGAAGAGTGTTCTCCCTAGCCTGGCTTATCACTGTGAGAAAAGAGAGTTTATAAATGGTATGAATGCTAGATATGGGTAAGGGAAAAAAGAGTCCCAACGCGGGAGCCAGTCAAGCACTCGCTTAAGAGGGTGAAGCCTGAAGGCCACCTCTTACCTCCTTCGGCTTCTGGAAAGAAGGGAGCTACTTCAGTTAGATGGAAACTATTCATCTTGCTTTACGGTACAATTGGAGTTCAGGATCAAATCGTTATATTTTTCTTTCTCAAAGCCAAATGCCTTCCTCCTGCTTCTGATTTTTTACTTCTGGTAGTATGATACGGGGAATGATACTTCAAGAGTAGATTTTTATCCTCTTCAATGCTAAACTTTAACTTTTTTGCCAGACAGTATGTCAGAGGTAATAAGTTTCGATCCAGACGCATAAACTTAACTTCCTTTAGGAATTAGTGAAATATCAAATTTGGCCACACTATTCTAAAAGGAACATAGCTCTTCTTATGCAACAACCTTGAAGTTTACTGTATGTATCTTAAATAATCAATTTCAAAATTAATTAATCAATGTATGTCCTTGATATGACACTTTCAGAATTTAAAAATATTTTAAGAGATTAATAAATCAATTGAATTTATAACTATTCCTGTAATATCTATTGTATACCAAGAAAATTGCTATGTGCTGGGGAAACAACAGTGAATAATGTTAACTCTGATCTTTACCTTCAAATTGTAGCCTATTTAATGGGGTGGTACAAAAAGAAACACATAAAAAGCCAATTAATAGGAGTCCACTAAATGCCGATCTGTCCTAGGAATAGAAATGTACATTAAATTTTAATTATCAGCTAGTTTATTTACATAAAACTGAACAAATCTTGCATAGTGAGTACACGTGAGATTGTATTATCTAATGCAATTCAATTTCATATCCATGACGATTTACAAATATGCATATTCAACATATGTCTGAGAAAAAAGTGGATTTTTAATGTATTTATGTGATTTGTGTTAATAGAAATGTTTAGGGTCGTCTTAAACTTCACATTGTACATTGAATTATGAGAGTTACTGTGTAGTAAGTATGCTACACTTGTAAAAATATTTCCCTTTAAAGGAGCTTAAACATACTGGGAGATTCCCAGAGAGACAAAAACACCTATAAAATTTAGAGAGTGATATGATGAAGCACTCATTTTTTAAAAACTGAATTCACTATATTTCAGATTTTTTTAATTCAAAATGGAATCATTCATCATTGAATATCTTTTTTCTCTACACTACCTTTAAAACAAACTAAATATTTCATTTGTTTCTGTAGTTAGGGATAGGTTAGAATAAATATGACAATAGCGCCAATGATTGAATAAGTACTATGAATTAGTACTATGTTATTATTTTACTGTTATAAATGTGCCAGTTTTGATAGACAACCAGTTGCCACTTGGCAAGGTCTACTATTTTACAAATTTTCTTAGCTATCATTTACTGTCTGTATTTTCGCATTTAGGTGGCACAATTTTCACATTCAGCCTTGGGCTTTCTTTGCTCTAATTTTTGTTTATTCACGTATAAATTTTATCTTCAAAAGTAATGTTAAATGTTTTATCTCATCAGTATTTTAATCATATTGTGCCCGGAATTGGTGGGTTCTTGGTCTCACCGACTTGAAGAATGAAGCCACGGACACTCACAGTGAATGTCACAGTTCTTAAAGGTGATGTGTCCGGACTTTGTTCCTTCTGATGTTTGCACATGTTGGGAGTTTCTTCCTTCTGGTGGGTTCACGGTCTCCGCTGGCTTCAGAAGTGAAGCTACAGACCTTCACGTGAGTGTTACAGCTCTCAAGGCCTCACGTCTGGAGTTATTCATTCATCCCTGTGGGTTCCTGGTCTCGCTGGCCTCAGGAGTGAAGCTGCAAACCTTCGCGGTGAGTGCTACAGCTCACAAGGCAGTGCTGACCCAAAGAGTGAGCAGCAGCAAGATTTATTGCAAAGAGCAAAAGAACACAGCTTCCACACTGTGGAACGGCACTCAAGTGGGTTGCCACTGCTGGCTGGGGCAGCCTGCTTTTATTCCTTTATCGGACCCCACCCACATCTTGCTGATTGGTCCATTTTACAGAGAGCTAATTGTTCTGTTTTACTGAGAGCTGATTGGTCCATTTTGACAGGGTGCTGATTGGTGCATATACAATCCCTGAGCTAGACACAAAAGTTCTGCAAGTCCCCACTAGATTAGCTAGACACAGAGCACTGATTGGTGCATTTACAAACCTTGAGCTAGACACAGGGTGCTGATTGGTGTATTTACAAACCTTGAGCTAGACACAGAGTGCTGATTGGTGTATTTACAATCCCTTAGCTAGACATAAAGATTCTCCAAGTCCCCACTAGATTAGCTAGATACAGAATGCTGATTGGTGTGTTTACAAACCTTGAGCTAGACACAGAGTGCTGATTGGTGTATTTACAATCCTTGAGCTAGACATAAAGGTTCTCCAAGGCCCCAGTGGAGAGCTGCTGGCCCCGGTGCTAAGCCCCTCAGCGCCCGGGGCGTACAGTAGCCCACCGCTCCAAGTGCAGGGCCCACCAAGCCCATGCCCACCTGGAACTTGTGCTGGCCCACGAGCACAGCGCTCAGCCCCAGTTCCCGCCCACGCCTCTCCCTCCACACCTCCCTGCAAGCAGAGGGAGCCGGCTGTGACCTCGGCCAGCCCAGAGAGGGTGTCCCATAGCGCAGCCTTGGGCTGAAGGTCTCCTCAAGCGCAGCCAGAGTGAGCGCCGAAGCCAAGGAGGTGCTGAGAGCAAGCAAGGGCTGCCAGCATGCTGTCACCTCTCAATATTGTTTTGTAGTTTCTTTAATAACTTTGTTAGCACTTTTGATTTCATACTTCGCAGTAGGCTTTATTGTGTAACATCATTACTTTCAATACATTCAATATTTTCTTGTGACTTAGGAATACAGTAAGAATATTTTTTTCAAGTGAATGAAAAATGAGGGAAATAAACGATATAGAAGTTACTCCTAAAAGCTTCATATTGACAGGAACAACTGGTTTTATGTTCAGAATATATAACTAATATCTACCATAGCGTGTAACTCACTCTAGCTGAGCAACAGATGCAGGTTAAATGAGTGAATGTGTGCTTTACCTAAATTTCAGTGGTCAGAAATCCTGCTGCCATCAAACCTAGCACAATACAGATGATAGGATATGTATATTTTTAACCAAAGAATGCTTTTACATTGTGTAATGTATCTCCATTTCTGTCCTGATCCACTGGCTGTTTTCAGAATTGTGAATACTGAAGTCAATTGAGGAGTTTTACTTCAATTGCTCCCTTTTCCATAAACCAATCAGATAATCTTAGTTTTTATTTGAGGAAAAAGGTAACACTAGCGATCATGTTAATATTTGAGTCTGGATATAATATAAAGAGAGATAATTTTTTGTCTTTAAGAGGATTTACACCCTGATTTGCAATTGAAAATAAATAAACAGCTACTTTTGTATAATAATCTGATGCAATGAAAAATACTAAAAAAAAGTTTAGCTATTATTTCTTTAAATTTAAATTTCAGAAAATTTTTAAAAGGTGATTAATTTTAAAACCATCTCATGTTCTAACATTTATATATTTTTATTTGTGACATTTGCTAGAATATATTGGTTAGATTTTTACCTTGTTTCTTTTGTGTATTGAGCATAATAACTATCAGCGAGCTATAATTATTGAATAGTAAATTATTAATCTGCATTTTTAAAATAGTATAATTACATAAATTCTAGTAATATTCCACTGGTTGATTGACTTAATTCAATACATAAAACTAATAGTGCTTCTCATTATCATTATGAATATCTAATTGTTTTTCTTCCTCTTGGCATCTAAATGGCAGTGATTATCAGGAATGTATCCCTGATGAATTTCCATGCATTTTCAATTCTATGTAACTTAATGAGTGAGCTGCTTACAATTCCTTATCTCTTGCTTACTTTCTTAATCAAGCTCCAATTTACTATTTCCATCAAATTTTCTGGATTATGCTGTATTATAGAATGTGGGCTTTAAAAAAGCCAAAACTGTTCTCTAAGGTATGTAGATCTATGTTTCTAAACAAGTTGTATGAATTCTCAATTATTACTAATATTTCTGTGCCTCTGATGCCACATCTGTGCAATAGAGAAAGACTTAAGGCCACCTGATGAAATTGTTGTGAGGGTTAAATGCACATTCTGTATCTAGCTCACAACCTGACACAAAACTAATATTCTTAAAAAATTATTATAAGCAGTAACAATACTGGACAACTTAAATTGAAATTCTGTTAGTTCACACTAAGCTGCTAGATCTGTTTATAAAAAGACAGTTATGTTATTAATTCAGTATACGAAAATGCAGTGAAATCGTTGAAGAACTAAAGTCTCTAATCATCTGAATATCTGAATAAATCTTTGACAATGGAAACTTCTGCAGTATTGAATTATGAAATGGTTGACTTAAAAATGACAAAGAAAATACTAATGTCTTCTTTTAACAATTAATTTCATCAGAATAACAGGAAAAACATGTTTTTAGAAAATATTTCACACTGTTGTATTTGTTTTTGTCTTATTTGCTTTCCATGGTGCTAGTCACCTAGCTCCTGTTTAGTAGATACAATTGGTAATTGACATTAAAAGCTACCAAATATTTTACAAGCAGAGAGGAATAAACAGACCAGCTTATATGGCTCTATTGTTTTTACTGTTACCTAATGTTACTGATTGAGAAAGAGTATCACAAGAAGTCTTTTAAATAATTGAATTTAAATAATCTAATTATAAATTTTTCTTTTTAATTTTGAATGAAACTTGTCAAAGTAAAAATGATATACTGATTATAATTGTACATATGCATATATACATGTGGGTATATATATAATAACATGTATGTACATCAGTATAACTCTATAATTATTAAGGGTTTGAATTTGTGTTATGTAGTACAGATTCCTTTCGACTTTGAAGTAGACATCACAGGTCTGCCCACGCTACCATGTGCTTTCTCTCTCCCAGCCCCTCCTGGTTAAATACTATGCCCACTAAAGGCACTATGTTTTTCTCCTCAGACAAGGAGAGGAGACTTTTAATCATTGGTCTCCTCCTACTGATTCTAAGTGCAAACAATGTAAAACCCCTCTTAGGCTGAATTTGAGGATTAAAGTACCATATTAAAAAATACTTATGACACTGCTTTATTGTTTGACTTATTATTATTTCTACTAGTTCCAAAAGCCTATATTCTATCTAATTATATTGATTTAAACTACAGTGAATTACTGGTGTTACTATTTAATATTTAATGTCACTTTGTTTTGTGGTCTACATAAATTCTGAGTGGTAATTCCCGTATTCAAATCTGCTTACAATTCAACTCTTAATTTCAGTGAACAGGAAATTTCAGAAAATTAGAAGAGAGGAGCCAAGTGTACTGGCTCACGCCTGTAATCCCAGTACTTTGGGAGGCCAAGGTGGGCGGATCACCTGAGGTCAGGAGTTCAAAACCAGTCCAGCGAACATGGCGAAACCCCATCTCTACTAAAAATACAAAAACTAGCCAGACATGGTGGCAGGCACCTGCGGTCCCAGCTACTTGGGAGGCTGAGGCAGGAGAATCCCTTGAACCTGGGAGGTGGAGGTTGCAGTAAGCCGAGATCACACCACTGCACACCAGGCTGGGTGACAGAGCTACACTCCATCACACACAAAAAAAGAAAGTAAAATAATAAAATAAGAGACAGGGATCAATTGAAGTGTTCTCCATGTCATTTTTTCTATGTTAAAATCAATGTCCAACAACATAAATATTTTATTTGTGTTTATTTTAACCTTATGATTTCATATGAAGAGCAGCATTTGTGTCAGTATCTCTGGGTCCTGAGTTTGCACGACTCACTTGTTTTGGAGATAGACAAATGATGAGGGTAAAGGAATACAAAATGTCACAGTCTACAGATAACCCTCTGTAGGAAATTATAAGCCATATTCCCTGAGAATTATAGGGAATGCCCTCAACTCTATGAACAAACTTTCCTGAGGCTGATGGGGAAAGTGATTCTTTCCTGATAATGGGTTTTACTCAGCCCATTGATTAATGCCATTAACACTGCCAATGAATACATTCCGAGGTGTAACAAAAATACCAAGCTTTTACTAAATAGATATGGAAATATATATTTAATATAATGAAGTTACAGGCTTCTGAACCAAAGAACAAAGGAAGGAAATATAGAAATATGTATATTCAAATATGTAAACTTATTTATCACTCCATAAGTGAAAACATGGGGAAACACACAGATTAAAGAAGTGATGTCTGTGATGCTTCTTTAAGAAATAGAACAGTAACAATTATTAAGAATTTTATTTCCATAAGAAATAAATTATTTATATAGAGGGACAAGAAGTTTCAGGTCTCTATGAAAGAAGAAGTTTCTAAAAATCTGCCATTAACACAACCGTTCTGATAACTGTATGTCCCCCTACCTATGACAGAATTAGACTTGTATTTCTAACTAAGCCAGAGTAATTAAGTTTCAGTTGTTCAGCTATATCAAAACTGTGTCTCCTAATCATCCAAATGGTTAACACAGGTAGAATCTTTTCTACATCCCACTTTATGGTAAACTTCCTACCTCATTTTAGCCATAGAAAAACACCTGTGCCTTTACAATGTCTTCTTTCTCTCTGTCACACACATACTCTCACTCTCTTTCTCTATCCCTCCCTCCCGTGTGCTCTCTCATGCTCTCTTTTCTCCTAATGTAGTATATCACTTTAATGTGCATAAATTTGACTCCCGGAGTTGTTAAATTACAGATTGTAGGGCCCACCTGCAGAGCTTCTGATTCAGAAAGACTGCCTTGTGGCCTAAGAATTTTCATTTTTAACAAGCCCCTCAGGTGATTTTAATCCAGTTAGCTATGATGATATTTTAGGAAAATATTCTCCAGCCTATTTTCTGGTGCACACAGACTTAGCCCCAGCTGTTCATCTAGTATTTTTTCAATCTCCTCTAGTGCACCTGCTAATTTCTGGTGTCTAATTTGTTTAAGATATTCCCGTATGCCATGTAATTTTCATGAATATTTTATCTCTTATTGCCTGCCTATTCCATTTTCCAGAGTGCCACTGTACCAAGGCAAATCCTTCACTCTTGTCAAGCCCTCCTCCCATTGTTACAGCTCTCACCCTCTCAGGCTTAGCCACCTACTTTCCCAAGATGCAAGACCAGTCAATAATGAACTTCCTCAATTTTCGTTTTACTTTTTCCTCTCCAAGTGGCTATTTTTACTAGCTCTTAGCAGATTTTTTAAAATGTAAGTTATAGAAAAAAAAACGCATCTACATATTTCCAAGGTTAGCCTTCTCACCTATTTTTTTTAAATCTTTTCTTTTAATTCTCCCCAGGGATCTTTCTGAATACATTTCATATAGGTTTTCATTTAACAAATCATAGCTGAGAATCTACTTTGGGTCAGATCCTGAGATGAGTTAAGACAGGCACCTTCTGTTTTTCACAGTTTCAACATTTTCTTACCTCTGATTCCCTTTAAAACCACACTCATAAATTCCTGACACAGTCTTAAATACTTTCTTTTCCACATCCTCACACCCTCTTTAATTCCTGGTACCATATGATGCTTTAGACAAATCTTCATGAATCTTTACTCATCACATCTGAGAGGCTTAGATTGTTTAAAGTCATTGAGATTCCCAAAGTTCTTTTCCTAGCCTCCATGTTTTCTTTTCAGGGATTCTCTTCCTTGTTAAACTGTAAAATCAGTGCAATTACGTGTAACTCAAAAAAGTTATGCTCAATAAATAACATTCTCTAGGTAATGTTAATTGCACAGTTTCTGGTATACATAGTGCATTTGTAGAGGATATTAACTGTCATTATTGTTGCAGATATTATTAATAGTAATAATTCTTGGAATTATTTCTGAAGCTCCACTGTCTTTCTAAAGTTCCAAATATGCATTTCTGGTTTTTGCTTACCGCACCTGAAGATGTATTTGTGAGTCAAACTTACTAAAAACAGCTATATATAAATTGTCAACAGTTATGTGCTCACCAATTTTGAGACTTCTTTCCATTCCTTATATGGTCTTGTACCTTTCTCTTTGTTTCCTTTTGATTACTAAAGGTGTAATAAATCTGTATCTAATAAATCTAATAAATTCAATGGGAGGAATACATTGCATTTTCTAAAGCACTTGGGAAATATTTTTTAAGTAAAAAGAAAATAGTTTGCTCTGAATTACTAACGTAAGAGAGAATGAAGGGAGCTGGGTATTTCACAAGAAGAGTGTCATGTCCCTCATTTAATAGCACAGAAAGGGACCTTGTTGCTAGAATGCGCCTTGTGTTCTCAGAGGGGAAGATATTCTAATTGAATACCATATGGAGCACTATTTATAGAAATGTTCTAAAGGATGTTTAGATAACCATTTTGTAGTTTTAAAATATTTTCCATTAATACAGTTTTAAATTCGATTTGCTAATTTCTAATCATTTGAGCAATTAATTGGTTTGACATCTAAGGCAGTCAGAATGATTAGTGCTACATTCTGGATATAAACACATGCATGTTTGAACTATTAAGCATTAATTCATTAAAATATATTTGTGATGTAAGTTATGTACCCAGAACTGAGCTGCTCACTAGGAATCTATTGACAGACATGAATTGTTTTCATGTAGCAAAATTTATAGTCTGTTGAAGGAGACGTATTAATGAGAGTACAAAGTGATCAGTTACATGAAGTATAGATGTTCTGAAAGCAAATAAAAGACATTTTTGCCAAGTTTACAGAGTCATAACAATATTCCCTAAGACATAATATAAGGTGATATCTAATACGTAAGAGAAAAATAGCTGAATGAACTATTATCTGTATAGTTAATGCTCCTGTGGGCAATATTATGGTGGTGATGCTGAAACTCTTCATTATCAGAATAAAGACAACCAACCAAACAATGAATCAGTTCAAAGCTGTCAACTGTACTAGTATCTAAAGAAATAATTAATGTACTTCAGATGTCTTATTAATCACTCTGAAAATGTTTTTAGAGTATGAATTCAAATCCTGAACACATTTAAATAATCATTTTTGTGAAATATAATCAAAGAGACTCAAAGCTCATTTTGTAGTTGCCCTGTCCTAATCCTAAAAATTACCATTCCTTCAAGAAGTTTTTGTTTTGTTTATTGGAAAATAGCATTAGAAGACAAGTACTGGTGATTGTAGCTACTAGGATGTCACCACTTTTAGTGGTGCCAGCTCTGTCTCCCTCTCTCTCTCTCTGTCTCTCTGCCTCTCTCTCTCTCTATATATATATGTATCCTAATATAATATATATTATAAAAATACACATATCTATATATTTTATAATATTCATAAATATAAAATATAATAATATAATATATATTCTAAGCTGTATAAATCTATTCAAATTTATGTATAATTATATATTTACAATTATTTCTCTGTCCATATATATATAAATTGTATAGGTATGTATGTAGTTTTAAGCTAAAAATAACCCCTACTGATATCTCCAATGCTAATTCAATAGAATACAATTTATTCCAGTCTTCCCCTTTCTTCTTTGTAACTTCACTGTCCAACAGTGAGAAACTTGGCTCTAGCTATTCGCCATCCACCATTTATTTACTTGTTTGTTCAACCCCAGTATACATGGAAAGGAATTTCAGAATTATTAACCCATACCAATTTGAGAAATATTTTTAGCAAGCAGAATATAGCATTTATTTACAGCTTGTTTTGTCTTTAATTGTACAGTTTGCAGTGAAAATATCATAATTCAAAAGTACTTAAATCAGTTCCTGTTTTTACTCACCCCTTCAGTGAAGTTATTTGTGATAGAATTAGATGCTTTTGTCTAAAGTCTGAAAGTCTGCATTCTTCGCTGAGATCTTTGAACCTCTGGTTGTGTGTGGACGTGTGTGCAAGTGTGTGTCTGTATGTATGTAAGTTGTATACATTGAAGTTCCTGCTTTATAATGTACAGTTCTACAGATTTTTCCACACTCATAAACGTTCACCACCTCAGAACCGTTAGAGAATAGTTTCATTATCCCCAAAATTAGTGTGTGTGTCCTCTTAGTCAACTACTTTCCAGTTCTCTCTGGTAACTAATGATTTGATTCCTATTTATATAATTTTACTCTTTCAATAATATCATATGAATTAATTCTTGTAACATGTCACCCTTTGGGTCTGACATCTTTCTCTTAGCAAAATAAATGTAAAGTTTCCATAATGAATCTAAAATCATTTCAGATAAAATTGTAGATTCATTTTGTTAAGATCCATTTTCCTTTTTTTGGTGACGTTTGGAAATGTACAATTGTTCTAGCACTATTTGTTGAATTTATTGAGAAAAGACTTATTCTCTACTTGAGACAACTTTGCATCTTTGTGAATAATCATTTGACTGTATTTGTACGGGTTTATTTTTGTGCTATCTATTCCATTTCATTGATCTATGTCTATCATTTACCATTACTACACTGTGTTGATTACTACAGCTTTATGATAGTTCTTAAAAGTAGGCAATATAATTTCTCTGAGCTAATAATTTTTTAATTTAAATTTTACTTGTTCATTACTGGCATATAGGAATGCAATTGACTAAAACATCAATTGCCTTTGTGTACTTTGACTTTTACATACATGCTTTTTAGGTAGGGCTATGGAATGGTAACATATTATCTAAAAAGTATATATATTCTGGCTCACCAAATGCTGATACAATCTTATAGCCTTATTTGTACACAAGAAAAGATTTAAATTTTTATTTTTTATAACAAGGTTTTGTTTTGAGAGATGAAAATAGTGAAGTTTGTCCAATTGTATTCATTTTATTGACACATTAAAGGAGCATATGAATTGTTTATTCAAAAAATGGAGGGCATAAACAAATATAGTGGTATCAGAAGAGAGTCGTATAATAATTCTGAATACAGTAAAAGCATGGTACAAGTAATCTGTAGTACCGTCAAATAAGAGCCATGTATATGTGCTCAAAATATGTTAAATTTTTTTCTGTATGCTAATTAAGCTACTTGTCATTAATGATTCACTTACATATCCAATCAATCTACCTGTTTGGGAAGAATGAATATGGGGAGCCTTACTGAGATAACATGCCAAAATAACTGCAACATAAGTTTTTTCAAGGACAATTTGATGGCTTCCTATAGTGATTGCTCCAATATTATCATTATTAAATTCTAAACCACTAACTCTAAATTGATTGAAGTTAATGTGAAAAAAATTATAGTTGAATTTTGCTAAAATTGATGTCAGTTTTAATGTCTGCAGCACAGTAAAACTTTAAGTAGGTAAAATCTTACATAATTTTTCTAACATGAAGAGTTATCTATATACCCAAATATAAATGAAAGTAAAAATGAACAATTTGAGCAATAAAAAGTATCATAGAGAAAATTTTAATGATTAAATTTTATTTTGTAATAGTTGGAATTCTATTAAGTAGAAAACTTGGATTAAAAAATTTTCAATTGAATCAGAAAACTATATCTTGATGTTCAAAATAATGTTTCTAATTTTAAAAAACTATCTTTTTTTCTAGATATAATGAGATATGAACATACAATTGGTATTTAGTGGCAATTATACAAGTAATTATTTATGATTATGGATTTAACTATTTAGTTGACTATCAATTAGTGTTAATGCTAATTTTTGTTTTTTTATTCATTTTTTATTTTTTATTTTTTGATACGGAGTCTCACTCCGTCGCCCAGGCTGGAGTGCAGTGGCAGGATCTTGGCTCACTGCAAGCTCCGCCTCCCGGGTTCACGCCATTCTCCTGCCTCAGCCTCTTGAGTAGCTGGGACTACAGGCGCCCGCCACCACACCCCGCTAATTTTTTGTATTTTTAAGTAGAGACGGGGTTTCACCGTGTTAGCCAGGATGGTCTCTATCTCCTGGCCGCGTGATCCACCAGCCTCGGCCTCCCAAAGTGCTGGGATTACAGGCACGAGACACCGCGCCCGGCCATGTTAATGCTAATTTTGTAATTTTTCTTGAAGTTTGGAATATTGGAATAACAATGGTATTTGTTCTCAGGGGCACAAACTAGCTAAATGAATGTAATGGAATCACTCAAATTTCAATAACAAATTTTTCTTGTAGATAAAATGTAACAACTTGATCATGTCTCGAGTTTCTCAAAGAGTTACTGTGAAGGTGGGAAATGTATTATGAGTAGCTATAAATATAAAAAAGTATATTTAATTCAAGGATTATAAGGTAAGATAAAGTTTTGCAGCATTAACTAATGTAGATATATGTATTTTCTTGTCTGTGTTATCTTTTACTACTCCCTTTATATATTCTGCTGTCTTCAACCATTCCAACTATAACTTGGCCCACAATCTGCAGAGAGGTTAGAGCATAACTCAAAGCGAAGCCAGAAGCAAGCAAACAAAAATCAAGCCATATTGTGGCTTTCTAGATTCCAATGTCAAGGACCTCCTATAAATAGCAGTTTTGGTAGAATACTTGCCTAACCTCTTGTCTTGTTGATTTTCTTTTTCTCTCCTGTGGGCTGAGAAAGGAATAAAATCAGAAATAAATCTGAAGACTTTAGTTCTGAAGTGAGGCTTCGAACAATCCCAACACCCTAGTCCTCTCGGAACAAAACTGTGAAGGTGGTAGTGATAAAACCATGGATAAGTTCGGGTACTGAGGAATTGAACAAATGTGTGCCTTATTTCTCAGATAGGACTTGGCAAGGAAGATAATGTCCTATCCCCACCAATCAATGTGGTGTATTAGCAGAAGATTAGATTCGGCTGTAAGTTGTATTTGAAGCATCCCATTAAGTATTTTCTGGGCCCTCTAATTCTTGAAAATAACTAAATTCTCTTTTTTAAAAGAAATATTTATGCAATTATTAAGAAGTAAAGGAGAACCCAAACTGTTTAATGACTATGATGAGAATTCATTGCAGTAGAAATCAGTGTAGACCAAACAACTTGGAACAAGGATACCCTAAAGGGTTCCAATGAGAAAGTACAAAGATAGCATGAATGGTATGAATGATTTGCAACAAATGCCTGCTTAGACAGACATCAAACAATGGTGAATGACTCCTTGTTTGTATGGTTAAAATGAGGAGATAATGAAATTTGTAAAATCTTATCCTATTTGTGATCGGAGTTCAAAAATCACAGTTAATTGCCATACAAAGAGATTCTTTTTTTTTTTATGCTCAAAGAGATGGAGAATAATCAGAACAAATTTCACAGGGACTACACTAGGTAGACAAGATACATTAGACAAATAGCAGGTGAGTTCTAATTTTCTCTAGAGTCAAATTATCAAAGTCTAGTTGTTCAAGTTTCAATTTTCCTTAGAGTCAAATAATCAAAGTTTAGTTGCTCAATTAGGATGAAAGCGGACCCCTGTAGATATAAAGTCTAATCGAAATCTGAGAAGTACCTTTTTATGAAAGGTTCTTGGAAGACACGGTTTGATGAACAAAATCGACATCTGCAAGGATACACAAAGTTCATTGACACTAATCAGTGGTACCAGGGTTGGCAAGCAAGGCTTCAGCGAATAGCTCAAAGGCTGGCGATGTGTAGCCCTGCCACAGCCTATGCTCTCAATGTGTCTGTCAAATGTTGGGTTTGTATGTGTTTTGGAGTCTAGTAGCTGAGGCCAATAACAAACACATGTATTCTGTTGAGGTGTGACATACATTCTCATGAAAAGAGGGATCACACTCCATGATTTTATCATGGCAAAAATATATGTTATTCATGTAGCAAATTTTGTAAGTTTTTGGAGTCATTTAAAAGCTACACGACGCTCCTGACCTTAATGCCCTATCCCTTGAAATGTAGATGCCACTCCAAACAAAAAAAAACAGAGAAGGAAATTCTGAATTGACTAAGATTTTGTGAAATCAACAAAGATTATGTTTTCTGCCATCAAGTTGACTAGACACTTTAAATAGAAATTTAGTGATTTTATAAACTAATAATCTCTCTTTATATTTGGTACTCCTCAATATGGATATTAATATCTCCATACAAATAATAACAAAAACAATAAACACTAAAAAAATTGTAGTTCCAAAGAATAAATATGAAAATGATAATTTGAAAAATTCTCACATTTAGCAATATCTTAAAACAGAAAAGATATAAATGTAGATAAGTAAATAGATCAGTATTCAGATAGATATATAAAAAATACGAGTAAATGTGAGTTTTATTTTAAATGTCAAGTAATTCAAGATGGAAGATGGTTATATTCTTACCAAAATTTGAATATTTGCCATATTGTGTAGTTACTAATATTTTATAGTGTTAATCAGAACAATAGGTTTGTATTTTACCGTCACTTAAATGATGGTAATGATATTTACTTAATAATCCTACTGAAAGTTCTCATGTATTTTAGAAATGGATCTCACATTTCAATATCAACATAAACTGAATGGCACCTTGACTGTGAAAGCTTTTAAGCCACTACATATAACCAGGTGTTTTGAAACAATTGTTGTACTGATATTTATTGCACACATGATATTGTGTACATGCTAATTGTGTTCATGATAATTGTAGAGAATTACCCACAAGGCCCATGTATGTAGTTTTGACTTAAATATATTCATTTGGCTGAAATATTTAAATTTGTTTGATGTCAGTTGAAGGCAGACATTACCTACATTAAGATGGAAGTGAACACACTCTATAGGGAAAGTCAAGGATCTTTACAATTTGTATTCATAATTAGTAACTTAAAAGAAGATTAGTAACTTCTATTGTCCTTATTTACTTCACTGAGGATACTAAAATCAAAATCATAACTTCTATTCTCTTATACCAGTGGAGTGTCCCAAGCTTTGGATTATGTACTTTCATGTTTAAATCTATAGTCAAAGTCCCTGAATAAATAATATTAACTTTAATAAGTCTAGGTAGATAGGTAGATAGATAGATGATGTCATTATATTATTATATTGTTGTTATATCAATATATAGCTAAGATATTATTTATGTAAGAGGTAGTACCTTTTGATTTATTTTTTAGTCTTTTTTAAAGTCTCATCTCTGAAATAATGACTTCAATATGTTTTGCAGCCCTAACGTTCAATAATTTGCTTAGTATTATTTGATGAAGGCTTTGAGAAAAATCAGTTTTGTCAGTGTGAATGATAATCTTAATTTAAGGAGGTGATTTTTTCATCAAAAGAGAACTGCTTGAGATAATGATAAAGCAACAGTTCTAGAACTGGGTATAACTGGATTTAATTTCCAGCACCAACAACACTTCTCAGCTATGAGAATTCTGGCAGCCTACTCCATAAACCTGAAGCTTCTCATACATACATTTATATCAAATGCTAATTGTGAGAAATTATAAGGAATGCATAAAAATATTTAGCCCAATGAATCATTCATGATAGGCACTCAATAAGTGGCAGCTATTATCATAGTGTCAGAGCATAGATATTAAGTATGTCAAACAGTGTCTCAGTCTGTGCTTTCAACAGATAGATATTGAGCAAATTGAGCAGATCTATCAATACCTGTATTAACAGTCAATACTATTTTTGGAGTCTTATTATATACAGTAACTTTATAAGAGGCAAGACTTGGTCTTCAGTATATGTAACTGCATGTGAATTATGTTGTCAGAGATCTCTACTTCTTCCTCAAAGGTCAGGTTGGGAGGATTTAATAGCCCTATTAAGTGCTTTGAGCCCCTTGGAGAAATGATACCACAGAAATGCAAAAGGTTATTTGCACATGCATCATTGAAATATCATAGGTACCCGTGGAATATTATTTTGGTTAGCCTTCTACCACAGTAGAATGACGATGGGAATTGACTATTCTATATGAATGCATATCTGGTGCAATTTTGGTTAAAAGATAAAAAAGTCAAACTTCAAAGCCAAAGAAGGTGTTTCCTGAGTAATGAAGAGCTTTTGAATGCTCTGCATCACATACCCTGAGAGTAATGAACAGCTTTGATCATGGTCTGAATCACATATCCAAACAATCAGATTCTAATAATTGCTACTTCCTTTTATGTAATGGCCAGATTGAACACTTCAAAGACATATCTACCTTGTTGGATAAATTCATTGACTGAAGATTGCTGGGAGCTTTATAAAGGTTATTGAAAAAGTGCCAGCTAATCAAATGACCGCTTAGACCAATATTTCATTGCAGCATACATAGCATACATATGCTTAAATTCCTCTTAACCCATTAGCAATTTACTGGTGGGTTGGTTTTTCCGTTTCTGTTTACTTTGATATGACATAAAAAGTGACACAGTTTTACTATGAAAACTTTTTAAACCAGCCATTGGTAAATTATAGTAACTACATTTAAAATTATTTGGATATTTGTTGGAAAAAACACACAATGCATTTGTGTAATGCCTCCCTCTCCCTGCTTGAGGCCTTAAATTACAAAGTTTATATTGTCAAGCCTGCTGGAAATTTTCTAAACAAAAGAACTCTTTTCTCTCTGTACACGTTTAGCTTCATTATAATTCAGTTAATTATACACAAATAAAGACAGGAAAATAATTTCAAAAGTAAAATTAGAATACTGTAATTTGTGACAAAACTATACTAAAAATAAATTACAAATAATTGGGACAAAATTATATTAATTACACATAGAGAAAATTACTTTATTGCTCCTAATATTACAAATTAAAATCTAGTTTGACCATGAAGCAACTTTGTTGATCATAAAGGATTTCTTTTTCAATGCTAAGAAGATGGATTTTCATAATTATAGCCATTTGAATATTATAATGTTTGGGAAAAATTACTGTGTATCGTCGTCTATACTGAGGTTTCTGACTCATATACAACAGCACGAAATACATTATTGCCACCAGTTAATATCATCTGAAAGATGTGATAGGCTTAGCAACTGCTTATCTCTGGTTCTTAAGAGAAAATTTTCTTCCTTCTGCATTTAGCCACAAGATTAGCTAGCACTTCCAGCACTTCACATCTGGTCTTTCTTGCACCTCACTGAACTCACAGAATTGAGAGATTTACCTGCTGAAAGCCTTGTCACAGTTCCAGCCTCTGCCTCATCTTAATCCTTCTCATCCTTTCCCAAGCTCCACACTTCTCTCCATTCCAGAGCTTCTGCAAAGACCTACTATTGTTACAAATTGCTCAGTGGAGTCTAGAACCGAATTTGCTCTCAAATGTGGTTGCATCATTTTTCTGTTTTTTATGTACAAAGTACTAACATTAGCATCTAAATGCAGCTGTGTTGCTACTCATCCTCAGCTACTCCAAGGATTCCTCAGATACTCAAAGGATAATGCATCAAAGTCTGCAGAGATTCTCTGTATAATTGTCCTAGTCATTCAATATATAATTCAAAATAAAATACAGTTTTGCAAGTGGTGCAAGTGGACATAACCATGAAAGGAGGCTTTTTATTGTCACATTATATATTAATCACTTGCCGCACCTAAACAACCTCCTCCCACCAAATCTAAGAAATAAGAATGATGCTGCTCAAATATCTCACACTGGGGAAAATAAGAAAAATAAGGAAAAATCTGTAAATTGGTTATCTCTTATGTAAAGTTTCAGGGAAAGAAGAAGTCAACAAATACAGCAGCAATGCCATCTCCATCAAGCTACCAAAGACTTTCTTCACTGAATGGGAAAAAACTGCTTTAAAGTTCATATGGAACCAAAAAAGAGCCCTCATTGCCAAGTCAATCCTAAGCCAAAAGAACAAAGCTGGAGGCATCACATTACCTGACTTCAAACTATACTACAAGGCTACAGTAACCAAAACAGCATGGTACTGGTACCAAAACAGAGATATAGACCAATGGAACAGAAAGAGCCCTCAGAAATAATACCACACATCTACAACTACCTGATCTTGGACAAACCTGACAAAAACAAGAAATGGGGAATGGATTCCCTATTTAACAAATGGTGCTGGGAAAACTGGCTAGCCATATGTAGAAAGCTGAAACTGGATCCCTTCCTTACACCTTATACAAAAATTAATTCAGGATGGATTAAAGACTTAAATGTTAGACCTAAAACCATAAAAACCCTAGAAGAAAACCTAGCAATACCATTCAGGACATAGGCATGGGCAAGGACTTCATGTCTAAAATACCAAAAGCTATGGCAACAAAAGCCAAAATTGACAAATGGGATCTAAATAAACTAAAAACTTCTGCACAGCAAAAGAAACTACCATCAGAGTGAACAGGCAACCTACAGAATGGGAGAAATTTTTGCAATCTACTCATCTGACAAAGGGCTAATATCCAGAATCTACAAAGAACTCAAACAAATTTATAAGAAAAAAACAAACAATCCTATCAAAAAGTGGGCAAAGGATGTGAACAGACACTTCTCAAAAGAAGACATTTATGCAGCCAAAAGACACATGAAAAAATGCTCATCATCACTGGCCATCAGAGAAATGCAAATCAAAACCACAATGAGATACCATCTCACACCAGTTAGAATGGCAATCATTAAAAAGTCAGGAAACAACAGGTGCTGGAGAGGATGTGGAGAAATAGGAACATTTTACACTGTTGGTGGGACTGTAAACTAGTTCAACCATTGTGGAAGACAGTGTGGCGATTCCTCAGGGATCTAGAACTAGAAATACCATTTGACCTGGCCATCCCATTACTGGGTATATACCCAAAGGAATATAAATCATGCTGCCATAAAGATACATGCACACGTATGTTTATTGCGGCACTATTCACAATAGCAAAGACTTGGAACCAACCCATATGTCCAACAATGATAGACTGGATTAAGAAAATGTGGCACATATACACCATGGAGTACTACGCAGCCATAAAAAATGATGAGTTCATGTCCTTTGCAGGGACATGGATGAAGCTGGAAACCATCATTCTCAGCAAACTATCACAAGGACAAAAA
Source organism: Homo sapiens (assembly GCF_000001405.40). Classification (NCBI taxonomy): domain Eukaryota; kingdom Metazoa; phylum Chordata; class Mammalia; order Primates; family Hominidae; genus Homo; species Homo sapiens. The sequence goes on along the minus strand of NC_000004.12, from coordinate 58,707,764 downwards.
ACCATACACCGCATGTTCTCACTCATAGGTGGGAATTGAACAATGAGAACACTTGGACACAGGAAGGGGAACATCACACACCAGGGCCTGTTGTGGGGTGGGGGGAGGGGGGAGGGATAGCATTAGGAGATATACCTAATGTAAATGACGAGTTAATGGGTGCAGCATACCAACATGGCACATGTGTACATATGTAACAAACCTGCAGGTTGTGCACATGTATGCTAGAACTTAAAGTATAATTAAATATATATATATAAAAGAAAATGGAAAAAAAACATTTTTAAGTGAGAGTGGGAGTAGGAAACGGCAGAGAGAAAAAACAAAAAGAGATATCTCAGGTGTATCTTGGGATTTAAAATTGTTCTTAAGGGATATATGTACCTAGCATCCCATGTTGGAACTTTAAAGGCAATTTTCTATAAACCAGTATTAAATCTTGCATCATTATTTCAACCCATATAGATTATTGATTATATGCTTAATTGGAATAATTCTATTTTAAGAAATGTGGAAACAAATGGTTATAGAGCATGAAATCTCCTGACCTGAGACATGTTTGAATTTTGATTCTAACACATACTAAATGATTGCAAATGACATACAAAACTTCAATCACTCAGCCATTTAATAAGGCAATACTAAGAAGAATATTGAGCAAAGCAGATACATCACTTCCATCATAGATCTTGTTATCTGGAGAAATAATTACTAGGGATAAGAGCTCTCATAAAGAGAACATCGTATTTGTCAGCCACATGTAAGATACATCATCTAATTTAATCATGAAAACAAACCCATGAGATGTTTACTATTATACTTTTTAATAGATAAGATAACCAAGAAATTAAATCACACACACAGAAAATATAAAAACAGGGATTCTTTGTCAAACCATCAGATTTTATGCCATGTAATCTCTACCACAAACCACTTTTCTAAACCTCAGTTTACTCCTCTAAAAACTGAGGATTATGAAATTATTTATTCTACAAGGTTTCTGTAAAAACTAAAATGAGATAATCCATTAAAAGGACCTATCGCAATGTTTGCCACATAAAATGTGTCTGATCAGTGTTATATGCCGTAATTGTTATTTTTATTACCACATGATTAGATTCTCAGGGGATCACACACACACACAAAATAGTGCATTTAATTTCTAGGACTTCTTGCCACCTGCACCCAAGATTTTCTCTCAGGTTTGGTTTTTGAAGTAACCCATACAAAAACACTACAAACAGCAGTTTGGCATCTCATTACAGTTTTCTTTTCTTTTCTTTTTGCAAAATTGAGATGATAATATTTGTTTCCCTCTTTTGCAGTGCACTTAAAATATACCTTGAATAAGGTGACATCTCTCCCCTTTGAAAAACCTCAAATAATTTCTGTTTTGGCTATATAAATCTACAATTTTATATACCAACATTTTTACTTCACTCAGTGTTGGTTTATATATTAGTCTAATTTCACGCTGCTGATAAAGACATACCTGAGACTAGGCAATTTACAAACGAAAGAGGTTTAATGGACTCACAGTTCACACGGCTGAGGAGGCCTCACAATCATGGCAGAAGGTGAAAGGCACATCTCACATGGCAGCAGATAAGAGAAGAGAACTTGTTCAGGGAAACTCCCCTTTATAAAACTGTCCGATCTCCCGAGACTTATTCACTATCATGAGAATAGCACAGGAAAGTTCCACCCCCGTGATTCAATTATCTCCCACTGGATCCTTCCCACAGCACGTGGGAATTATGGGAACTACAATTCAAAATGGGATTTGGATGGCGACAAAGCCAACCCATATCATTTTGCCTATGGCCCCTCCCAAGTCTAATGTTGTCACATTTCAAAAGCAATCATGCCTTCCTAACAGTACCCTAAAGTCTTAACTCATTTCAGCATTAACTCAAAACTCCACAGTCTAAAGTCTCATCTGAGACAAGGCAAGTCCTTTTGCCTATGAGCCTGTAAAATAAAAAGCAAGTTAGTTACTTCCTAAATATAATGGGAGTTCAGGCATTGGGTAAATACAGCTATTCCAAATGCAAGAAATTGGCCAAAACAAAGGGGCTACAGGCCCCATGCAAATCCAAAATCCAACAGGACAGTCAATCTTAAAGCACCAAAATGATCTCCTTTGACTCCATGTCTCATATCCAGGTAATGCTGATGCAAGGGGTGGGTTCCCATGGTCTTGGGCAGGTCCACCCATGTGGCTTTGCAGGTTAAAGTCTCCCTCACAGTTACTTTCATGGGCTGGTGTTGAGTGTCTGTGGCTTTTCCAGGTGCACAGTGCAAGTTGTTGATGAAGCTACCATTCTGGGGTATGGAGGATAGTGGCTGTCTTGTTTTCACTCCACTAGGCAGCCCCCCAGTGGGGACTGTTGTACGGGTGCCCATCCCACACTTCCCTTCCACACTGCCCTGCCCCTGCAGCAAACTTCTGCCTGGATATCCAGGTGTTTCCATACATCCTCTAAAATCTAGGCAGGAGTTCCCAAACCTCAATTCTTGACTTTTGTGCACCTGCAGGCTCAATACCACTTGGAAGCTTCCAAAATTTGGGGCTTTCACTCTGAGGCCACAACCCAAATATACGTGGGCCTGGAGAGGTTGGGACTCAGGACACCAAGTCCCTAGACTGCACACAGCAGAGGGACCCTGGGCCCGGCCCATGAAACCATTTTTTCCTCCTATGTCCTCATGTCTGTGATAGCAGGGGGTGCCATGAAGACCTCTGACATGCCCTGGAGACATGTTCCCCATTGTCTTGGTGATTGACATTCAGCTCCTTGTTACTTATACAAATTTCTGCATCTGACTTGATTTTCTCCTCAGAAAATGGGATTTTCTTTTCTACCAAATTATCAGGCTGCAAATTTTCTGAACTTTAATGTTCTGTTTCCCTTTAAAAACTGAATGCCTTTAACAGCACCCATGTCACCTCCTGAATGCTTTGTTGTGTAGAAATTTCTTTTGTCAGATACCCTAAATCATCTCTCTCAAGTTCAAAGTTTCACGAATCTCTAGGGCAGGGGCAAAATTCTGCCAGTCTCTTTCCTAAAGCATACAAGAGTCACCTTACGCCAGTTCCCAACAAGTTCCTCATCTCCATCTGAGACCACCTCAGTGTGGATTTTATTGTCTATATCATTATCAGCAATTTTGTCATAGCCATTCAACAAGTCTCTAGGAAAGTTCCAAACTTCCCCACATTTTCCTGTCTTTTTCTGATCGCTCCAAACTGTTCCAACCTCTGCCTCTTACCCAGTTCCAAATTTGCTTCCATATTTTTAGGTATCTTTACAGCAGTGCCCCATTCTACTGGCACCAATTTACTGTATTAGTCTGTTCTCATGCTGCTAATAAAGACATACCTGAGACTGGGTAATTTATAAAGGAAAGAGGTTTAATGGACTCACAGTTCAACATGGCTGGGGAGGCCTCACAATCATGGTGGAAGGCGAATGAGGAGCAATGTCATATCTTACATGGCAGCAGGCAAGAGAGAAAATGAGATTTGGCTGGAGACACAGCCAAGCCATATCAGTTTATATCTAGTTTCAAAGGGGATATTAAAATATGTACATTCGTTAATATTTATTCTTTCATTTATTCAACAGATTTTTACAGAGCACCTTCTAAATGTCTCCCAATAATGGAAAAGATGATGAGCAGGTCTGACTCAGTTTAAAAGGAACTTATATTCCATGGGAAAAGACACATCAGAAACTGGTAAATCACAATATTGTATGAAAATGAATTTCTAGACAATGGAATTCACCATTCTGTATAAATAAATGAGAAAAGCTTTTAACCAGAGGCCAGGGTAGAAAAAACTTCCCTGAAGAGACAATTTCTAGGTTAGGAACAGAAAAAAGAGTAATAGCCAAGGACAGAAAGGTACAAAGAAGCAAAAAGCATTTCAAACATTGGGAATCGCAGAGGCAAAGGTCAAGCACATTCTGATAACAAAGTTCAATATAGATGGGATGTCAACTGACCTTCATAGAATTAAATAATTCATGGGAAAGCACTTTGAAAAGTGAAATATACTATACAGGTGAAAGGTATTATTATCTCTAATAAATTCTCTCTGGTGGGGAAAAGTGAAAAAATACAGGATTAAAAGTCTATTTAATTTCAAACACAGTATTTTTTTTCCAGGGGCTATAGGCAAAGCATGTAGTTAAGTTTAAATGTCTTTTATTTCTTCTAAATTCCCGGTTTTATTTTGCATTGTGATATTTTGGTACTGCTCTAGAAATTTTTTGGAAAGATTGCATATAACTACTTTTCCCCATAGGGATTTTCTGAAATTTAGTTACATTTGTATCCAGCCCAATTATCTAGTAGGAAGAAATGTTATGAGTGCTATACACATTTATTCAGGGCAAAGTTGTCATAACTGCCTAAGTAAAAAGCAGAAACTCATACATGATGAAATATTTCACTGATACATAATTTACAAAAGATCAGAGAGGGGAGTGAGGGAATTGACTGTCTCATGAGAGGAAAGTCGGTATATCATAGATTTCCAGCACCACTTTGGGGAAAGTGCCTTCTAATGATGAACATTGCTGGGTGGATACAGAGCAGAGATTCTGAACACTCATCCTTCGACAGGCTATGCTAGAATTATGTGTGGCTCAAAAATATAAGACCTTTCCCTCAGAGATGCTGATTCTGTTTCCATAGGAATTTGTAGTTTTATTTATTTTTTTTTAATTTCAATAGGCTTTTGGATACAGATGGCTTTTGGTTAAAAATCAAGTTATTTAGTGGTGATTTCTGAAATTTTAGTGCAATCATTGGTGAAATCTGCTGCATTTAGAACCCTTTTAAGTATAAAATATAATTGACTTTTGACAGCATACACTCTGAGCTTCCACCTCTCTGTTGCCAGTTGGTGAAAATGAGCCCATTCTGCTCTTGTGACAATGGAGTTTCTAGTTTCAAATGATAATTCCTTCTAAAGAATATAGAATCTACAAAGCCATGATGATGAGGTCTGGACCAGTTATAAGAACATATAGTGTAGGAGGCCGAGGCAGGTGGATCACCTGAGGTAAGGAGTTCGAGAACTGGCCAACATGGTGAAACCTCATCTCTACCAAAAATACAAAAAACAAAACAAAACAAAACAAAACAAAAAAAAAAACAATTAGTTGGGCATGGTGGCAGGCACCTGCAATCCCAGGTATTTGGGAGGCTGAGGCAGGAGAACCACTTGAACCTGAGAGGCAGAGGTTTCAGTGAGCCAAGGTCGCACCATTGCACTCCAGCCTGGATGACAAGAGTGAAACTCCATCTCAAAAAAAAAAAAAAGAAAAGAAAAGAAAAAAATAAGGAATATATAGTAGTAAGTGATCTGTTCAGGGTAGTGCTCTGTAGCTTTCAGAGAGAAGAATGCTCTGTAGCTTTCAGTTGTTTCTCTTGCTGAGGCTAAGGGCTTAAGAATATACACACTGTAGATATTTATTGTTTGACATTTAATTAGAGGCCTCAGTTTGCAAGTGGTTTACTCATAATGGGGTAATATCCTCGTCTGAAATGTACAGTGATTTGTGTCCTTTGAGGAGGAATTTATTATTTAGTAAATGAACACAATTTAATATATCTTTAAAATGCTACATTTTGAAACTATGAGAGAAGAATGGCATACATTACAAAGCGAGCAATTACAATTTTAGGAAATATTTATCAAATCTTACTGTCCATTACAACCAAAAAAGCAACAATCAAATAATGGAGATATCCTAACAATTAATAACATAGCCTTTCATCATTGAGTTAAAAACAATGTAAGTGTTGGAATGCTAACACAACTTGTTGAATTATAATAGATATAAGGATACCAGTGACTATTTTTATCATTTCAATGCAAGTGGCCATAAAATTGTAGTGGAATCAGGATTTCAGTTCAATATGGCTCAGATAATATGCACAACCTTTTCTATGTTTCTAAGAATGTGATTCCTCAGATACTCAAAGAATAATGTTTATAGCACCAAAGTCTGTAGAGTTTCTCTCTATAATGGTCCTCATTATTCAATGTATAATTTAAAATGAAATATCATGAAGAGACTTTATTGCGCAAAGTCCAACATTTTGTATGTAATAGGAACTGAGGTAGACAAGCCTTTAGTTCAAGGATTTATGTTAATTTGACTCAGGAGTTGGATTGCACTTAATGTTTATGGTAACTCTCAGGGCCATGGGCTTAAATTCCTCTAGGGTCCTTGTTTCTATCTCCCCTCCTGTCACTGAGCTTCCCTAAGAACTGCTTCTCAGAAAGAGTCTGCATCTTTCGGCCCTGTCAACTGTAATCAACTGCTATTATACTGGAATCCTATTGGAGTAACAGTACAAGGACTAGAGAGAAACTTGCTCTGATTTTGTAACAAAATTTGTCTTTTAATCAGTCTGTTTCTTTGTGCTCTAACATCCCCATATAGCTTTCCAGTGCTCTTGGGTTTTACCGCCTTTTCCCTTGGGAAGTAAGTCTTTTTAATGGAGAAAAAAAAAAGGCTTTTTTGGCTTTTCATAATAATTACTCTTCCCCCATACACCCACCCACCAGAGCACTGAGAGGATCTTTCTCAGATCTTCAATGTAAAACTATGGTGGGGTTCCTGGAGGTAAAACCGACAAACGTTGAGGGCTGCCTAAGCCTGTCTCTAGTAGTTTCTCACTGCACTTTATAACTCCAGAACCTTCTGCTTCATGTGAGCAAGTCTCAGCTGTAACTATTAGGATTCATCTGTCTCTCAATATTTCCCAATATGGTTTGCTGTACAACCTCAGTTTTCCAGTATGTCCAAGAAAAGGTGTTAATTTTCCATCTGTTCAGCTTTCTTTAGTCATAAAGAGAAGAGTGACATTTTCAAAACTCTTCATATATTAAATCTAAAACAGTAAGTCCTTATTATTTTGATTTAATTTACATGTCTCTAATGACTACTGACATTGAAAACTTTTTCATGTAATTATTTATTATTAGTATATCTTTATCTTTTAAGTGTCCAATTTCTTTGCTCATTTTACTTTGGTTATGTTATGGGTGAATTACATAGTCCCAAAAAGTCATATGTTAAAGTTCTAATACCTTGTACCTCAGAATGTGAATGTATGTGGGGAATGAGTCTTTAAAATGCAATGAAGGTTAATAAGGTTCTGAAAGTGAGCCTTAATCCCTTAAGACTAATGTCCTCATAAGGATTGAAGATTAGGACACAAACACAGAGGGCCAGGCATGTGAGGACACAGCGATTAAGGTATTTGCAAGCCAAGAAGTGAGACCTCAGAAGAAACCAAACCTGCAGACACTTTCATCTGGAATTTCTAGCCTCCAGAATTGTGAGAGAGTGAGTTTCTGCTGTGTAAGCCACGCAGTCTACAGTATTGTGCAATGGCAACCTCAGAAATCTAATACAAGTTGAATAGAGTCCCCCCAGAATTAATGTCTACCCAGAACCTCAGAATATGACTATTTGGAAATAGGTCTTGGGAGATATAGTTAGGGATCTCAAGGTATAATCATCCTGGATTTAGGTATAACCCTAAATTCAAAGACAGTTGTCTTCATAAAAAGGAGAGAGGACATAGACACACACAGAGTAAAAGGTTATGTGATGTTAGATACAGAAATTGAAGTAATGAAAAGGATGGTCCTCAACCACCAGAATCTAAGAAGCATGGGACAATTTCTTCCACAGAGCCTCCAAAGAAGGAACCAACCCCACTGATGCCTAGATTTCAGATTCCCTCTAAAACTATGAGAAAAATAAATTTCTTTTATTTTAAGCTACAAGTTTGTGGCAATTTGTTAAGGCAGCCATGGGACACTAATACACATCTTTTTATTCATTGTTTAAATGTCTTTATAACACCACTCATATTTCATTGCCCAATATGACATAGCAAAAATTGGTAACAATGGGTCCTAGATGTGTAATTTCCTCTGGGAATAACAGTACATATTAGGGGATAATAATGTAGTCTACTACACTCAGTTTTTGTATTTTTATATGTGTAAATTATAAACATGTACTTTTATCCTAATGTGTGATAAATATCTGACATACGCAAACTATGAATGGGTATGATAAAGCTAGATTATATATTAATTTAATAATATTAATTTAATGATATTGATTAATGCCATAAAATTCACATAGTCCTCACTGTGATTGAAAATGCTACATTTTAAATTAAAAATTTGCTAAAATAATTTTGTGATATTGCATTTAAAGGTTTAACGTCCAAGTTTTGTTTACTTGCATATCTGATTATATTGGCTATCATAAATGGAAAAGATATATAGCAGATTATGTATATCCAAATGGAAGAAGGGTGTCCTTTGCTGTGCACTCTAAATCACTGAACATCTTTTTCAGTCTTATATCACATTATGCAAAAATTTATCTCAAATACGTTGATTTTTTATTCACAACATTTTCAAAACCTGCTGTAACTCTTTATTTGAAAGATTTTTACATAGGATAGAATATTTGTTTCCAAAATTTCTGCTCCCCGCCCCACAGAACATATCTGTTAGTTTTTATTTTTGAACTTCATCATAAATTTAAGTAGCAAATTGCCTAACAGTGGAAACATTTCAAAAACATGCATTTTAAAAAACGCTTTCTACATAACATAATATTTTTTTAAGTAAGAATTGCTTTCTCTTTATCTTTCTAAAAATGTTTCCCTTGCTTTAAAGGGAATGATTACGTATTCCATTTCTCTGTCAAAATCTCTGTTACATACTCCTAACCTGTCTTTTGTTATGACAGATATAGTCAACAAATGTGGAATAGTCAAGTTTTGTTACCTCATCTAAAGTACTACATGAACAGTTAACCAGCATCCCTATGTGAAGTAAAAAACCTTTCCGATAAATTCTCATCTTGTTAAGTGGTATTATAAAGCATGGTAATAATTATTTGTTATCTTTAGTTAACTATATTGATAACCTCCTTAAAACTTTAACTTTAAATTATGTGTTACATTGAATTACCTCTACATTATGATGTTAATTCATTTCATAGGTTCATCAATTTTTCTATTTCATATCATAGGTAAATTAATACATCATAAGGTTTTTTAACTTCAAATTTTCTTGGTAAAATATTAAAAAATAACTATTCTTGAATAGATTATTCTTTTAACCTCAAAATAGTTCCATTAGACTGCTTATATATACTAAGACTGATTGTCAAAACTATCCTCTTCTTATTCACGTATGCTTACGTGAAATATTTGTTTATAATAATTAAAGTATACACTCTTTGGGGGTTCAGTTCCTTAAAGTTGAGGGATGTGATATGTAAGTCCACATAACCTGCAATACATTGCAGTAGGATGTAGCAATGAAGAATGTAGTTGTCACTGTGCTGGCCTCCAGGTTTCCCATATCAGGTGACTAGCATGTAACAGGCAACCACCTTTCAAACAAGCAAAACCATGTTTTCAGATTTAAACATAATTATTAAAATCACTTGTGATATTATTTCCACACTAACTATTCTCTGGTGCACATTGACAGAGTTTTATGATGCAACTTTGAGCAGTATGCCCCTAGAGGAAAATTCAAATTGTCTTTCTTACCCAAACTTCTACAATATCAGTTTCCGTCCTGCTCCTTATTCCTCATTTTGGCCAATGCTACAGGAAAGAAACAACAAACAAAATCAAGACACAGAAGAAGAAACAAGAAGTCCACATAAATAACTTAATATTTTAGAAATTCTTCTGAGAAAGTCTTTTAGCTTTAAATTTTTATTGGTTTGTGTTAAACGCTTTAAGACATAATTCACATTCCATATAATTATTCTAGGTAAAGTTTACAATTCAATGGCTTTTAAAACACAGAGTTGTGAAAATATGACCATGCTCAAATTTTAAGATATTTTTATCACCCCTTCAAAAAAAAAAAAAAAAACCCTGACATTAGTAGTCACTTTCCATCTTCCAATCTGACCTCTGCCTTCAGGCTTTAGCGGCACTAATCTACTTATTGTCTCTATACATTTGCCTATTCTGGACATTTCATATAAATAAAATCACATAATGTTTTCTTGTTGTAATTGGCATCTTTTATTTAGCATGCTGTTTTCAAGGTTCATCCATAGTTTAGTGGACATTATTACTCCATTCTTAGTTATTGCCTAATAATATCCCACTGTGTGAACATACCATATTTTCAAGACTCATTCACCAGTTGATGAACATCTGGATTTATTTCTGCTTTTTGGCTATCATAATAATGCTGCTATGAACATTTGTGTACAAATATTTATGCAGACATACATTTTTATTTTTGTTTGATGTAAATGTAGACATGGAATTGCTGTATGCTAAGAACTCTATATTTAAGAGTTTAAAGAACCATCAGGATTTTTTCAAAAGCAACTGTGCCACATTACATTACTACACACACACACACACACACACACACACACACACACACACAAAATGTATGATGGTTCCAATTTCTCCATATCCTCATTGATATCATTTGGATGTTTATCCCTTCCAAATCTCATGTTGAAATGTGATCCCCAGTGTCACAGGTGGGGTCTGGTGGGAGGTGTTTGGGTCATGGGAGTAGATCCCTTACGAATGGCTTGGTGCTGTCTTCATGGTAATGAGTGAGCTCTCATTCTATCAGCTCATGTGAGAGCTGGTTGTTTAAAGGTGTGACACCTCCCCCCATTTCTCTCTCACCCCCTGTTATCCCACAAGGCAATACACAGGTGGATCCCCCTTTGCCTTTTGCCACTATTGTAATCTTCCTAAGGCCTCTCCAGAGGCAGATGCTGGCACTATTCTTCTCTCATACAAACTACAGAAACATGAGCCAAATAAGCCCCTTTTTCCGTATAAATTATATGGTCTCACTTCTTCCTTTACGGAAATGCAAAATGCACTAACACACGCATGAACTCTTACTATTGCCAGTTATTTTTATTATAGCCATCTCATTGAATGTGGACTGGTATCTCATTGCAGATTTGATTTGCATTTCTCTAATGGTCAATGATTTTGAATATCTTTTCATGGCTTATTGGACATTTGTGTATCTTCTTTGGACAAATATCTATTCATATATTTTGCCCATTTAAACAATTTTCTTGAGGTAAAAATATACATACATAATTTGTCATCTTCACCATCTTTAAGTGTACAGTCCATTGATAATAAAATATGTATATACTTTTTCTTTTCCTCTTTATCTCCCTTCCCCACTCCTGTTCTCTGCCTCTGTAACCACCACTCTACTCTCCATCTTCATGAGATCCAATTTTTTAGCTCCTGCCTATGAATGAGAACATACAATTTTGTCTTTTTGTGCTTGTAATGACTTCCAGTTCAATCCATGTTGCTGAAAATAATGATGCTTTATTCTTTTTTTATTGCTGAATAGTTTTCCATTGTGTATATAAACCACATTTTCCTTATCCATTCATCAACTGATGGACACCGAGGTTGATTTCATATTTTGACTATTGTGACAGTGTTGAAATAAACATGGGAGTGCAGATATATCTTTGATATATCAATCTCCTTTTGTTTTTGAATATATACCAAATAGTGGAATTGCTGGATCAAATAGAAGTTCTATTTTCAGTTTTTTTAAAGGAACCTGCATACTGTTCTACATAGTGTTTGTACTAACTTACATTCCCACCAACAGTGTATGAGGGTCCGCCTTTCTCCAAATCTTCTCTAGCATCTGTTACTGCCTGTCTTTTGATGTAAGCCACTTTATCTGGGGTGAGATAAAATCACGTTGTCGTTTTAATTTGCATTTCTCTAATGATTAGTGGTGCTGAGAATTACTTTCATACACCCATGGCCATGTGTATGTTTTCTTTTGAGAAATGTCTGTTCTGGTCTTTTGTCCATTTTTTAATTAGCTTATTTTTTTTTTGCTCTTGAGTTGTTTGAGCTCCTTATATATTCTAGTTGTTAATTCTTTGTTAGATGGGCAGTTCATAAATATTTTCTCCCATATGATGGGTTCTCTATTAACTTTTTTGCTTGTTTCCTTTTCTGTACAGAAGATTTTCAGCTTGATGGAATCCCTATTATCTATTTTTGCTTTGGTTGCCTGTACTTTTGAGGTTACGTAAAAAAAAATCTTTGCCCAGACTAATATTATTTTCTAGTCGTTTCATAGTTTCAGGTTTTAGATTCAAGTCTTTAATCCATTTTTATTTGATTTTGTGTATGGTGAGTGTATCAGCCTGTTTTCACACTGCTGATAAAGACATACCCAAGACTGGATAATTTACAAACAAAAAGAGGTTTATTGGGGGGTGGAGGGGTAGGGGAGCGATAGCATTAGGAGAAATACCTAATGTAGGTCACGGGTTGATGGGTGAAGCAATCCACCTTTGCTCATGTATGCCTATGTAACAAACCTGCACGTTCTGCACATGTACCCCAGAACTTACAGTATGATAAAAAAAAGGAAAATAAAATAAAAGAAAGAGAGGTTTAATGGACTCACAGTTCCACATGACTGGGGAGGCCATAAAATCATGGAGGAAGGAGAAAGGCATGTCTTACATAGCGGCAGACAAGAGAGAATGAGAGCCAAGCAAAAGGGGAAACCCCTTATAAAATCATCAGATCATGAGACTTATTCACTACCATGTATGAGGGAAACCACCCCTATGATTCAATTATCTCCCACCGGGTCCCTCCCACAACACGTGGGAGTTATGGAGGCTACAATTCAAGATGAGATTTGGGTGGGGACACAGCCAAACCATATCAGTGAAAGATAAGAACTTAGTTTCATTCTTCTGCATATGGATGAGCATTGAAAAAACTCTCCTTTCTCCATTGCAAATTCTTAGCACCTTTCTTGAAAATGAGTCTGTGATAAATGTGTGGATTTATATCTATGTTCTCTATTCTGTTTCAGTGGCCTATGTGTCTATTTTGATGCCAGTACCATGCTATTCTGGTTACTATATCTTTGTAATAAATTTTGTAATCGGGTAGTGTGATGCCTCAAACTTTGTCCTTTTTGTTCAGGATTGATTTGGCTATTTGGAATCTTTTGTGGTTCCATATAAATTTTAGGATTTGTTTTATATTTCTGCAAAGAATGTCATTGGTATTTTGAAAACGATTGCATTGAATCTATAAATTGCTTTCAGTAATATTTCCATTTTAAAAATATTAATTCTTCTGATCTATGAGCATGGAATATTTTTTGTGTCTCCTTTAATTTCTTTTATCATAGTTTTATAGTTTTCCTTGAATAGATATTTTATTTCTTTAGTTAGATTTATTCCTAGGGACTTCATCTTTTTGCAACTATTGTAAATGGGATTGCTTTCTTGATTTCTTTTTCAGATTTTTAGCTGTTGGCATATAAAAGTGTTACTGATTTCCATATCTTGCTTGTGTTTCTTGCAACTTTGCTGAATTCATTTATCAATTTGGTGGAGTCTTTAGGATTTTCTATCTATAAAGATAACACTCTCTGTGTACCAGGCTAATTTGACTTCTTCGTTTCCAATTTGGATGCCCTTTATGTCTTTGTCTTGCCTAATTTCTTTAGCCAAGACTTCCAGTATTATGGTGAATAATAGTGAAAGTGTGCATCCTTGTCTTATTCTAGTATTTAAAAGAAAGGCATTTGAGTTATCCCCATTCAGTATGATAGTTGTATTTTATAAATGATCTTCATTATTCTGAGGCATTTTCCTTCTATACCCATTTTGATGAGCATTTTTATCATAAAGGGATGTTTTTATCAAATGCTTCTTCAGCATCTATTGAAAGAATTATATAATTTTTATTGTTGATTCTGTTAATGTAATGTTTTGCATTTATTGATGTAGTGTTTTGCATTTATTAAGGATGTTGAACCATCCTTGCAACCTCAGGATGAATCCCAGTTAATCGTGATGAATGATATTGTTAGTGTTTTGTTGTATTCTGTTTGTTAATATTTTGTTGAGGATTTTTGCATCAGTGATATTGCCCTGTAGTTTTATTATTGTTTTCATTGTTGTTGTTTCCTTGTCTGGTTTTGGTATCAGGGTTATGCTGGCCTTATGGAATGAGTTTGGAAGTATTCCCTCTTCCTACATTTTTTTGAATATTTTGAGTAGGACTAGCATCAGCTTTTCATTAAAAGTTTAGTAGAATTCAGCTGTCAATCGATCAAGTCCTAGGTTTTCTTTGGAGAGTTTGAATTACAGCTTTAATCACATTACTTGTTACTGATTTCCTGAGGTTTTCTGTTTCTTCATGGTTCAGTCTCATAGGTTGTAGGTATCCAGGAATTTATCCATTTCTTCTAGGTTTTCCAATTTGTTGGCATATAGTTGTTAATAATAGTCTCTAATGAGTATTTGTATTTCTTAGGTCTCAGTTGTTATATCTTCTACATATGTAGGCTGAAAGTGAAGGAGTGAAAACAGGTATTTTATGCAGCTGAAAACCAAAAAAGAGCAGAAGTAGCTATAGTCATATCAGATAAAATAGACTCCAAATCAAAGACTAAAGTAAGATAAGGAAGATCACTATATCATGATAAAAGAGTCAATTCAGCAAGAAGATATAACAATTATACATATGTATGGAACCAACACTGGAACTCCTAAATATATAAGACAAACATTAATAGATTAAAGGCAGTGATAGATTGCAATACAATAACAGTAGGAAATTTTAATACCTCATTCTCAGTAATGAACAGAAATGAGAGAAAATCAACAACAATAACAAAGTGAAGTTAAAGTACATGCTAAATCTAGTAAACCTAAGTGACATTTATAGAACAGAACTGCTACAGAATACACAGTCTTTTCATCAGCACATAGAGCATTTTTCAGAACAGACTATATCTTAGGTTAGAAAGAAGTCTATACAAATTTAAAAAAAAGCAGAAATCATATTGACTATCTTCTCTGACCACACTAGAATAAAACTGGAAATCAATACCAAGAGGAACCTTGTAAAACATACAAACATATGGAAATTAAACAAAATGTTATGAAGGACCAATGAGTCAATAAAACAATGAAAAAATTTTAAATTTCTTGAAACAAGTGAAAATGGAAATACAACATACCAAAATCTATGGGATATAGTAAAAGCAGTATTAGGGGGGATTTTTATATCAATAAACACTTATACCAAAAAAGTAGAAGGACTTCAAATAAATAACCTAACACTGCACCTCAGGGAACTAGAAAAGCAAGAACAAACCAACCTCAAAATTAGTAGAAGGAAAGAAATAATAAGGATAAGAGCAGAAATAAATGAAATTGAGACAAAAATACAGAAGATTAGTAAAATAAAAATTCGGTTTTCCGGAGATAAAATTAACAAACCTTTAGCAAGACTAAAAAAAGAGAGAGAGAGAGGACTTTTGCCCATTTTTAATTGAGCTTTATTTATTATTGAGTTATGCTTTGTATATATTCTGAATAAAATTCCATTATCAGATATATGATTTATAAACATTTTCTCTGTGGCTTTTTCTTTCACTTTCTTGATGATCTACCTTGAAGCACAAAGGCTTTTAATTTTGAAGAAATTCAATTTATCAATATTTTATTTTGTCCCTAGTGCTTTTAGTGTCAGATCTGAGAAACAACTGACTAACACATTGTCATGAAGAGTTACTTTCATGTTTTCTTCAAAGACTATTATGGTTTTAGTTCTTATATTTAGGGTTATGATCCATTTAAAATTATTTTCTGGTATAGTAAGTAACGGTACAAATTCATTCTTCTACATGTAGATATCTAGTTGCCCCTTGTAACATTTGTGGGTATAAAACTATTCTTTCCCCCATTGAATTACCTTGGCACTGCTTCTAAAATTAATTGACCAAAAATATAAGGGTTTATTTTTAGACTCTCCATTTTATTTCATCAATCTGTAGCAACAAGATATATTCAATAATTTTGAACTCTCCAAAATTATTAAATATATTCCATCCGATAATATTTTTGTACTCTTCATTTTATTCCACTGTCTACACATATGCTAATGCCACATTCACATGCATACTTCTGCTTTGAAGACAAATTTTATGAATTATGAGTCCTCCAATTTTGTCCTTCCTTTTTACTATAATTTTGGCTCTTCTGTATCCCTGGCATTTCCATATAAATTTAAAAATCAACTTGTCAGTAACTACAAAAAAGAAAGCTGGAAATTTAATAGGGATTGTTTTGAATATGTAGATCAATTTGCAAGTATTGTTTTGTTAACAATATTACATCTTCTCTTTAATGAACAGGCATTTCTTACCATTTACTTGGGTCTTTACTTCTTTTTATTATTATTATTATTATACTTTAAGTTTCAGGATACATGTGCACAACATGCAGGTTTGTTACATATTTATACATGTGCCATGTTGGTGTGCTGCACCCATTAACTCATCATTTAGCATTAGGTATATCTCCTAATGCTATCCCTCCCCCATCCCCCCACCCCACGACAGGCCCCGGTGTGTGATGTTCCCCTTCCTGTGTCCATGTGTTCTCATTGTTCAATTCCCATCTATGAGTGAGAACATGTGGTGTTTGGTTTTTTGTCCTTGTGATAGTTTGCTGAGGATGATGCTTTCTCTAGAACTCATCATTTCTTATGGCTGCATAGTATTCCATGGCGTATATCTGCCACATTTTCTTAATCCAGTCTATCATTGTTGGACATTTGGGTTGGTTTCAAGTCCTTGCTATTGTGAATAGTGCCGCAATAAACATACGTGTGCATGTGTCTTTATAGCAGCATGATTTATAATCCTTTGGGTCTTTACTTCTTTTCACAAATATTTTATAGTTTTCAGACTATCTACAAATCTTGCACTTACTTCTCCTGCTAAATTTACCCCTAATTACTAAATTTCTTTTCTAATTTTTAAATTTATTCCTTTTCCTAAATTTATTCCTATAAACTGAAAGAGTTTATAGTGTATATTCACTTTTAATCTTGATAATATTCAGATACTGGCTTTTAATGTTAAATTTATATCTGGACTCTTGAACATACATATACATAAATACATACACTCACTGTTATTACCTCATATTTATTTACATTTCTCAGCAAGATACATGGAAAATTTATTTGAAGAAGGAACTGAATCAAGAATAAATTCAATTAAACCATTAAACCCTGTTTTGGGACAGTTGAAGATAATAGGTTAAGCATGGCAGCTGTTGATACCTAGCTTTGAGCAATTTAAAGATTGAAATTAGTAATTAGTAATTTGTACATTATTCAATTTATGGAATTATTTATTTATTAGAATATAAATATAGCTGTTACTGTTTTGTAATAATATTTTGTGTGAAAAAGGAGGATAAGTGATTAGAGCAAAATATTCAGAAGAGAAATGAGGAAAATGGGAGTCAATTTTGCATCCTTTAATGTGGTAAGCAGAAAAAAAATGCCTCCCCAATAAATATTAATTTTCTAATCCATGGAACAAGTGAATATTGTCTTCTGTGGAGAAAGAGTTAATACTACTCTATGTATGGCAAGATGTGATTATGCAAATGACCTTGAGAGGAGGAGATTGTCTAGGTGGGCCTTAAATCCTAAATCCAATGACAAGTGTCCTTATCAGAAATAGAAGAGACCGGGCGTGGTGGCTCATGCCTGTAATCCCAGCACTTGGGGAGGACGAGGCAGCTGGATCACCTGAGGTCAGCAGTTCGAAAGCAGCCTAGCCAACATGGTGAAACCCCGTCTCTACTAAAAATACAAAAATTAGCCGGGCATGGTGGTGGTTGCCTGTAATCCCAGTTACTTGGGAGGCTGAGGCAGAAGAATCGCTTGAACTCAGGAGGCGGAGGTTGCAGTGAGCCAAGATGGTGCCAATGTACTCCAGCCTGGGTTACAAGAGTGAAACTCCATCAAAAAAAAAAGAGAGAGAGAAAGAGTGAGAGAGAGAGAAAAAAAGAAGGAAGGAAGAAAGGAAGGAAGGAAGGAAGGAAAAAAGAAAGAAAGAAAGAAAAAGAAAGAAAGAGACAGAGAGAGGAAGGAAGGAAGGAAGGAAAGAAAAGGAAAGAAAGAAAAGAGAAGAGAATAAGACACAAAAATGAGAAGACAATATGAGGACAGGGGCAGAGAGTTAAGTAATATGCCATTAGCCAGCCACCAGCAACAGGAAAAAGCAGGAAAAGTATCTCCTCTGGAGCTTCTAGAGGAAGTACGGTCCTGCCAACATCTTCATTTTAGAATTTTATCCTTTGCAGCTGAAAGAGGATATGTTTCATTGTTTTAAACCAACAAGTTTGTGGTAATTTGTCACAGCAGTGCTAAGAAATGAATACATTTCCTCTCAGAAATAATTGATCTGGCCTTTAATATTTCTGGTTTTAGATTTATCTTAGCTATTTAAAATATTTTTATGTAGTATGTAGTCAAAGTATTAAATTAATCATTTAAACCTTACCAAGGAGATTTTAGCATTTTAAATTATAAATATGATTTCTCTAGAATAAGTTTCTATGTTTTGTTAAAATATAGCTTAATTCAAAATTTAAAAGAACACAATACATATGTGTGATTACCACTGAAAAATTAAGAATATAGGAGAGGCTTTGTTACATATATTAAATACAGAATATTATAAATTTAAGGCCAATTTACACTTTAATTTTCCCTGGTAGTTCCTAGCCCAAAACGTAATTATGAGACATTGTACTACTGTTATATGTCACAAAAGAATCAACAGATTTAATTCTTCAATGTGTATATAAATTGAAAGGGACAATTTAAATTTGCTCAGACATTTACAAATAACTGTAATATCCACTGGAACAATTCTATTGCCAGAGTAAATGTGTTTTACCTTATATTACCTTTCCATGTAGAATGAGATAATTGCCAAAATCACTCTGCAAATATAAAACTAGGTTTTATATCTCAGAGTTGCATAGTAATTGTAGACTCATAATAAAGAAAAGCCATATAAAAATCTCAGATAACATATACAACGTGAACATGCCTCTCTAATAAAAGCTTATCACCAGGGGCTCATTGTAAGATTCTCTGTTACATGCAAAAACTAAGTCTTAGATTACAGACATGGGAAGCATGTGGGAAAGATACCAAGTTAATTCACTTGAAGGCATTTGATTTGATGCCAGAGCAGTTTATTAATTCCTAAACCAATCTGAACTTTATAATACTTTTTTCTGTTATAAGCTAGCTTCAAGTTAATAGATAATGTATTCATTCCCATTCATAATTCCACTTCATCATGTGAGAAAAGCGTATACCACAAAATGTTTATTGCATTTTTATGAAGACTCTTACAGATTAACTTAACAACAGAAACTTATTATTGGTTAGGCTAAGCGCTAGTTCTTTCCTTATGTAGGCCATCCACAAGCCTATTTTGCCATGAATGGAAATGACCCATTTGCTATCTTTAAGTCAAGTATTTTGTCTTCTTCTTTCTTATAGGTCCATAACCTAGCACTGTGCCCACTTCAGGGCAGATGCTGACATTAAAGTGGGCTGAATATTGAATAGTTTGCTTGCTGCTCTTTCAAAACATATTTTATTAATAATATTTTTTACAGTTTACAGTTAAGAACTTGGTGTTTGAAGACAAGTCACTTTGGTTCAACTCTAACCTTTACCACCTACTTTTCAGTCTCATATTTCCTTGTTGAGAAAGTTGTGATAATAATACCTGTTTTACGGGGATGTGATTAAAGTAAAATGAGATGATGTATGTAGAGGTTTCAGCACAGATAGGTTTCCCTTAAACGTTAAAGCCTCAACATAAAATGTACCATTTACCATTTACATGTTTTAAAATGACAGAGCACTTCACTCTTAAAATATCTGTTTCAATAACATTGGGAGCATTGAATTCATAAGTTAATTCTAAGATTCTTTGAAGCAGGATTTTTCTTGATATTAACAAGAGATGTCAAGGATAAGTTTTCACGCAACTTCCCTGTGGCTGACTGACACAACTGAAGACATCATTAACTGAAAGATACAGTCTGTTTTCACAGAAGTTAAAATAAATAATTTTTTTAAATGAATTTATGAAATAATATGAATATAACTGGCTTTTCTCTAGGAAAAAAAAATGTATTTAAAAAAAAAAACTGTTGACTTTGCCCTCTGGCATGTCACCTGATTTATGCCCATGGAACTGAAGGTCTTGCTCACCTTTAATGACCCTCCACTGACTTTGCCTGAACATTCTTCCCTTTTCCATTAGTCCACATCACTATATTCACCCTCTCAAGCTCATGCCAATGTTTAAAACACTTCTATTCTTTGGACTTCTGCTCTAGTTTTTATTATTTTTTTTAAAGAAAAATATCATTCCTTCCAGATATCAAGGCAGGGCTTCATGGCAGACCAGTGGAGTAAAACATTTAAGATATACATTGACAACCTATCCAGGCTGTCACATGACCCACCTTCATGTAAACTAATTAACAAAATGGATATTTCTTCATTTTCTCACCACCTTTTGAGGCCCAACTTTGACAAATTTCTAGAAAATTGTATTTAAAACATTTATTGGAAAATACACCATTTATTTATTTAAATACTGTAGTAATATATGCATAAGGTAAAAATTCAAATATATAAGAATTTAAGTATGGTACTGTATCACTTACCAAAAGGGATATGTTCTGAGAAATGCATTGAAAGGCGGTTTTGTTGTGTGAACATCACAGAACGTACTTACACAAGCCTACGTGGTGTAGCCTACTACACTCCCAAGCCATATGGTGGAGCCTATTGTTCTTAGGCGACAAACCTATACAGCATGTTACTATACCGACTATTGTATACAATTTTAAAGCAGTGATATTTGAGTATCCACACATATCTAAACATAAAAAGATACAGTAAAAATGTAGTATAAACTATTTAAAAAATGGTGCACCTGTATAGAACACTTACCATGAATGGATCTTGCAGGACTAAAAGTTGCTCTGGGTAAGTCAGTGAGTGAGTGGTGACTGAAGGTGAAGTCCTTGAACACTAGCATACAGTACTGTAGACTTACCAACAATGTACCCTTGGGCAGGGTTTGGTGACTCACATCTGTAATCCCAGCACTTTGGGAGGCTGAGGGGGCAGATCACAAGGTCAGGAGATTGACATCATCCTGGCTAACACGGTGAAAATCTGTCTCTACTAAAAATACAAAAAAATTAGCCGGGCATGGTGGCACGCACCTGTAGTCTCAGCTACTCGGGAGGCTGAGGCAGGAGAATAGCTTGAATCCAGGATGTGGAGGTTGCAGTGAGAAGAGATCGCGGCACTGCACTTCAGCCTGGGTGACAAACTGAGACAAAAAAAAAAAAAAAAAAAGTACCCTTAGGTTATACTAAATTTATTTGAAATATTTTATTTCTTTAATAATGAATGAAGCTTAGTTTAACATTTTTACTTTATGAACTTTTAAATTTTTTCACTATTTTGTAATAACAGCCTAAAGCACACACATTGTATAGATGTAAAAAATATTTTTTCTTCCCTGTTGTGTAAGCTTTTTTCTATTTAAATTTTTTTTTTTTAATTTTACTTTTTAAACTTTTTTGCTAAGAGTTAGGACACAAACATACACATATTAGCCTATTCCTACACAGGGTCAAGATCATCAATATTACCATCTTCCACCTCCACATCTTGTCCCAGTGGAAGGTCTTCAGGGGCAATAAAATAAAGCTATCATCTCCTGTAACAATGATTCTTCTGGAGTAAGTCCTGAAGAATCTGCTGAGACTATTTTATTGCTAACTTTTTATATTTATAATTAAAAGGAGTATACTGTAAAATAATATTAAAAGTGTAGTAAATACACAAATAACAGTAATTTATTATCAGGTATTGTGTACTGTACTTGCTAATACTTTTTCCTGCTATAAGCTAGCTTCAAGTTAATAATATATTCATTTCTACTTTATTAGCAATTATTGTGTACAGTACACAATATTATTATCAATAATTCACATAAAATAGGCTTGTTTAATATCACCACAAACACGTCAGTAATGCATTGTGCTATGACATTATGATGCCTACTTTGTCAATAGACAATAGGAATTTTTCAGCTCCACTATAATCATATCAGACCACCATCATATATACGGTCTATCATTGACCTAAATGTTGTTATGTGGCACCTGCCTGACTGTACAATGCTAAATATTTTTCCTGTTTCACAGTTCCATTCTCCAATGCAAATTAACTTTAAATGATATGGTGCATATTTCTAGATAACTGTCAGTCTGTTGCTGTCTTCCTTTCTTTCTGTGTCTTTCATATGCATATCATCTTTCAGAAGAAATATTTTTCTATTTGTGAATGGCATAATATGCTTATTTATGTTTAGTATTTTTCTTCCTTTTTATTTATTTATTTATTTTTTTTGAGATGGAGTTTCGCTGTTTCACCCAGGCTGGAATGAACTGGCGTGATCTCAGCTCACTGCAACCTCTGCCTCCTGGGTTCAGGCAATTCTCCTGCCTCAGCCTCCTGAGTAGCTGGGATTACACATGCCTGCCACCACTCCTGGCAAATTTTTGTATTTTTAGTGGAGACAGGGTTTCACCATGTTGGCCAGGCTGATCTTGAATTTCTGACCGCAGGTGATCCACTCACCTAGGCCTCCCAAAGTGCTAGGATTACAGGCGTGAGCCACTGTGCCCGGCCTTTTCTTCCCTTTGTTAAAAAATACTACATTAGAGACTTTTCTCATAGATTTATATCATTGTTTGTAAAGGTTTTGTAATATTTCATAGTATGGCAGATGAGTATAGACTCATCATAATATATTTAACTCTTGGATTGCTTACTAATTTTTTCCTTTTAAATGATGTGCTGAAATGGAAATTTTTGACTACATAGCTTTGGCTATATATGCAAGCACTGCTGTAGGAGAGAGTACTAGTAATGAAATTATTGGTCAAATGATGTGTTTACTGAAAACTTTGATATAGTGTCTATCAGCCTTTATAAAGATAATGCAAATTTATATCTCCAACAAAGAGTATGTGAATATTGATTTCTAACACTCTTAGCAATACCATACATGAACATTACTTTTATTGCTATAGTTTTCTTGGTCACTTAATTTAAAATAAAATCTGTTTTCAAGAATGTATCTATTTTTATTTCTGGGGTCATTCTACTTCTTTATATGCTTATGTTATATTATTTCTTCTGAGAACTGACTTTACTTTTATTACACAAATTTTCTAATGTTATTTGCTTTTATTTTGGAAGATATTTACACAGGAGGACTTCAAAAATTTGTGGAAAATTGAATTAAAGGAGAAATAGTAAAATTGTAAAATTTATTTCTCATTATAAGTTTCATCAAGTTCAAGACACTTTTGTAGGTGATAGTACCATTAATTTCATCCATCCATCTCAAAAGAATTGCAGGTCTTGAGAATTTAACCATGTCAATGGTTCATTACATTATTAACTAAAGAAAAATGGGTTTCCTTTAGAGATTGTTTTTAATATCAGGAAACAAAAAGAAGTCAGAAGGAGCCAAATCAGGACTTTAAGGTATAAATATAATGATTTCCCATGAAAATTCTCATAAAATTGACCTTGTTTGAAGAGAGGAGTGAGCAGGAACATTGTCGTGGTGGAGAAGGGCTCTTGGCGAAGCTTTCCTGGGTGCTTTTCTCCTAAAGCTACGGCTGACTTTCTCAAAACACTCTCATAATAAACAGATGTTATCATTCTTTGGCCTTCTGGAAAATCAATAAGCAAAATGCATTGCGTATCCCTTAAAACTGCTGCCTTGACCTTTGTTCTTGACTGGTCTGTTTTTGCTTTACCTGGACCAATTTCACCTCTTGGTAATTATTTCTTTGCTTGTGCTTTGCCTTCAAAATAGTCTGGGTAAAGCCATGTTTTATCACCTGTTCCAATTCTTTGAAAAAATGCTTTATAATTGTTATCCCACTTGTTCAAAATTTCCACTGAAAGCTCTACTGTTGTCTACAGCTGACTGGGCACAATGGTTTTGGCACCCATCAAGTATAAAGTTTGCTCAAGTGTAATTTTTAGTCAAGTGGTGTAATCTGAACCAATTAAGATGTCTATATTGTTTACTATCATTTGAGCTGTTAATTGTTGGTCCTCTTCAATTAAGGCATGAACAAGATGATTTTTTTTCTCACAAATTAGTGTGGATGGTCTGCAGCTATTGACTTCATTTTCAACATTGTTTTATCCTGTAAAACAAGTTACCCATTTTTAAACTGCTGATTTCTTTGGGGCATTATGTCCATAAATTTTTGTAAAGCATCAATAATTTCACTTTCCTTCCATTCAAGCTTCACTATAAGTTTGATGTTTGTTCTTTCTTTAATTTTAGCAGAATTCATGTTACTCTGATGGGGCTTTTTTCAAACTGATGTCTTATCTTTCTTATTACCTCAAATGGATATGAGGTTTAAAATTGGTGGGTTATAATTATAAACCCGCCTTAACAGGTTTAACACTTATAGTAAAGTATTTCAGAATCAAGTCTTATTTTTCGTGTTGCTTCTAGCAAAAAAAAAAAAAAAAAAAAGTAACTTCAAATAATTTAGAAATCTCATCATTAAATTACGCTGTTCTCAAGATTTACCACCTTGATTTGCTTTATTTCAATGTATCAGTCATGTCCTCATCTAGGATTACCAACCATACTGTTTTGCAGATCATGTTCAAACATGTTATAACAAGTTTACATGAATTTATTTTGCTGCAAAAAAAATTAAAATCCATGCATAGTTTTCACATATTATGCATTTTTCATAAACATTTCCAAGATTCCTCATGTATTGTATGTATCTAGCAATGTTTTCCATTTCTTAAGAATAGAGCAGAATATCCAGAGAAATATCACTTATTGCCCATCTATTATGAGTATAGACCTGTGCTAGAGTCTACTGAATTATTTTTATTTCCTTCAACAACTTTAGGAGGGTAAAATTATTAATTTTCATTTTATACGTAACAACTAAATCTCAAAGTTTTAGCTAAAAGAAGCTAATTAATGTATCTAAAGATTAGAGATAGAAAGTGATTGATAACCATGATCTATTTAGATAAAGGGTAAGGATAGAGTGACCAGTCATCCTTGTTTTTGCCTAGGAGTTTCCTAATTTTAGCACTGAAAGAACTCTGTCCAGGAAATTTCCTCAGTCTCAAGAAAAACAGCATGGTTGGTAAACTTAGATTAACGCATGACTGCTAAGCTGAAATAAAGCAAATAAAGGTAGCAAATCTTGAGAAAAGCATAATTTGAAGATGGGATTTCTAAATTATTTAAAGTTATTTCTTTTTCTGGAAGCAACAAGAAGAAGACATGACTGAAATACTTCATTGGAAATGTGAAATTTTTACAGTAGGTAGCTAGACAAACATGAGCAGGGCAGGAGAAGGTCCACTACCCTAGGAATGTCCCCTACCCCAGGTGACAGGTGGTTGTTAAACTAAGATAATCATTGGTCACAGGTGGTGCCAGGGAAAGGCAGTCTCCCAATAGAAACAATACACCTTAAGCCGGTGATCAGCAGCTTCCCAATAAGATCTCAGAAGTTCGGCGAGTAGGCTCAAGCATGTACACTGAGAGGCAAAATGGCAGAGTTTAACTGATATTTGACCTTCCTCTAGGAACAACTGATTGGTAAGGGAAAAGCGCCTCAAATGAGCATGAACACGATTTTAGTAAACACACTGCACATGCGGTCCCTCCCAAGTGCTGGCAGGCCACTGTGCATGTGGACAGCCTGCCCTAAGAAAAAATCAAGGGAGGAGAAACACAAACCCCGGGATCATACCAATGTACAAACTCCAAGTCAAAGTTCGTATGGAGCAGTTGGATCTCTCAAGTAGCCCTCTTGGCCCTCTTCCAAGTGTACTTTACTTCCTTTTCCTGCTCTAAAACTTTTTGATAAGCTTTCATTCCTGCTCCAAAATCTGCCTTGGTCTCTCACTCTGCCTTATACCCTTCAGCTGAATTATTTTGTCCAAGGAGGCAAGACTCAAGTTGCTACAGACCCATACGGATTCATCACTGCTAACAAAATCAGTTGAGGCAGGTTTATAATTGTAGGCCACCAAATCACTTCCATAGCAGAAAACTTATTCTATCCAGAAATAACAATGATCTGACAATGAAACAATCATTATAAAAAACCTTGTGTGTAATAAAGTCAAGTAACCCTGTAAGCTAGGCTCAGTGTAATCAACTGTTAAAAAGCAGAATAATTCTGACATAAAGTATTTTAATAATGGTTGTTGAAATGTGATTATCTTGGCATGGTTGTCATGGATTGAGTTTCCCTCAATATTTTTTCTTTCCTTTTGAAGATTTTTGTCTATAAAATATATTGTCACTCTGCTAGTTTTTTCTTGCATTTTTGAATCTTCTCTAATGGGAGACAGGAGCATAGAAAACATTAAATGGATAATAAGCAAGTGTTTTCTAATAGTTTGAAAAATTTCACTATGCATATCTCATAAATATAACTCATAACAAAAGCACAAGCATATGGCTCAATTTTATTTTTTCAGTAACCTGAGAAATATGGCATTGCCTCTCATTACCAGGTCTCTTTGGGCTTCAGAAAAAAAAAAAATAGACATTTTCTTGTTATTTCATCCCACCAATTTTAACATCAATTATTTCATCCCACCAATTTTAACATCAATAATTGCTTTAAAAAGATGAATAATAAAGTTAACAGAATGAATAGTACAAATACTATTGTGTATAGAAGTTGTCTTAAAGTGAAAGTTAATATAATCACCGTACTGTTGTATTCTTTGATTTCTGTGTTTTTTTTAATTACTTTGATAAATTCATTTTGCTCATGTAGGGGCCAAGGGAAAAAACTCCTTTATCCTCATAAAGTTCATTGAAAAATCAACTGTCAAAGGTAGTTTAAAATGAAGAATGGCATACAAATTTATTAATGTGTACATGAGAGAGATTCATAGAGTAATTAGTCAATATCCCAATGGGTCCCAAATTATATATTCTTATTTCAGAGGGGAGGGAAGGAATGCAGAACATAGGTAATTCTGTGGAGAGGAAATAAATTATTACCAGAGAGAATGAAAGCATCTAGAAATGGAGTTTAACTTGTAAATTGTTCTCTTTAGAAATTGAATGAGTTTGAAACGGACATTATCTTGTGAAAAGATCTGTCCAGGTGTCATTCTATTCCTGCCTTCTTTTGTGCAATAGATAATGAAATAAAAGGGAAAGGAAGAAAAAAACAAGTGTCTTCCTTGGTGAGTTCCTCTGGTCTTTATGTAGATAGGGGAAAAGATTCTGCCAAAGTCTGTTGATCTCCAAGTGCTTTTAATTTCAAATACTCATACCATGGAGCCATATTTGAGGCTAAAGTTCCCGGCACTACTTTATTCACCCTATCTGAAATTTTCCTAGAAGTTTCACACATAAAAGACTTGATTCATTACTGTGGAAAGATTTGGATTAGAGGTTCTTAGAAAAAAAAAAAAAAAAAAAAACCTAGGCGTAAGAAGGGAAAAAAATGGAATAGAAGACAAGAACAAATTTAAGTGTATTATCTCATATCTGCTTGAATCAGTCTCCTAGTGCTGAGAATACATCAGTTTGGCTGAACAGCTGTGTCCCATCCAGGAGGTGACATTGTAGATGGGCTAGCCCTTTATATATCATGCAGGCAAACAGATGTTTTATAAGAAGCAATTCTATGGAAACAGAAGGAAACTGAAAGTTAATGTTTGGACTAGTATATAAACTAGTTTTTGTAGAGTTTCTGAAATCTCTTCAGATTGCAGTGGTAATTTGAAAGATTTTTCTTGAACTGTAGTTTGAATCAGATGTTCAAATAAACTTCTTGAGTAGTTCACACATCAACAGGCATGAAGGCTGTTTATATATAAGCTGTTATAGTGATCTCTGCTAAGTTTATATTAAGTTGTCTAGCTTTAGTTTGCAGGGCTTCAGAAAAATCAAAGTTTTAATTTCTAGTGATTTCATGTGAGAAAACTGGGAGGAAATTTTGAACACATTAGTTTGGACATTTGTACCCAGGAAAGAATTCAGCCCAAATTATAGGCAAAGAATACAACTCAAAAACAATGATTAGGACTATAATCTAATAATAGGTGTAATTTAGTTGTTTTTTTTTTCCAAAACATAATATTTCTCCCTCCAGTCCCATTTTTTCACCACATATTAATACCAATTTATTTTTGAAATAAGCTTTAGTTTTATTATACTTGGTCTGATTTTTTTTAATAAAGTACATCAAAAATAGTAATTGAACATATAGACTGTTTTCAACCGGCTTTTCTAGAACTTTTTCATAAGAAATACCAGATTAGACTTTTAAAAGCCCCTCAAGGCCAAAAATCCAAGAGAAATTTTTGCCACTAGATTGTGCCTGTGATACCTATTCAAACTGGGTGAATTCCATTTATCTCGAGGTCACAAAAAAATCTTAAGTTTCTAAAATATCTTGCAGATCTTGGGAGTGTTAACAAGTGACATTCTTTACACACCACAAGGTCAGGAATCTTGTAAGGAAACCATGTAGACAAGGTGCCAGGCCAGTCTTTTAAAGGAAACTTTTATCAGCTCTGTAAGTCAAATTCAATTTCTCAAAGCAATTTGTTCATATCTGAAAATATGTCATTCAGGTCAAAGCCTTGGTAAAATAACCAGCATTTTCAATTGTGTTCTATTAGAAAAGAAAACATATTCTTATTGAACTTATACAGATAACTATATTGCCATAAAATAAAGATAATCCCTGATAGTTTCTGCATTCTGGAGAATTCAGGTAGAGAGAGAAAGGTAAATATTTCAGTTTTGCTCACAAGAGCATACTTTGTCCAAATTGCTGTAACTATTAATAGCTCAAATATAATAAGTTTCTTGACTCTGGAAAACAAAAGATAGAGAGAATCATCAATGTTTCAAGCAAAAAGAGTCATAAAAATCATTTTAGATCTCTACCAGTTCAATTTCATGTAATTAACTATAGTTTTACTTGATGTAGTTAGCAATTTTCATAAACACATCAGCTTTTTAATTAGTTTTGAAAGCTTCTACCTAGTCCAATAGTATGGTCTCTAAAGTTATCAAAAATCTGTACTCAGGAATAATTATCAGGGTCTTTTCCATGAATTTCCTTGAAGAAGATACAAATTTTGGATTATGGATAATTATAAACCACTTTGTGAGAAGAATCAAAGTAAAGCAATAGTTGTATGTCGACAAGACTTAGAATAACCTTGGCGAAAGACACAATTGACGAGGAAATTAAGTTATTTGTATGGCATACAATAATTTCACATAATAATTATAATTATGACTGATAACATATACCAATATGTATATGAATTTTGAGAACCTCATACAATTTTGGAAGACATAGTAATAACACATTTACACAAATATAACTATAAAAAGTCAAACATCATTTCTTACTTTCTTATTTAACATAGTTTTCCATATGACTTTTATATACCAGAGTCCAAAAGTTAAATTTGAGGTCAAAAACTTAATTTAGAATTTTAAAACTGATTTTGGAAAGTTTGTCAAATATCAAGTATTTAAAACACTTGATCAAAATAGAATTACAGGTCACTGTAAAATATTTATTTAGCCAAAGAAATAATTTGAAGAGTTCAAAAAGCAAAAACCTTTACTCTTCAATAGCGAAGAGACTCAATTTTCAAAATAATCAGAACACCTACTGAAGACAGCATGGAACAAAATCTCTCCTATTAATTGTCTGCAGTTTACTTAAAAGGTAATAAAATCTTTTGCTATTTCTTATTAATACTATATAAAAATAGTATTCAAAAAATAAACTAAATTCTACCTTTACATCAGTGTATTATTGATGCTAAAGTACATCTTAAGAAAACCTTATAAACAGGTCTATCCAATCTCAATCAGCTTTGACCACAAAAAATAAGATTTTTATAAACCTTTTATAACCTCTTACAATATTTTCATTGTCTTTCTTTTCCCAACATTTTATACCCATTGAATTTTATTTGTTATTTCATTTATATTAAAGCAACCTTTAAGTAACTTCCTAACTAGAAAAAAGTGATTTTTCTTTAATAAAAAACACATTTTCATGTTTTACTGTCTTTTTTATCAAAAGCACTTTTTTTAGAATTTGCATACAGATGTATTTTTCTTCTATTGAGTAGTTTTTATTACAAATATTGATTACAATGCTAACTCTTAGAAAGTCTTAATATCAGTAAAAAAAATCCTTGGAAGCTATCAATTTTTAATTGGTAGCCACACACTAACAGTGTATGATTACATATTTTATAACTTTTAGAAATACGGGCTTTCCAAAAGAACATTTTAAAAATGGGAAACAGGTCATATTTACTAATAGATCTAAATAACTTTCTTGTTTCTCTGAAATAAGCCAAAATATATGAGCTTAAACTTATATTTATTATAGTAATTAATGTCTTGGCACTATATCTTATTTGGAAATAATTTAGATATTCAATGAATGTATATAATATCACCTTGCTTAGCAAAAATCTAAAAGTACAGTTGCCAAAAAATTTGAGAAATCTTTATAAGTAAACATATTATAACACATAAGTATTATTAAAAGTTAATTGATAAACATTTATTCCATTTACGTCTATTTATTCTTAACAATTATGTTTTAAAAGTGTCATGAAACATTAGAGAAATCCAGCCATCATCTCAAGTTAAATTTTTTGTTTACTATTTTTATATTACTGTATGTCAGGCAAGTATTATAAAAGGAAGGACCTTAAAGTTAAACACATGCATGTATTGCTGATAACTCAAAAGACATAGTTATTTTTATTAAACCAACAACATTAAACTTATCTCATATACCATGAGATTACTAAAGCAATGTGAATTTGAAAAGCATTTGGGATTATTTACTTAATTTATGAGAACTCATTTATTTATAAGTCAATTTGGTACCATAAGGAGAATTTACAGAGACAGGTAAGCACATATACATAAAAATGCAGACAAATAGAAAGACTACGGCTTGATTTTAAAATTTTAGCCATGAGACCTCTAAAACTCACAAGTTTAAAAGGACAATTGGATTTGAACTGTGCCTTTGTAAATGGAAAAGGTTAAGGTTTATCTGTCCCACATGGCTGAAGCCCTCACTGAGTTTTAGAGAAAACAGGGTAGCAAATTTACATTTCAAAGCCCAGAGAGAGAGAGAGAGAATTTAAGCTTTTTCAAGAAGGAGTTTGTGTGTATAGCTAGGGAAAGATTAAAAATGGATGTCAAGGTAGCAAAAAATTATAAAAATTTGCCATAGGCTTCTAAAAGAAGACCAATTTTATTTACACGATGGCTTTTTATTTTAGTCTATTTTCCAACTGGACTGTTGAGCTCAGGATTGAGCCCATTAAGGAGCTGGGCCAGCAAAGCATTTGCAGTTTTTAGGGCTTAATATTTAAATATGTGAAAAGCAGACACAGCTGAAAGGTATAGCATCTAGAATCTCAAAGAAACCTGAAAAAGTAGTTTAGGCTAAGATGGGAAGGGAGGGGTCAGAAATGCCTCATTATACCCTCTTCCCTTTGGAGTTTAGACACTTCTGACCAGAATTAACACGAAAACAAAGATCTAAAGACAGACAAAACAGATTCTTTGTGACAATAAGACACCAAATTTCAACCTGACTCTGGTATAGCATCACATGCCAGAAAGCAGGCCTTGAACTAAATCAAAGTATTTTACCCCCAAATATATTTATTTGACATGTTTTGAAATAGACCTGCAAAGCTGTCTCTTGTGGGGAAAATTTGCATTATATTCTTCTTCCCTTACAATGAAGGATTTTCTTCTTGGTCACTTTGCAAGCTGGGGACCTGTGGCTGGCAAAACCTCACCTGGGACCCCCTTGGCCATGCTGGCGTACCCCAACTCACCTGTGTTGTAGCTTGAATCCATGTACAGTAGTTCCTGAACTCTTGTACCACATCCAAGAAGAATGAGAATAAGCTGGAAACTGAAATATGAGAAGGGCAGAGAATTTTGTTGAGTGACGGAACAGATCTCAACACAGAAGGGACACAGGGGCATGGTCCTCCAACCCCACAGTTGGGTGGTTCTCTCCTCCCAGCATGGCTGGGTGTAGGGCTTCTTATGAGCTCAGAATAGGAGAGGGGCAGGCCATGAGTAGTATGGGAAAAGGCAATATTCCATTAGTTAAAATGCATTATTCAGAAATAATCAATTGGAAAAAGGCAGGTAAACAGAAACAGAAGTTCTCACTCTGGGTCATAGGTTTGATCCTGGACCAGAAGTCCAAACTTTCAGCATTTAGCCTGTTTTGGCTTGAAGGTGAGGCTTCACTGGGGACCTGCCCCTATCTGCATAGGCATTTGGCTGCCTCCTGCCAATCTCATTTCCCCCTTCTGAAGAGGTACATAAAATTGCCATTAGAACAAGGACAAAGACAAATCTTAACTGCTTCTTGCCAATAAGGGGCACTGTTTTGGGAAAATGTCAGTCAGATCTTCCTCAGAGGCCTGTGTAAAGGTCCCCAGTAAAAAAGAGCCATCGTCCAAAGCTCTGGTTGCATTATCATTTGCACTTTGATGGCCCATCCCTTTTGTTTTTTTCTGAGCTGCAGCCAGAGATTACAGTTTGGTTCACAGGAATAAGCACAGTTAGTTTAAAATGTAGGCAAAAACTTAAAAACAACTAATGAGATGGAAATTTAATGACAAGTGTATAAGTTTTGAAATATATTTTTTCTCTCTCCAGTGTTCATTTTTGTAAATACAAATTATGATAGGACTCAGTTGTTTGCATAATAAACTTTTTTCTTATCCTTGGCTTGATAATTTCCATAAAGTGCAGCAAGAATAATTATTTTTTACATAGGCTTTTTAAATTGGCTTTGATGAAACTCTGTTCTATAAGGAATCTCACATAAGACTTTTTAAAAACAAATGCAGTCATGGGTTTTTACCCTCAAACATCTGTGAGTTGGGTAAATTCCACACTTCTGGAGGTCCCAAGATAACATGGGGCTCCTGGGGCTGTTAGAAATTGACATACTTTACTCACCACAGGTTAGGAAACCTATAAGGAGACTGTGTAGACAAGATATGAGGTGAATATTCCCAAGGGGCTTTTATTGGCTCTGCAAGTCAACCTTGATTCCTTAAAGGGAAGCATACCCTTCCAGTTAAAGCCTTGGTAAAAACAACCAGTTTCTCCAATCGTGTCCTGTCACAAAAGAAAATGGATTCTTATTGCACTTATGCAAATGACTATATCACCATAAATTAAGAATACTCAACAGTAGTTTCCAAATTCTGGAGAAACCAGGCAGAGAGAAACAAATAGGCTACAAATTTTATTCACAAATGGTTACCTGGCTCAATTGTTAAAAGCTGTAGATAACTAAAAAGAAAAGTTTCTTTGACTCTGAAAAGCAAAACAAGGATCAGCAATGTTTTCAGCAAAAAGTTAAAAAGATTACTTCAGTTTTCTGTCAGTTCAGTCCATTCAGTTAACTTTTGTTCTGCTTGATATTCATAAACATTTTAGCTCTTCATGAGTCCTGTATGTTATTTCTCTATTCCAATGTCACAGTTTTCAAGGCTATCAGAAACCTGCATTTAAGAGCACCTGGCAAAGTTCTATAGGTGATTATAAACCATCTTTTGAAGAGGAACAAAACAAGACAACAATTGTCTGTGAATGTCAAAATGTCCAGGGTAGTTACAGTTAAAAACAAAATGGACAAATAAATTTGGTTATTTCTGTGGTTTACAATAACTTAACATAATAACCTTAATCATAGTTGATAGCATATTCTCAGACAGTAGAATTTTTAAAATCCCATAACAATATTGGAACATGTATTAATATTATTCACCAAAATATAACCTAAAGAAGATTAAACATTCTTTTTATATTGGCAATCCCATGCCAAATAATCCTGTTTACCTCTTGTTTGGATGCTCCAGGGGCCCTCTATAGCATTCAAAAGTTAGGGGTCAGAAAAAACAACCTTGAAAATAAGTTTGATTTTAGGAAGTTTATTAAATATGTAAGAGGTTAAAACACTGATATTATGAATTGGAATTTCAAATTACCATAAAGTAATTTGTTTAGCCAAAATGGTGACTCAAAAATTTTTTAAAAGGCAAAAACGTTTTACTCATTAATAGGAAGACTTAGCTTTCCAAACAATCTGTCTCCTATTTCTCCCTTCCCTTTTTCGGCAGTTTATTCACAAGGCAAACAAAAACTGTCATTATTTTTCACTATTACATCAAAATCTTGTTCAGTGGAGAGAAAGCCAAATTTCACCCTTGCATTTGTCTAACTATTAATGTCAACCCCAATTTTTTTTAATGAAACCTAAGATAATTCTATCCAAACTTAACTAGTTTGACTATGAGGTGAGATTCTTATAAACATTTTATAACCCTTTATAACTTCTGTTAAAGAGCAGATCAGTGTCTTAAAAAACCTTGTTGTTCTTTCATTTCAACACTCAATTTATGGAAAAACTATATAATACCTATTATAATTGAGTCAAAATGTTCACACACAGAATTTCTTTTGCAAGATTAATTTTTACAAACCTTCCACAACTTATTTAAATCTTTAGCTTTATCTTATCTAATTTAAAACAACCCTCTAAACCTCTAAATTAGGCAAAAATTTACATTCCCATTTCCATATCTCCTTATAATATTTTACTAAAAACACATTTTACTTTTCTTACACACCTTGCATGTAAAGCTATTTTCAGTAGTCTCAAAACTCTTAGCAATTTTTAATTTTAATGTAAAACTGATAAGTTATCTTAATTACGTACTAAGCACAGATAAAGCCCGACTATTTCCAGCATATTTAGGGGTGTGGTTAATTCCATATGTTCCCAGGCCTTACAAATTGTAAAGCAGGTGAGTCAGTTCTCAAAAGCTGAAGAAGCAGTTTATAACCTTAAAACATTTAGCAAACCCAGTATCTCACCTGCATAATTTAGACCACATATTTACATTCTGATGACATTTTGCTTTATGAATCATATCTAAAACTGTTTTTATCTTTCAAAGATTAACGTCACATGAACGAAAAGACATTACCGCTTTTATTTTTCCTTCAAAAATATTTGATCTAAGCACTTATTTTCTTTAAGCCAATTAATTAGAGCTCTTTTTTATACAAACATTACACACATAACACATGTATGATTACACAGACAGAGAGAAGAAGATCCAGTAGTTATAAGATTTTTCATTTGCCAACCTCCTAATTGGATTATTGGCCTCTGGGTGGAGTCCTTCAAAAAGCAGGACTAGGAAAGCATGCAGCTTTGAGGGCCCAACAGACTTAGCTGGAAGACAAACAGATTTTGAGAGGAATCTTATCTGCTTTCAATTCCTGGGGTTCCATGAGGAAAACAGTTTTTTTTTTTTTGCCCAAAATGGGATAACTGGTGTCCTCTTGGTAAAGTTTTTCCCAAGAAGTCTCAGGCTATCAGAAGTTATCTTGGGCCTCTCATGTGTGCAAAAAGAATGGCAAGACAAAATGGAAAAAAATAATTCAGTCAACTGAGAAAATATCCTTTTCCAGAAAAACAAGTCCTGAGAAGAAAAAACATAAGGGTCTTTTGAATATACCTATAGCTTGTATATCCACTTTTAATTAAGCTGACTTTTAACCATAGTGCTCTTTAAAAGAAAAAAAAATCCGCATAAATCCCTTATTACCCGACTTCAACCACACCAAACAGCCATATTTCTGGCTTTTGAAAATCACCAAAAGTAACCTCACAGGTGAAATCAACAAACCTCAACTAAGGTTATTACTTAACTGCCAGTGTACAAGCTATTTTCAAAGAGGTGGTAAGCAGTTTTTACAAAATCTAGAAACTTTAAATGTAGCCCAGAGAAAGGAAGATTTAAGAAAGGAATCTAGAAGTTGTTCACGGAGGGGAAGAGAATGAGCAAATGGCAAAAGTCACACAGATATTAACCAGGATGTACTCATTCCCTAAGCCAGGATTGAACCTGGGCCATCATTGTAAAATGGCAGAAACCAAAAGAAAGTATTGCCACATGGTTACAAGGTCAAACTCCCAAGAATGTAAAACAAGATGGAGATTTGTAGCAAAGTTTGTTACTGACGGTTTGCTGATCTGGCTTGAACAGTGGGCTTATGGGGTCCTAAGCCCACATTCTATCCTGAGGGAATGATCTTTTTGATAGAAAGATACAGAAAGACAAATATTAGCAAAAAGTACAACAGATCCACTACAGCTTAAGACTAGCCTCACAAATCCTTTATTCCATTAATCGAAACTTTAGAGAGGATATAAATAGTCATCATTACCATTCCTTTTACTAGTTTGCATAGGGAGAGAGAGAGTTCAGAAGTCTGGTAAAACAAAAACAAAAACAAAACAAAACAACAACAACAAAAAACTTTTAACCTTTTCCAGCATGTCAGGCTTCTGGGTTCCCTTGTCCCGAGATATGGAGTCTTATCTACCCTGGAGTCCTGTGAAAAGGAAGCAGAGAAAGAGGTTTTTTTCATACTGTAAAAGTTGTCTGCCCTCAAGAAATTTTCTCAGTTAGATCTGTAATTTCTTCCCAGTACATTTTAAGCCAGAGTTTAAGGTGTGGGAAAATTAAATTTCCCAGTTTGAGGGATGCTTCTGAGGGTAGTGTCCTGTGGTACTGGGACACAATTATCCATCTACGAAGATAAGACATAGGAGGAAAATAAAAAAGTAGGTGTTTTTGTTTTGTTTTGTTTTGTTTTGATTTGATTTCCAAAGGGTTCCAGTGATTCAGGATATATGCAAGAGAAGTACAGATAGAAGATGGCCAATTACCCATCCAGAAAGAGGGGAAAAAGCCATCTCCTAGTTCTTTTTTCCTCCCAGTAAATACCCGAGGTACATGAGGAAGAAAAAGATAAGGCAATCCCTTTCTTTTTTCTGTCTTTATAGGCCCAGGTCCCAGCAACCTCAGCAAGGTACAGCCCATGGGTGACAATCTGGCTTGGGTTTCACCCATGTTAATGGGGAGGCATAGAGGGTAGAAAATATTCACACACACCTATGTGCTGGCCTATGCTCCCTGCTGTCAGTAACCTCATCTATGCCATGGATGCTAGCATGACATCTACTCATAAAATGTCAGGGCAGGGGGACTAATCAGCAGAAATTAGTCATGCTCACCTGTGCAGTGCCCCTTGACTTCCATTGTGCCTGCCTTTGGATCCCTCAGATCTAGTTTCCCTTTCTAGGACTTCAACCTGAAGCTTGGAATTAAGTTTGGGGCAAGAAGGTGCTTCAGGAGGGTTTATGGACTCATTAAATTAAATGTCAGGTGTCCCTCACCAGACTGCAGCCAGCAGCTGGCGGGGCTGCTCCTTCACTTCTTCCTTATCATTAAGTCCAATGCTAAGGTAAAGCTGTGGAACTGGATCCTCCTCAAACAAGGGGAAGGGAGAATTGGGGTCCTGGCCTAGTAATATGCCTTTCAAAAGGTTAAATAAGTAAATAAATAAATAGAAATCAATAAAAATTAACAAACAAACAGAAAACACCTTTTGCATAGAAAAGCTCCCTGTATTCATAGGGCAGTGTTAACTCTTGACATGGTGGAGAAAAGACAATAAAAAGCCAGCTTAAGTGCAGGGTGGTGAAGGTGCCTGAAAGAAAAAGCCTCTTGCTCTATGCAACTGGGTTCCTCCAACTGAGAGAGAAACTTTTAATCTCTGCTTCCTCTTTGCCTCTAAGAATAGACAGAAACCACATTGTTCTGAATTGCATATCTGATGGCTGGGATGAATGTTCATTTCACCCAGTAATATCTCTGTAGTTGGCAACAACACTCCTAACATTGTAAAAGAAGGGATAAGGGCCATGACAGCCCTGAAAAAAAGGAAGAAAAAATGCCATAGAAAAAACTGGATTGGAAGGAGGTCGACATTCCCAGCCCCCGAGAGAGATGGGGAGGTGGGGTCCAAAGGACTGTAGCTGTGCCATTGCTCTTAACTAGCTAATCAGAGGTCCAGTGCTTCATCTGCCTTCAGAAAAATGTCTGAGGACAAGAAGCCTCGGAAATAAGTGAAGATTTTAGGTCTGCATTCGCTCACCCTTCAGGTATCCCACAGGAGCCGGCAAAATGATGCAAGATTTTCTTTTCGGTGACTTTGCAAGCTGGGGATCTCCAGTTGGTGATGCCCTGCCGAGGTCCCACTCAGCCACACTGGCATGCCCTCACTTGCCTGTCTTATATCTTGTACCCACGTTCAGCAGTTCCTGAGCTCTTGTGCTATGCCCAAGAAGGATAAGAATATACTGGACATTGAAGAGTAAGGAGAGCAGACAATAAGATCTCAGTGGAGAGGGGGATGCAGGGTGTGGGCCCCTGCAGTTGGGTGGTTCTCTCCTCCTCACGTAGCTGGGTCCAGGGCTCAGAATAGGGGAGGGGCAGGCCATAGGTAGTATTGACAAAGGCAACATTTGATTGGTTAAAAGGCATTATTGAGAAAGAATCAATTAAGAAAGGGCAGGCAAACAGGAACAGAAGTTTTCACTGTGGGTAGTGGATTTCATCTGGTACCAGCAGTCTGGACTTTTAGCCTTCAGGCTGTTTTTGGCTTGAAGGTGGGATTTCACCATGGACCCTCCCCTATCTGCCTAGGCATTTGGATTCCTCTGATGTTCTCACTTACTAGATCTTTTCTGGAGAGACTGACGCTTTTAAGGCCCAATAACAGACATTTACCATCTATTCTCTCTGAAACTTGCTACCTGAAGGCTCCATCTACATCACAAGAGCCATGGCTTCCATAGCCCCTCTTATATTAACTCAAGCTGACTTTAACTCTTCATGCAGAGCTTAACTCTTTCAACCAATTGCCAATCAGCAAATCTTTGAATTTACCTATAACAAGGAAGCCCCCTGTTCCAAGATATTCCATTTTCTGGTCCTAACCAATGTATACCTTACATGTACTAATTTATATTTTTGCCTTAGCTTCTTTCTCTCTAAAATGTATAAAACCAAGCTGCAACCCAACCATCTTAGGCACATAGTCTTAGGATCTTCTGAGCCTGTGTCATAGGCCATGATCCTTAACCTTGGCAAAATAAACCTATAAATTGATTGAGAGCTGTCTCAGATACTTTTTGTTTTGCAGTGACAAAACAGGAGGGGGAAAGGAATAGGCTTGACAAGGAAAGGTGGCCTGTTGTGTAGATAAAATCTCACAGGTAACAGCTCTCAGAGAGAATAGAGGGTAAGCATTTCTTTCAGACCTTTAAAGTTGTCAGACTCTCAGTTAATCTTTCCTAGATGCAGACAAGGAAAGGCCTGGGAGAAAGCCTGACTGCATCAATGCAGATTTTCTCTATAGATGCAAATCTCCCCCACAAAAGACAGCTTTGCAGGGGTACTTCTGTTTGCTGGCTCTCTGAACACTCATCTCAAAATGTTAAAGAGGTATATTTTGGGTGAAATACTTTTATTTCGTGCATTTG
The DNA here is from genome assembly GCF_000001405.40 of Homo sapiens. Lineage (NCBI taxonomy): Eukaryota > Metazoa > Chordata > Mammalia > Primates > Hominidae > Homo > Homo sapiens. Next base: position 58,668,186 of record NC_000004.12, on the reverse strand, counting down.
CATCATTTTTATTTATGCTTATCTAGTACAGATAAAGAGTTATTTTTATTATTTGTCTTAACAGGCAAACTCCCCCACTATGCTTGGCACTATCTTCTGTAAGTTTGTTAACAATATGTTATGGTTTAACTCATATCAACTCCTGCTCTCCACTTCCCACCCACCCACCCAGGGCTGGAATGTATTATATATTTAAATATATTTCTTGGTTTATTCACTAGAACTGACTATAGGTTTCTTGGTCTAGAATTCTAACAATATTCAGCATTCTTTTACTAAGTACCTTCTGCCATTAATACACTATTAATACAAGCCAAAACATTGAGGACCTATAGGATTAAAAAGGAGAAAAGCAGATCATCTATTAAGGTTTCTTAAAATAAGAAAATAGAAGTGTATATAAATACATATATTAATGATAGTATAGATGGTTGAGGATACTTGTTTCTGATGTCTTTTTATCTCTTTCATCAATTGTCATCATTCTCTTCTTTAAATTTTCTAAAATAATGTTCTTAAATTTCTCAATATTTAACATTTTATACATTCATGGAGTTAATTGCAAGAGAAAGATAGTGTCATATTGTGATTAATCATAAAAAAAGTATATTTGGTCTTTGTACAGTTTCCTGGCACACAACTCCTAAAACTCTTGTGATAAGCATCTTTGTGAATGCTAATGAATGTGCGTTTCTGGATAGCCTCAGGATGAGGACTCATTGCCAGGGGAACCAGCCATATGATCAGAGGGTTGGAATTTCAGGCCCAGCCTCTGACCTCCAGGGAAGAGAGAAGGACAAGGAGCTAGAGGTTGTGTTAATCCCCAATGTCCAATAATTTAATCAATCACCACTATATAATAAAGTCTCCATAAAAAGCCAAAAGGACAGGGTTCAGAGTGATTCTGGGTTGGTGAACTTATGAAGGTGCCGGGAGAACACTGTTCTTGGATAATATGTGGAAGCTCTTTGCCTCTTCTTTCAGTTTTTTGCCCTATGCATCACTTGCTTCTGACTGTCCCTCAGTTTCATGTGTTTATAATAAATTAGTGATCTTGTAACTAAAGTGTTTTCCTGAATTATATAACATGAAGTAATCATATCTATTCCTACTAGAAATGTTGACCTAATGGAAGAAGTTGAGGCAGAAAATATAATTTTAAAGTGTTTACATCAGCCAAAATGAGAACAGCTGCCCAGAAAGGACACATTTCCATGTTGCCTGGGGGAGTTCTCCATTCAGCCTTTGTTACAAGCTGGTTTTTACAGGCAAAAGGAAACCAGGAGTGGGCTGATACAAGGTTGTTTGACAGGAATTCTCATTGGTTTGTAGAGATAACATTGATTAATGATTGGCTATGTATTTTTAAACTATAGGATATGAGTTATGATGTCCAGCATACATGGCATTTTATGGTTACTTGGCATCTGTTAATCTAATATACACTCATATAGCAAGTGTCTTCAAGAAGTAATTACTTAGCTCAAGGTGGGAGTGATGCATGAGTGCTGTCACATTTTAAATGCCTCCCTGGATCTGATATTTAAAGGAATTTGCATACTTCAAATTAAAACCTATTTTCTTCTCATGACCAAACTTATCAGTAAACTCTTTATATGTTGAAAAAGTATGAAGCATATGGTGTGTGATGGTTAATATTAGATGTCAATTTGATTGGGTTGAATGATGTCTAGGTGGCTGGTAAAGTATTGTTTATGGGTGTGTCTATGAGGGTATTGCCAGAGAAGACTGACGTTTGAGTCAGTGGAGTGGGAAAGGAAGACCGCCTTCAACGTGGGTGGGCACCATCCATGCCAGCATGCCTAGAAAAAAGCAGGTGGACGATAGAGGGATAACTTTGCTTGTGGGGCCTTCTGACTTCCTCCTTTTTCTGTGCTGTTTGTTTCTTTCTGCTTATTTTGCCCCTGGACATCAGACTCCAGATTCTTCAGCCTTTGGGTTTTGAGACTTACACCAGTGGTTTGTCAGGGGATCTCAGGCCTTTAACTACAGACTGAAGGCTGCACTGCTGGCTTCCCTGGTTTTCAACCTTTCAGACTCAGACTGAGCCATTACTGGCTTCTCTTTTTCCTAGTTTGCAGACCAACTACTGTGGGACTTCACCTAGTGATCATGTGAGCCAATTCTCCTTAATAAATTCATTTTATATATATATATATGTACACATATATTCTATTGGTTCTCTCCCTCTGGAGAGCCCTGACTAATACATGAGGGGCAGATACAGGTTTTACGATCTTATAATTTTTGCTTACACACTTGAATTTTTAATTGGCAATAATAATGTCAGCCATTTTTCTCATCATGAAAGGTTTTCCTTGTTTATTTTCAAGAAAACGTCTGCCAAATAATCGAATTGTAAATAGCCAGTGTTTATCTGTTAATCAGTTTCATTAAATATGTTGTTACATTGAAAAAGCTAATGTGACTCACAACTGAAGCATGTACTTAAGTGGTTTTCTGAGAGATAGTGTAAAAATTATTGATTGGTAGGCAGTAGAAAAGTTGTGGGGTTTTTGGTTGTTGTTTTTACCATTTTCTCACAGAGACTATTTTACAAAGTCACGTACTCAGGGGTTGATATTTAGTAATTTTTTTCTTCAAGAACACTTTTAAGTGAAAATAGCACTATATTTTCTGTGCATTTGTGGCAGCAAAGACTAAAATAAACACTTGTACAGTGGAATGCTACCGTAATAAAACACCAGCAGCTTTACTCACCATTGCCTTTGTACCATCAGTGCAACTATCACAGAGTGAAAAATAAAATGAGTTTTACTATTATTATGACAATAGTTTAGACCTTTTGGACCACACACATGGAGAACTATTGGACCATCTGCAATTTTATTTTTAAAAGTAACCAAAAAAATAACTGCTTTTACTTAAACTGACACCAACTAAAGAAAAAAAAAAAAAAACTCTGTTTTTCTTATTATACATCCAATACTTCCATGACACGTCTCTGAGTGTCATGGGTATCTCTCCGCTGTATGGGTATCTTTCCCACAACTCAGTTCTCCAATTTTCCACAGATGTCACCTGAGTGTCCTTTGATTAAACTTAATTCAGATACTATTCATTGTTAGATAATGGTAGGTCCCATAGGCTAAGGACTCAGTTCCACAGAACTGCTGCCCCATCCCACTGCAAATACCATTCCCAAGTTCAGGTTGTCACCCATGCTTAAGACTGAGCAACTATAAATTGGAGGTTTTCACAAATACCAACTTGGGTTTGATCGTTTGCCAGAATAGCTCATAAAATTCAGGAAAACACTTTACTTACAAGATCACTAGTTTATTATAAACACATGAAACTGAGGGACAGTCAGATGGAAGTGATGCATAGAGCAAAAAAAGGAAAGAAGAGGCAAAGAGCTTCCACACATTATGCAAGAACAATGCTCCTAGCACCTTCATATGTTCACCAACCCAGAATCACTCTGAACCCTGTCCTTTTGGCTTTTTATGGAGACTTTATTATATAGTGGTGATTGATTAAATTATTGGACATTGGGGATTAACACAACCTCTAGCTCCTTGTCCTTCTCTCTTCCCTAGAGGTCAGAGGCTGGGCCTGAAATTCCAACCCTCTGATCATATGGCTGGTTCCCCTGGCAATGAGTCCTCATCCTGAGGCTATCCAGAAACGCACATTTATTAGCATACACAAAGATGCTTATCACAAGAGTTTTAGGAGTTGTGTGCCAGGAAACTGTACAAAGACCAAATATACTTTTTTTATGATTAATCACAATATGACACTATCTTTCTCTTGCAATTAACTCCATGAATGTATAAAATGTTAAATATTGAGAAATTTAAGAACATTATTTTAGAAAATTTAAAGAAGAGAATGATGACAATTGATGAAAGAGATAAAAAGACATCAGAAACAAGTATCCTCAACCATCTACACTATCATTAATATATGTATTTATATACACTTCTAATTTCTTATTTTAAGAAACCTTAATAGATGATCTGCTTTTCTCCTTTTTATTCCTATAGGTCCTCAATGTTTTGGCTTGTATTAATAGTATATTAATGGCAGAAGGTACTTAGTAAAAGAATGCTGAATATTGTTAGAATTCTAGACCAAGAAACCTATAGTCAGTTCTAGTGAATAAACCAAGAAATATATTTAAATATATAATACATTCCAGCCCTGGGTGGGTGGGTGGGAAGTGGACAAGGCCTTTCCTTGTCTACATCTAGGAAAGATTAACTGAGAGTCTGACAATGGTCCACCATGATTGCAAGGCCTCCTCAGCCATGTGGAACACTGAGTCCAATTAAACCCCTTTCTCTTGTAAATTACCCAGTCTTAGGTATATATTTATCAGCAGCATGAAAAGACTAATAAAGTAAATTGGTACCAGTAGAGTGGGGCATTGCTGAAAAGATACCCAAAAATGTGGAAACTACTTTGGAACTGGGTAACATGTAGAAATTGGAAGAGTTTGGAGGGCTCAGAAGAAGACAGGAAAATGTGGGAAAGTTTAGAACTTCCTAGGAACTTGTTGAATGGCTTTGCCTAAAATGCTGATAGCTATATGGACAATAAATTCCAAGCTGAGGTGGTCTCAGGTGGAAAGGAGGAACTCACTGGGAACTGGATGAAAGGTGACTCTTGTTATGTTTTAGCAAAAAGACTGGCAGCATTTTGCTTCTGCCCTAGAGACTTGTGGAACTTTTAACTTGAGAGAGATGATTGAGGATATCTGGTGGAAGAAATTTCTAAGCAGCAAAGAATTCAAGAGGTGACTTGGTGCTTTCAAAGGCATTCTGTTTTAAAAGGGAAACAGAGCATAAAAGTTCAGAAAATTTGCAGCATGATGGTGCAATAGGAAAGAAAACCTCGCTTTCTGAAAAGAAACTCAAGCTGGCGACAGAAATTTGCATCAGTAATGACGAGCCAAATCTTAATCCCCAAGACAGTAAAGAAAACGTCTCCAGGGAATGTCAGAGACTTTGGTGGCAGCCCCTCCCATCACAGGCCTGGAGGTCGAGGAGAAAAAAGTGGTTTCATGGGCCAAGCCAAGGTTCTCCATGCTGAGTGCAACCTAGAGACTTGGTGTCCTTCATCCCAGTTGTTCCAGCCTTGTCTGAAAGGGGCCAGTGTAGACCTTGGGCCATGGCTTCACAGGGTGCAAACCTTAAGCCTTGGCAGCTTCCATGTGCTGTTGAGACTGAGAGTGCACAGAATTCAAGATTTGAGGTTTGGGAACCTTTGCCTAGACTTTAGAAGATGTATAGAAATGCCTGGAAGCCCGGGCAGAAGTTTGCAGTAGGGGTGATTTCCTCATGGGGAACATCTGCTATGGCAGTACAGAAGGAAAATGTAGAATTGGGGCCCTCACACAGAGTCCATACTGGGGCACTGCCTAGTGGAGCTGTGAGAAGAGGACCACCATCCTCCAGAGCCTAGAAAAGGAGATCCACTGACAGCTTGCACCACATGCCTGGAAAAGCTGCAGAAACTCAACACTACCCCATGAAAGCAGCTGGGAGGGAGGCTGTACAGTGCAGAGCCATAGGGGTGGAGCTGTTCTAGACTTTGGGAACCCAATTCTTGCATCAGCATTACCTTGATGCGAGACATGGAGTCAAAAGAGATCATTTTGGAGCTTTCAGATTTGACTGCCCTGCTGGATTTTGGACTTGCATGGGAGCCGTAGCCCCTTTGTTTTGGCCAATTTCTCCCATGTGGAATGGCAGTATTTACCAAATGCCTGTACCCCCATTGTATCTAGGATGTAACTAACTTGCTTTTGATTTTACAGGCTCATAGGTGTAAGAGATTTGCCTTGTCTTGGATGAGACTTTGGACTATGGACTTTTGAATTAATGCTGAAATGAGTTGAGACTTTGGGGGACTGTTGAGAAGGCACAGTTGGTTTTGAAGCATGACGATATGAGATTTGGGAGGGGCCAGAGGTGTAATAATATGGTTTGGCTGTGTCCCCACCCAAATCTCATCTTGTAGCTCCCATAATTCCCACATGTTGTGGGAAGGACCTGATGGGAGATGATTGAATAATGGGAGCTGGTCTTTCCCATGATGTTCTCCTGATAGTGAATGGGCCTCACAAGACCTGATGGTTTTAAAAATGGGAATTGCCCTGCACAAGCTCTCTATTTTTCCTGCTGCCATCCATGTAAGATGTGACTTGCTCCTCTTTGCTTTCTGCCATAATTGTGAGGCCTCCCCAGCCATGTGGAATTGTGAGTCCAATTAAACCTCTTTTTTTTTGTAAATTGCCCAGTCTCAGTTATGTCTTATTAGCAGTGTGAAAATAAACTAATATAGCAACAGACTAAATATGGAAGCAAATATAAAATTTTTCTAGCTGTATTCCATTGTCAAACTTATAGTGATTTTCAAAAATGTAAAGCAATGCCACTCTTCTCATTCATTTTATATTTAAAAAATATTTTTATGAAAATATTCTTGTACTCTTAAATGAATTTAAATATTTTCTTTTTAAAATATCTTATTTGGCATATATATTGGTATATAGTACTAGCATAAACAAAAGTGCTTCAGAATTCTCAAAATTTATTTAAGTGTTAAGGATCTTGAGACCAAAATTTTGAGAACCTTGGCAATAGATACTTGGAGAAAGAATTTAAACAGGCATTTATCAGAAGTAGATACACAAACAAATAAATATTTAAGAAGATTTTCAACCTTCCTATTAGCAGTAATTAGAAAAAGCAATATGAAATCTATATCTGACACTACATGTAATCTAAATCTTAATTAGAGTTAATATCTAATAAAATATATTCTAATTCTAAAAAACAAACTAAATTTAAGCTATATATAAATAAAAACCTAAATCAAATCTAAAGCAGAATAATAATATATGGGGATTTGTTAGATAACACAAACAGAGATATTTTAAGGGTGAATGATTAGAATATTTACCAGATGTCTGCCACAAATTATTCTACATCTCTGTACATGAAAGAGAATTAGCCTGGCTTCTGTGATAACAAAGAGTATTTTAATAATCCATGAAAAAGACAATGATGTATGGAGTAGAAAAGTAGCAATGGAGAGGGAGAGAAGTAGACAGCTTTAAAAAGTGTTCATTTTATTCTTTTATTCATTTATTTTAAAAGTGTACATTTTATATAGTAAGAAAGAGTTATCTAAGATGACTTCCAAATTGCTTGCCTTAAAAATGAGAGGTAAATCATCTCATTTACTAAGACAAAAATATAGGAATATTAAGAAATTTCCTTGAGTGAAAACCTTATCTCAATTTAGAAAGGTTGAGTTTCAGGTGCAAATGCTCATCTTTTTCTACATGAATGTTTAAATAAGTGCTTGGAGCTCAGAAAATAGATCTCAAATGGAACAAGAGATTTTGAAAGTCATCAGAACATGAATGTTGACTAAAGTCACAGGAACACACCAAAAGGAGAGGGTTTAAAACAAGAAGAAAGAGGGTGTGCTGGACCCTGTGAGGTGGGCAGAGAGAGGACAGCACTTAGGAAGAAAGAGAATCAGTATCCAGGGAAATAAGACTAAAACAGAGAGGGTATGATTTCAAATGTGAAGGTAAAAATGGTAGGCCAGGGGCAGTGTCTCATGCCTGTAATCCCAGCATTTTGGGAGGCCAAGGCAGGTGAATCATGAGATCAGGAGTTCAAGACCAGCCTGGCCAATGTTGTGCAACCCCTTCTCTACTAAAAATACAAAAATTAGCCAGGTGTGGTGGCAGGTGCCTGTAATCCCAGCTACTCTGCAGTCTGAGGCAGGAAAATCTCTTGAACACGGGAGGCAGAGGTTGCAGTGAGCTGATAGTGCCATTGCACTACAGACTGGGTGACGAGAGAGACTCCATCTCAAAAATAAAAAATAAAAAATTGGTAATGATTATCCATTTTACATGCTTCTGAGAGATGAAGTAAAGTAGGAATTGAGAATTATCATTCAACATGGGGTCCAGAATCTAATTCATGAATTTGACAAATACAGTATCAGAAGGATGGCTGAAGTGCAAGAGATGCAAAATGTAGTGACAAGAAGTAGAAATGAACAAGAAGAGAAAGAAATTGTACTAATCCGAACACAAACACCAGATACACAATTTTAGCTTCCTAAGACTTTTGTGGGTATTGTGGGAAAAAAAATGCCCTTTTCCCAAATCTGCTTAAACTGAGTTGTTTTATCTATAGAAGATCTGATATATCTGCTAATGGAGATTGAAACTCCCAGAAATATAAATAGAAGCCTAGCTTCTACGACTTTAAAAAAAAATTCAAATATCATTGTAAAGCTTATAAATGGCTCAACTGCTTCACCAAATATGCCAAATCCAATTATTCTTATAACACCTTACATATGAACAGTAAAACACAAGGAGATTGTTATCTTCTTACTTGATTTTTATTTGAATTTAAAAGAATAAAAATGATCTAAATTCATATTGCATTTTTTATCCTTCAACATTTTGTACTCTTATAAATATAATCTCATCTGTCTTTTCAATACCCAGTGGGAAAGATAAAAAATATTAACCCTGCTTTAGATAAAACCTATACATTTTTTTAAAACAAGTCACTAGTGTACACACATGGATTAACACTTAGTAAGCTGAGATTTTTACCACTAGACAGAAAAATGAAACTTAGTACTTTCTCTTATGTAATAAATATCTGACATTTATTCAATGCTCACCATATACATGAATGCATTACCTTTTTTCTTTTTCCATATCATTCGTTTCCTAAACTAACTGTATGTGCAAAGCCCTATTATTATATGAGAAAACTGATATTTGTAATGGCTAGGAGACTTGTTCACAGAACATAATTTCTATATAAAGAGTTCAGATTTAGTTTTTTTAATTTCATTTATTCACCAGTAAATATTGATTCCATTCCTATTAAGTGCCAAGTACCAATATGGATTTCTGACATGTATTAGTGAAAAAAACAAAACAATATATCTGTCATACAGCAGCACAGCTTACATTCAATTGGGGAAAATCAGACAACAAACAATGAACATTAAATGTATTAATATTTTTTATCAATATTTATAAATTATAAATATCATTTAAAATATTAAATATATTAAATGATACGGTAGGCTAGGACAGGTGTTAGCAATTTTTGCTGAGTGACAGATAAGAAATATTTTAGGCTCTTTAGGCCATTAAGTCTCTGTTGAAGGTACTGAACTCTGCCATTGTAGTGAAAGTAGCCATAGACAATACATGAACAGATTAGCATGGCTGTGTTCCAGTGAAACCTCATTTGCAAAACAGATGAACAGCTGGATTTGACCCATGGACTGTAGCTTGCCAACCTAGGATAAAATGTAGCGTGTACTTGTCCTGTGTTTTTAAAGATTCTGTATTTGTCTGTTTGGCATCCATTAATCATGGGGCCAAAATAACACTCAAAGTTGTTTTCATCTCCCCTGTGATTCAGCCTTTTTGGGAACACAAAAATCATATTACAAAACCTCCAACAATCCCAAAAGTCTATATCCATAAACATTTATATAACTTTCACCCACTAAGCCAATATTTCCCTCACCCTAAATCATTCTGTGCCAGGTACCAGATGACTATTGATCACCCCATATCCCAGAGCCCGCTGACATTATTCAAACTAGCTAATCCTAAGCTGTTTCTCCTGCTCTGCTTTACCTTTTTTGCTGAAAACACAATAAAGCTCTTGGCCAAGCTTTTCACTGACTCCTCTTGCCTCCTGACTGAGCCTTGTATTTCATCCTGTAACATGCATGGTGTAGCTTACTCCCACATCTGGGGAACTGTATGTAATAAAAATCATTTTTTCAATGGTAATGATCACTCCATGTCTTCCCTCAGTCACCTTTATAAATTAATACCTGGGCACAAATTAGTGCCATAGGGAAAAGAAAAAGTATAGCAAGATATGTGTTGGGGTCCTCCAAGAAGCAGATGCCAAGTCAGGAATACAGGTGCAAGAAATTTATTGGAGATATATTCTAAGAAGGAGAATGAGAAGGAAGCTAGAGAAAGCAGGAAGAGCCTTCAAAATGTGATGAAGTTATGACTCTAGCAAAGGAAAAGGGGGAGGAAGGAGAATTGGGTAGGAAGAGTCTTGACTGCCACATAGTTCTAAGAAATGTTTGGATAGTCTGATGGAAAATCTTTGAGGCAAAATCTCCCATTAAAGGAGCCCTATGCATTGGAGGAATGGGACTCCATTAAACCCCCAATTATGCTTACCCAATGGCTTGGTGCAGTTTATGGGAAACACATTCTATTAGTCTGTTCTCATGCTGCTGATAAAGATATCTATTAGTCTGTTCTCATGCTGCTGTATAAAGGGTAATTTATACAGAAAAAGAGGTTTAATGGACTTACAGTTCCACATGCCTGAGGAGGCCTCAAAATCATGGTGGAAGGCAAAGAGAAGCAACTTGCCTCTTACATGGATGGTAACAGGAAAAGAGAAAGCTTGTGCAGAGAAACTCCTGTTTTAAAAACCATCAGATCTTGTTAGACCCATTCACTATTACCAGAGCAGAACAGGAAAGACCTGTTCCCATGATTTAATCATCTCCCACTATGTCCCTCCCACAATACATGGGAATTATGGGAGCTACAAGATGAGGTTTGGATAGGGATAAAGAGCCAAACCATATCATTCTGCCCCTGGCCCCTTGAAAATCTCCTATCTGCACATTTGAAAACGAATCATGCCTTCCCAACAGTTCCCCCAAAGTCTCAACTCATTTCAGCATTAACTCAAAAGTCCACAGTCCAATGTCTCTTCCATGACAAGGCAAGTCTCTTCCATCCATGAGCCTGTAAAATCAAAAGCAAGTTAGTTACTTCCTAGGTACAATGGACACATAGGCATTGGTTAAGTACAGCCATTCCATGCGGGAGAAATTGGCCAAAACAAAGGGGATACAGGCCCCATACAAGTCCGAATTCCAGCAGGACAGTCAAATCTGAAACCTCCAAAATGATCTCTTTTGACTCCATGTCTCACATCCAGATAACACTGATGCAAGAGCTGGGTTCCCAAAGTCTAGAACAGATCTATCCCTGTGTCTCTGCAGTGTACAGCCTCCTTCCCAGCTGCTTCACAGGCTGGCATTGAGTGTCAGCAGTTTTTCCAGGCACATGGTGCAAGCTGTCAGTGGATCTACCATTCCAGGTTCTGGAGGATGGTGGCCCTCTTCTCACAGCTCCACTAGGCAGTGCCCCAGTAGGGACTCTGTGTGGGGGTTCTGACCCTGCATTTCCCTTCTGTACTGACATAGCAGAGGTTCTCCATGAGGCCCCCACCCCTAGAGCAAACTTCTGCCTGGGCACACAGGCATTTCTACAAATCTTCTGAAATCTGGGCAGGGGTTCCCAAACGTCAATTCTTGACTTCTTTGCACTCTTGGGCTCAATACCACATGGAAGCTGCTAAGGATTGAGGCTTGCACCCTCTGAAGCCACAGCCTGAGCTCTACATTGGCCCCATTCAGCCATGGCTGGAGTAGGTAGAACACAGGGCACCAAGTCTTTAGGCTGCACACATCACAGAGAACCTGGGCCTGGCCCATGAAACCACTTTTTCCTCCTAGGCCTCCAGACCTGTGATGGGAGTAGCTGCCACAAAGATCTCTGCCATTCTCTGGAGACATTTTCTCCATTGTCTTGGGGATTAACATTCAGCTCATTGTTACTTATGCAAATTTCTGCAGCCTGCTTAAATTTCTACTCAGAAAGTGTTTTTTGTTTGTTTGTTTGTTTTCTACTGCATCATCAGGCTGCAAATTTTCTGAACTTTTATGCTCTGTTTCCCTTTTAAAACAAAATGCTTTTAACAGCACCCAAGTTACCTCTTGAATGTTTTGCTGCTTAGAAATTTCTTCCAGCAGGTACTCTCAATCATTTCTCTCAAATTCAAAGTTCCACAAATCTCTAGGGCAGAAGAAAAATGCTGCCAGTCTCTTTGCGAAAACATAACAAGAGTCACCTTTGATCCAGTTCCCAGTGAGTTCCTCATTTCTACCTGAGACCCCCTCAGACTGGACTTTATTGTCCATATCACTATCAGGATTTTTGGCAAAGCCATTCAACAAGTCTCTAGGAAGTTTCAAACTTTCCCACATTTTCCTGTCTTTTTCTGGGCCTTTCAAACTGTTCCAACCTCTGCCTGTTACTCAGTTCCAAAGTCACTTCCACATTTTCATGTATCTTTTCAGAAGTGCCCTACTCTACTGGTACCAAATTACTGTAATCGTCTGTTTTCATGCTGCTGATGAAGACAAACCCAAGACTGGGCAATTTACAAAAGAAAGATCTTTTAACTGGACTCACAGTTCCACGTGGCTGGGGAGGCCTCACAATCATGGTGGAAGGCAAGGGTGCAAGTTAAATCTTACATGAATGTTGGCAGACAAAGTGAGAGCTTGTGCAGATGTTTTTTAAAACCATCAAATATTGTGAAACCCATTTGCTATCATGAGAGCAGCACAGGAAAGGCCTGCTCCCATGATTCCATCATCTCCTAATGGGTTTCTCCCTCAACACATGGAAATTATGGGAGCTACAGATGAGATTTTGATGGGGGAATAGAGCCAAACAATATCACATAGAAAACAAGAGGATGGAGGTATTTTTAGGAGTTGATCCAGAAGCGAAATAAATGAACCGTTAGTCAATTAACATGGTAATCTGCAGGATATATGAGCAGTACATTTTCATAGTCACCAATGCATGGGGAAGTAGAGGTAGCCTGGGAGGTAGGGTAAGGATGAGTGGGATATCACATCATTAAAAAAGTTCATCAAAATGGCTTTTTAGTGACTGAATGTTGTGTTCCCCCAAAGTTTATATATTGAAATTTTAAGCCCCAAGTTGAAGGTATTAGGAGTAGGCTTTTAAGAGATGATTAGGTTATATTCTGGATCTGACAGGAATAGGATTAGTACCTTAATTTTTAAAATGACCCAAGGGAGCTCTCTGGCCCCTTCTGCCATGTGAGGACACAGTGAGAAGACATCCATCTGTGAACCAGGAATCAGGCCCTCACCAGAGAAGGAATCTGTGGATACCTTGATCTGAGACTCCCCAGCCTCCAGAACAGTGATAAGTAAATGCTCATTTTTAATCAATCTAATCTATGGTATTTGTGTTACAGCCACCGAAATAAAGACAAGACTGAATTAAAAAGCTGAAGTGTGAGCAAAGATTTGAAGAGGGTATGAGTTTTTTCAAGCAGACACTTGACAAAAAAGCATATTATGGTAACGAAATCCTTAGATTAAAAGGCCTTTATAAAAATAAATGTGCCTAGCAAGATGCAGAAGCAACAAGAATGCCAGTGTGGCTGGAGCAAAGTTAATGAGAGAGAGAGCTGAAAGGTATTATTTCAGATTATAAAAGACTTTGTGAGCAATGATTTCAGTGTTTACTCAGGATGAGTAGGGCAAGATGTTACAGCATGTCTACACAAATCAGTTTGTGCTGCTGTAACAAAATACCTGAAACTGGATAATTTATAAAAAACAGAAATGCATTTCTTACAATTCTGGAGGATGCATAGTCCTAGATTCAGGCATCTGCAGGTTTGTTGTCTAGTAAACGTCCAGTCTTGCTTCCAAGATGGCACTTTGAATGCTGTATTTTCCAGAGGGGAGGAACTCTTGTGTCCTCCCGTGGCAGAAAAGCAAAGGAGAGAGAACCCACTCTCTAATCCCTTTTTATATCAGCATTAATTATGTCAGCATTAACTCCTTCCTGAGGGTGGAGTCCTGATGACTTAAACAGCTTCCAAAAAGGCCTCACTTCCCCACACGGTTGCATTAGGGATTACATTACCAACACATGAATTTGGGGTGCCACATTCAAACCAGAGCAGGACAAATGAATAAAATTATCTGATTTACATTTAAATTTTTGGGGGGGCTATTATGTTAAAGTAGAATGTGAGAGTCAAGAGTCATAGTTGGGGAAGCCAGTTTGGAGACTTTTGCAAGAAGCAAGCAACAGAGGATTGTAGCTCTGACTAAGGCTATAACTGTGGAGGTGAATGCTCAAAAGTAGTCAGATTTCAAATATATTTCAAAGTTAGAACTAACAAGATGTCCTGACCCCAGTGCCCTTTGTTTATTTTCTAAATGCTACTGATTTGATATCTGCCTGCCTATTACTCTCTTCTGTTCTTTTCACATTGACATGATAGTGTTTATATTCATTAATATTTCATTAAGTATTCTTAAATACTTAAATATTCTACTTAAATATTTCATTTAAGTAGAAATATTTATTAAATCCATGTCATGAACCAAATATGCCATTAGTTTCTGAGATAATAAAACCCAGTTCTAGGTTGTAAATGACCACCTAAGATATAGATTGATATATAGATACAGGTATAGTTACAGATATACATATAGGTATAGACAAGGATGAAAGCAGTGGGGGAGAATATGAAATACCAAGCATGAAGGGTAGTGGGGTAAAGATTTGAATCCAGTATGGTGAGGGCAAAAACTCAGACCCTGAAGTTGTTTTCACATGGATGAGGCAAGACAGAATGCACTTTCCTTAGGAAAAGACATGAGATTAATTTTTAAAGCAAGCAGACCTGCAGGAGAAAGGGGAGTATGGACTGATGAGAGAACATTGCAAGCCATGGGATCAACATGATCAAAAGCACTGAGGCAAGAAACAGCCAGGGAGAAAACAAGAGATAAATCCAGAGCTTAGGCAGGAGCCCAATTACGGAGAAACTTATAGGATACACTAAGGAGTTTAGGTTTATCCTTTAGTCATTTATAGAACCAGTGAAGTTTCAAGTAGGGAAGTCAAAAACTCTGAATTACATTTATAAAAAGAAAACTCTTTGGCAGCAAGCAGTATACAGATAGCATTGGGTAAGAGTCACAGTGAAGTGCAGACTAAAATATTTTTTTCCTAAAGAGATTACAGTCTAGAAGGATAATTTTCTTTGTAAACAAATTCAAGACAGCAAGTATTGGTGCATAATTCAAGCAGTCTGTTTATTACACAGAATATATAAATACATATTTACATACATGCAACTTTTACATTAAGGCATGGTATTTGCAAGAAATAAAATAGAGAAACTTGTGATAATACCCTCAATGCTACGTTTTTAGTTGATAAAAACATTTGTAAACTTATTTCAGAGTGAAAACTTTTGTCACAATGGCAGATGGATTTATGATTTAGGTTATATCAATGTAATGAAAACTCTGGTTGATATGACCAAAATAATGTTATTCAGAAATATAAATACCTTAAAGTCAAATGGATTGATTATACAGCGATTGCTCATTTACAGCATAAGAAAATGGAAACAGCACCTACACGTACATAGAAGAAAATATTGTAGAACTGCTGCCTTTAATATATTTCTATTTACTTAATGATTCAATTTTTGTGATACAGATAAATTTTTTACACAGCCAGCATGTTGAACAAGCCACGAAATCTGTGCTTGAGTTGTGGTTTAAATTTGATATTAGGTATATAAATGTTTATTCAGAAAATTAAGATTACTGAATGATGAATGAATCATTTTTTTCTAGCTAGATTTATGTTTTTATATATTTTTTCTATTCTGTTCTTACAAAAGTATAAAATTTTAGTTTCCAGAGGGGATAAACAGATATTAACCAGAATGTGTCAATTCAATTGTTCATATTTTTTAAGGTTATAATTTGATAAGGTGGCTGAGAATATATTTTAGTTTATTATTCCCCAGTCTTTGCAATGTCTTTAATCTTCTTTTTTTCTCCCTCTACAGACTTTCCTGAATGTTGTTGAAATGCCATTCATTCTTTCATGCAATAAAATGATGTTTACTAATTTCCATGTTTCAGACCCTTTTATAGGCACTAAACATACAAGGATAAAGAAACTATAAAAAGATAAACTTGGAATTCACACCCTTTGTTCCTTACGGCAAAGAAGAAGAAAAAATAATTACATAAAGGAACATATAATAGCTGGAAACATAACTACTTTAGAGACTTCTCATTCTTTTCTTGCATCTTACTTTCATTGTCTTTAATTCTTACTTTGTATACTTCTTCCTGGGGAATGCTATTCAAGACCAAGTCTTGAACACCTGAATATCTGAATTATGGTGCTTTCTAATAAATCTGTACCTAAACCACTATACCAGCATAACTAAACACCTTCTAAATATCTCTGCTGGGATATTCCTCAGCAAATTCTAACTTAACCTGTTAGAAACAACATTAAATCTCTATCTTACTGCATTTCTATCCCCCTCTTCATCTTAATACATAACCAACAATCAAATTCAGTCATTCTTCTCTATTTATTGCAACTAAATATACCATTATCCTTCCAATGGTTCAAGTTAGAAATATAAGAGTCCAGGGTATCTTTTTTTAACCCTTCATTTTTGCCTTTCCAATTGCAATCAATTATTAAATCCTTGCAATCCCAACATCTCAGTATTTCTATTGGTATTTTTCACTCTTACTTCTTTTACCCTAGTTTTTATTATTTCCTTACATTGTATTTTTGCAGAAAGTCCAAATCTATCCTCTGGAAGTAGTCTTAAATTATCATTTAAATGACCAAACTTTACCAGGTTTACCTCTTTTCAAATCTCCCAAGTCTCACACTGCTAATAAAGACATACCCAAGACTGGCTAATTTATAAAGACAAAGAGGTTTAATAGGCTCAGAGTTTCACATTTCTGAGGAGACCTCACAAACACGGAGGAAAAGTATAGGAGGAGCAAAAGCACGTCTTACATGGCAGCAAGCAAGAGAGCTTGTGCAGGGGAACTCCCCTTTATAAAACCATCAGATCTCATGACATTTATTTACTGTCATGAGAACAACATGGGAAAAACCCACCCGCATGATTCAATTGTCCCACTAGGTCCCTCCCATGACAGATGGTGATTATTACAATTCATGGTGAGATGTGGTTGGGACACACAGCCAAACCGTATCAGTACTTTCACATGCATTGACTTTACATGAGCTACTTTTGACTTTACATGGGCTACTTTCTCCCAGGAAGGG
The DNA here is from genome assembly GCF_000001405.40 of Homo sapiens. NCBI lineage: Eukaryota > Metazoa > Chordata > Mammalia > Primates > Hominidae > Homo > Homo sapiens. The sequence goes on along the minus strand of NC_000004.12, from coordinate 58,651,106 downwards.
TTGTCTCCCTTCTGACTACATTGTTTCAACTTCTTCAGAATTACCAGAGATGTCACTTTAGCTTTCCTACACTCTAACTCCCTTTGACAGGGTTAGATACTATTTTTGTTTTGTTTTGCTTTCAAAGCACCTAGCCACTAACTCTGATTATATTATGCTGCAATATATACCTTGTATATAAATATTTCTTGATAGTAAGTGCCTTATCCCTGTCCTGCGAAGCCTCAAATCTCAATGTAAGAAAAAAATATTCTAGTATATAATTTAAGTCACAAAACTAATCATTGGATGAATAAATAAAATCTTAAACATGTTTTGATTAATTTATGTGTAGACACAATCTCTAGGATTATTATCATTATGTACTTCATGTCAAGACTCAGCTGAGTAGCACACTTATATTTCTGCAGGACATAGTAGGTATTCAGAGAGCCTCTACTGATAGTATTATAGTAAGCCAGAGTCTGGACTCTTCTGTTTAAGTGTGCAAAAAAGGTAGTTAGTTATTCAGAGTTTTCAAGTCTCTATTTCCTCATTTGTAAAATTGAGATGATTACGTTTGCCATGCTGACCTCAAATGACCATTGAAAGATTCAAATGAAATAATCTATATAAATATATTTAGGAAATAATACAACTCTCTATAGGTTTTATGTAAGCACCCTGCTGTTGATAGATATGTCTTTAAAGAGAATGAGAACTCTATCTGAAATATCCCCAAGTTACTAGTTTCCAGCCCTCTTTAGTGTTTCAAGACAGATCAGATTCCTTTGATGTTACAAATCAATACCTTAGGATAGCATCAATAGGGTAAATCCCTCCTGCCAGAATTTAAATTCCCATAAATTAAAATTTCATCTTGTAACAGCAAAAAGGTCAGCCTCCAAATAAAGTAGAGCCTTTGTTTGCGCCACAGATTTGTATAACTATACCTTAATGAAGGGTTATTAATTGACAACATATAATGTTTAAATGTTTTGTTGCTGATTTTCCCTTATATCTAAAGGATATTCCTTCTCAGGAGTTCCATTAATCAATGAAAACAGTTCTGAAGGATGCTGAATATTTATTTCAAAATTAGTATACACAAGCATATACACTTATGATAGCAGTGTGCTAAAGATAATGGCTTTATCACTTAGTAGGCTAGTATTTACTGGGTATTTACTAGTATAAATGTCAACTAAAATACAATATTTTATGTTGAATGCCAATTATAGGTTAGATAAAATTTACAGAGGCATTTTCCTAATTTATTTAAATCATTTTTAGTTATAACCTTATTAAATCCTACATCTTGCTGTGTTAAGTGAAAGTTATTTTTAAAAATAAAATTTCAAAAGATGATACACTCAGTTAATAGTTGAAATTAAAATTAAAGTCTCTAAATCTTCTAACCTACCTGAAGTTCCTGAAGTACAATATTTTCTAAATTACGACCTATAAATTCTTTCTGAAATCTAGTATCTTCAACATAACCTTATATGCATGCCTCTAGGTATAAATAGCAGTTAATAAAAATACTTGGTATTATGTCACCAACTACCAATTTATTGCAGTGTTATATTTCAACAACCTAAACCAAGGAAAGATTTTGCCTGCACAGAAGTGGCCTTGCCTATCATGATAAGCAGCTGAAAAATACACATAAGCTGTATGAACCCGGCAGAATCCATCTGGTGAACCATCTGTGTGAGAACTCACAAAAATTATGCCCCATCTGTTGTTTCATTTTTGCTAAGATTGCCAACCTTGTCCTCACTCCATTATCTGACTATTTGCCTTCCCTGTGGACTTCTGTACATTTGCTTTTATTCTCCATTAGCATCATATATCTAATTTTTGAAGCACTCTCCTCATTTCTGAAAGGAATTAATTAATGTATTTAATTTATGCAATTAAGAATTCTCTTGGGAAATAAAATAACTGAAAAGAATTACAGTAATATAATAGTGTTGTTAGGAAATAAGTGTATTATTATAAATACCAATTTCTGTTGGGTTAAACCTAAAAGTACAATTGCTCACCAAATTAATTTCTATCTAAATATAATGCTTAAATATAAGGTTTATCAGAGAATCTCTCCCTCTTCCAATCTGTTCTCCATGCTACTGCATAATATTACTTTCTACAACATTTCTATTGTCTGATTTCCTCTGATTAACACCCATACATGGCTTTCCATTTCTCCCACAATAAACTCTGTTAAGATTGTAGATCAAGTTCTCACTTCTTCACCAAACTTTCAAAGTTACACCTGTGATATGGTAGGCACAGTACATACCAGTGATATTCCCTTATCACTTGTTCCATCTTGTTCTGTCTTGTACATCATTGTTCTTGAACTTTAATTTAGTACTTCTATTGTCGTGATTTACCTTGTTGTATGACTCTTATCCACAAACAAATGTCACTCTTCTAAAGAACTGGAACAATATCACCATTTCATTTGCTTCTTTAACATATATACCAATTACTCTGCATGCATTTTGATCACTTTAAATACTTATTTTTTAAAAGTATGAATACTTAATTAAATAACATACTCTGATTTTATTATAGTGAAAAAATATTAAAGGATGATGCTGTCTTTAAAAAACTTTAAAATCTGTGACTGCAGATCTACAATACAAAGGACTCTAAGTAAAGCCGACTCACTTTCCTTTGATGCTAATCACAAAAAAACCACATGGACTTGAAATGACAGCATGATCAGCACATCTACTCAGAGACAACCCTTGTTGATCTCTCTAGAGGTGAAACTATAGATTGAGAGGTCTCCAAGCATAAGATATATTTCTGTAATATCAGACCACACCTGAGGTCAAATATCTTAATAGAAAATATATAACAATTGGTCTCTATGTGTATGTGTGATATGCCTATGTATATCCCTTATTTGTATCTAAAACAGTACATCTTTGTTTCCATAACTACTTTATAGACTATGAGTGTATTTGTAGAAATATATATCTAGATAGAATCAGTGTAGATTTTGTCTTTACTGAGTAGATAAATAATTATAAAACATAAGATCATAAAATGAGATGAAGACAGAGTATATAAGCATAGTTTTGAAGAATGTAGACCTTTATTTTAAAGAATAATACCCATTCATCCAAATAACTGAGGGAAATGACTACATATGTTGAAGAGGAAAATGATACAATAGTTTTGTGTTTCATTGTGAAACAGTACACAAATGATTTTCAAAATTTAATATGCCTTGGAAATTAAGAAGAGACACATAAAATACAGCAAAATTACAGTCTTTATGAAGAACGAGACTTATTACATCACATACACTAATTTTTATCAAGATCCCTTGCTCACACAGGCCTTCCCTGGTACCATATCCAACATAGCATTACTTGCTACTTTTTGGTATGTTATCCTTATTATTTTTCATAATATTTACCACTACACAATCTTGAATTTATATTCTAAGTTATTTATCTCTTTCATCTTTCTCATCCTTTAGACTGTAAACTTGCTGATAATATAAATGTTTTTATTGTTCCCTGTTGTGACCATGCCCAGTTCATAACACTAAATACATCTATTTTTATCTAACTGAATGAGTATCAAGGACCTCTGAGGGTATTTTAACTTTTTTTTTCTATTTGAGGACACATCCCAATCCCGTATTCTAAACACAATTCATACTCCTAAGGATTCTATAACTATGCCCCTCACTTAATTTTTACTTTAAATTATTTTAATTTGGCCAAGCATGGTGGCTCACTCCTGTAATCCCAGCACTTTGGGAGACCAAGGTGGGCGGATCACCTGAGGTCAGGAGTTCAAGACCAGTCTGGGCAACATGGCAAAACCTTGTCTCCACTAAAAATACAAAAACTATATGGACGTGGTGGCGGCGGCTGTAATCCCAGCTACTCATGAGACTGAGGTAGGAGAATCGCTTCAACCTGGGAGGTGGAGGTTGCTATGAGCCGAGATCCTTCCACTGCACTCCAGCCTAGGTGACAGAGTGAGACTCTGTCTCAAAAAATAAATTAATTAATTAAAATAAAATAAATTGTCTTAAATAACCATATAAATGTTATTCACATATTCTGTCCTTCTCAGTACAAGAGTGAGAATAAAAGGAAGATCATTGAAACATTCATTGTATTTCTCCTTGACATACTATAAAAAATAAGATATCTTTAATTTCATACCGAGTAATTTTCTAAACTTCCAGGGGTGTGTTGCACATGTATTTCATGGGCCATTCCTTCTTGTAACCACTTTAAGGAATCTTTTTTAACCTGTCCCTCCTAACTGCAGTCCACTGTGATACTGCTGTTGCTTGTTACTTTCAATGACAAAAGTAGAAGTCATGCCCTGATGTCCATCGATGGGGCCACTAACCTTGCTAGAGCTTACCAAAGGAGACAAGGTCCCCTTATTGGACCTCATCAAAAGCTATACTCCTGCTGCCCATGGTGATTGCAAAAACATCAATCCCCAAAGTTTCTGCCAAAGGGTTGTTTTCTCTAATTAACACCGTGGAGCTACCAATGCTCAATATTGAGACTATTATTGTTTGTCTTTTGTTATTGCAAAAATCAATGGTTTTCTTTCCCAGTGTTGTAAAAGCTACTGGCAATTACATACCTGAAGTGCATGTGCTCAAGTAGATAATTTCTCGAGTAGATAATACCAGAAAGAACAAAGTCAGCTTTTATTTGAGACTTGTCTTTTATTTCTCATGAACTTGCTTGTGGACTGAGGTATATGGCCATGTCAGCTGGGTTGAGGAATTAACCAAGGGAGATATATGGCCCTTTATCTCTGATGTTGACCTACCATCCTTGAAACAAAACTCTGTATCGTAATATCCTTAGAACAAGTTCTTTCCCATGAGGCACCTTGTTCCCTCACATAAATCTTAGGGTGAGTGTAACTTGGTCTCAAGCTGGGATGCCTGCTACAGAAAGTACAGTGACTGAGCAACACATCGTATCATCAATGAATTTTAAAGGCTTTTGAGACAGGTTCAGTAGAAAGGGTAAGCATGAAAGCACAGTAGCTAGCAGCCTTCTCAGGAGGAACAATATTCAAAGGCTCTTTGATGAAAACCAGGTGGGTTATTTTTTCTTTTCATACTTGGAGTGAGATAGCATAGCAAGCACTTCCTCTATACCTGCAAGTCAACCAAGGCAGACATGCCGCAGCAGCCAACTATGACTCCAGGACTGTAATATTTGGAATATTTGAGGAGTAGAGTGTGAGGTATTTTCTTTATTTTAGGAATTGCTATAACAGGTCTAGTGTGGCAGGTCACAGATTTTCAAAACCTGGCACCTGTAGGAGTGTGATTTGTATTACTGGAAGAGATATGCAGTGCATCTAAAAATAATAAAACCAACAGAGAATTCAGCAGGCTGATGATTTGGTGTCACGAGACATTCAAAGTATAGGATGGTGCCACCTATTGCTTTCAGACATCTGACAACCCACCAGGGATTGGATTAAGCACTTCCAAGGAAATGCTAGATAGTTCTCCAAAGACATATACCTTGTTGGCAAGCTATAATCAAAGTATTTATCTTACTCTTGAATTTTAGGGTAACTCCAAGACATTTGTAATATACTAGAATTATTTTTAAAATTGTAAAAACATCTGGACATTCACGAAATATTATACATAAACATAAAATGTATTTTTATACATGTAAAGTTTTTTTTTAATTTACTCACTTTTATCTTATTTTTCAGAATGGTTCGAGATATTTTCTTAGCCAAGTAAAATCACCTTCTCCTTTTGTTTCCCAAAGAAAAATGAAGCACAAAATTGAAAGTTGCATTTTACTCAGTGTTCTTTTGCATGCAAAGTGTAAAGGGTTATTTGTAAATTTTTAAGGCCAGTAAATTAAGAATTAAAATAAAACAAGAGATGCCACAGTAAATATACAAGTTTAAAAACTCTGCCAAAACATGCTTACAGATTTGTGGGGTCACCAATATTCTCATAGTCAAAAGTAGAAAATGGACTATTAAACTGATGCTCTGTAAAAAAGCACTCAATATATCTAGAGTACTTTGTTTTGTAGTTTATTTGGAAGTACTCTTAGAGTTATTTCCGATGCTTTAATAGGATATAAAAGCATAAGCCTGTCAGGGAAGTGTAGCGCAATGCCATATAATTGGTAGATGGATCGGCATTGTCAACGACTTTATTTGAACTTTATTGATTCACCTTATATAAGGTGATACTCTGGTCCACATAATGTATTTAGCTGTCAAGTAGTAGTAGCTTTCAAACAACCAGATTTCACACTAAATCTTCCTTGTGCTTCGAGGGAGAGTAAAAATGTGGTGCAAGAGGTAACTGCAATAATTATAGGGTCATTAATTCATATCTAGCTGTCTCTCTACATTGCTCTGGTACCTAGACATTTTCTCAAGTAGATTTCTAGATGTTTTCAGAAAATGCCATAGATCATCCAACTCTCTCCCAATCTCATTTCCAATTAAGTGTTAGAAGTCAAGAGGTTGGTTATGGTACATAATATACTGGTTGATTGTTTATTATCTGTCAAGCTACATGGATGCAACAGTGATTTACAAATTGAACGTCCACATGAGGAGGTTATAGTATGGTGAGAAAAAGACGCATAAGCTCATAACTATACGGCAACATAAAGTTAGTAAGAGAGTCAAGAACAAAATTGAAAGACTGAGGATAGTTTTTTCCAACCGATGAGTTCTACTGTAAGCTCTCAGCAAAGTGCGTAGTACACAGCATATGTTCAATAAAGGGTAGATAATGATAATATTATAATGCAAATCATTATTTAATTAGTTTATGCTTATGGGATACCTGGGTAGCAGAGAACAATCAGTTGATATCAAAAGCATTATTTTTATCTATTAAAGTTATCAGAAGTGATTTCTTAGATAAAAGAGTCTCTTATAACTGTTGTATACCCTGAATAAAATTATTCATATTGCATAAAAATGTAACAAATTATTTTCATCCATATGTCATTCCACTCATTTGTAAATCTATGTAATCTATAGGTTTTTACAGTATCATTAATTGTATTAGTTTATCCTGAAAAATATAAAACAGCCAAAACAATAGAGAGAATATTTATTATTTAAAGGATGTTCTATTTTAAAAAGCCTCGAAGATTAATTTTTCCTCCATAAATTCATGAAAATTTATATGCAGCCTACAAAATGCTACCCAAGGTTTCTCTCAAACAAGAAAACACTCAGAGTTCTGTTATGTCCAAGCATTATGATCCTAATTCACTCTTACAAATTTAACAGTTTTTAATATTTATTGAAATTTCCTTTTGCCATTAGAATTATATGCCTTGTATATAGAAGATACATAATAACTATTTATTCATAACATAATATCAACATGAGACAAATAACTCAGTTCCACACTCACAATGCTGTTTCCTCAGTCTAAATAAAAGTATTCTGTGGATGACCACCTGGGGCAGGCAAGGAAGTGTGCTTCCCTGAGCAATGATTTTATTCATTATGAAGTGTAGCTAGGAAGAGCATCCCAACTCAGGTGGTGGTAATAAGGGAGTGGAACATCTTTAGTGATTTAAAAAAACAATAATATTGACTAAACATTGATCTGCTTCTTGTGATAATCATTCATCAGCAATTCTAAACAATGTCAGTTATATAAGATTCCTCTCGTCTCTGGGTAGACCACTCCTAGCTTCCCAGTCTTCATATGCCATTGTTCATAGGCAAATTCAGTCACTTAGTCAAATATGACCATGGATGAGGGCAGAAAAAAATCTGCCTCCTGTGGAATAGAAGGAAACTCTTGCTTGCCAAGAGGAAGAAGGAGGAAACCAAGCTGTGCGTGACCTGGACTTTCTTCTCAGTTTAGCAACTGTAAAAATCATTGGTTTCTTATGGAGCAAAACAAATAGAGAAAGAAAACGTAGGAATATTAAAGTATTCAAAATCCCTAATCATGAAGGGAAACATCAGAAGGGGGAAAAATTGAAGAAGAAGCGAATATAAAATAAAAGAACATGGAAATAGATTAAAGTAAAATATGTAGCCTGAAAAGGGACAATTCACAAACATGCAGATGATGATTGGTTTATTTATTTATTTTGCAGAGGAATAAAAGAGGAATCTGGGGTATCTGATAAAAGGGCCAATGGTAAATGGAAGGATCAGCACACCCATTTGATATGATAAAAATTATTAGGAAAAATAATTCAGTGACCCCTGTTGCAGAAAGAAAATTGACAAGCAAATAAAACGTCAGAATCTAGAATCTGTAAGTTATTTTTCCCTTCTCTATTCAATAGTGGGTATTAAAACTGCTAGCTGAAACCCAAAAATTGCCCCTGCCAATGACAATCTCCATGCTTTATTTATGCAAGAACATGGCTCTTTTTACCTTTAGTTACACTGCTTTTAGTTTTTTATTATCTTGAAAGAATATTGTGGGATTTGGAATCTCAGTTGTCTGTTTATTCATCTTAAAAATAAATTAACAGATATCTCTTAAGCATATACTTTAATAAGATGTTAAATATGGGCAGTATTTTCAAAATTTAAAATAAATGTTATAGAATCTGAATTTTATGACTAGTAGTATTTAACATGTTTCTAGGACTAGTTTCCAGTATATTGATGTCCAGCCTCAGACTTGTATATAGAATTACAAATTAGAATCTGTTCTTTTGAGACCATTAAAGCTTTGAAAACTAAAAGTCTTAATCCAAATGAAGTTTTCAAAGTTCCACGATAAAAAAGGGAATTCAGCAATACATAATTTTGGCATATTTAAAACATGATAAAAAGTTATTTTAAGTCAGATTAACATGTTAATAAAATTGCTGTTTCCATCCAGGTGCGGTGTCTCACACCTGTAATCCCAGTACATTGGGAGGCCAAGGTGGGTGGATCACGAGGTCAGGAGTTTGGGACCAGCCTGACCAACATGGTGAAACCCCATCTCTACTAAAAATACAAAAATTAGCCAGGCATGTTGGCATGTGACTGTAATCCCAGCTACTCAGGAGGCTGAAGCAGGAGAACTGCTTGAACCCGGGAGGTGGAGGTTGCAGTGAGCTGAAATCACGCTGTTGCACTCCAGCCTGGGCAACAGAGAGAGACTCTGTCTCACAAAAAAAAAAAAAAAAAATGCAGTTTCCAAAAGTTGCATTTTACAAATGTTAGATGGTTTGATAAAATGGAAGTTTATACTGTTTCCTCTCCACAAATCTCAAAACAACCTTCAGCTCTTCAATGTTTACATTCATAGTCAACATATTATTGTTTTCTGCTCAACCATTTGCTTTTTAACAATGTTAAGAACGGTCTTCCTGATCCAGTAATTCATTCATTTGTTCGACAAAATTTTATTGTACACCTACCATGGTTCAATTATTCTTCTAGGAGTTTGAAAACAAAAAAGACAAAAATCCCTTTCTTATAAAGCATATGTTTTGTTAAAGGAGACAAAAATCAATAAAAGTCACGAATAAGAAAATTATATGGTATGTACAAAATTTTATTGTATATCTTCTATCATGTTTCAAGCATTCTTCTAGGTGTTTGAGAACAAAAGAGATAAAAATCCCTGTTTATAAAGCATATGTTTTATTGAAGGAGACAAAAATCAATAAATGTAATGAATAAGAAAATTCTATGGTATGTTTAAAAGAGATAGGTTCTATAACATAAAAGAAAATGGCACTGAATGAGAGGGTAGGGACACTTTGGGGAGAGTGTGGCAAACTTCAAATAGAATGGTCAAAGCAGGCCTCATGTAGACGGTAACATGTGAGCAAAGATTTTGAAGGAGATGAGAAAGGTGTATGGAAAGAAATTGCAGGAAGAGATTAAAATAATTCTATGTGAGAAATTTGAGAAATAGCAGTGAGTTCAGTGTGGTAAGAGCAAAGTCAGTAAGAAAGAGTGGCAGAAGAGGATATAAGAGAGGACAGACCACATAGGGCCTTCTAAAACATAGGAACTTCAACTCTTAATAAATGAGAAATGAGAAACCCAGGAAAACTATTGGTCTGAACATTTGGAAAGATGTAACTCTCATCTACAGTGATTTTTAAAAGTTCTTGGAGAAGCAGAGTACTGAGGGTTGGAGGAAAAAATTAGTTCAGTTTTGGCCATGTTGAGTTTGAGATGTCTACTAGACATTCAAATGGAGATAGAGTAGGTGAATGGATATATGTCTGGATTTCAGAAGGAGAGTGGTGTACCCTGGAGAGAAACATTTGAGAACAAATATGCAGGGTTTGTAGCATTACAGTGGATGAGATTACCAAGTGAGTGTAAATCAAAATAAAAAATAGACAGGAGAGAGAAAGACAGGAGAGAGAGCCCTGGACCACTCTAACATCAGTGGATCAGAGTGGGAAAACCAGAAGAGAAGACAGAAGGAGCAATCTGTAGGGCAATTAGATAACCTAAAATTTAGGGGAAGAAGAGAAGGGAGAGTGATTAACCAGTATGTCATATGCCGCTGTTTTCTGTTAAGATGAGGACCAAAAAATATCTTTGTATTTATCAACATGAAGGTCACTGGTAAAACTGACAAGACTTGTTTAAAAAGGGGGCAGATAACTAACTACAGTAGGTTTAAATGAGTTTAGAATAAGAGAGATTTATGATCATAAGTATAGGCAACTCTTCCAAAAATAATTTTGCTGTAAACATGAGCACAAATGTGAAGAAATAACTAGAAGAAAAATGAGAATTAAGATTTTTAATAGAAAACAAATGACCTGTATATCCACTAATAGGATTGAGTCCAAGGAGAGGAAAGAAATGATGTTGCTGAAGGGAAGGAGTAATTCCTGGGGGATTGGCCTTGGGATAACTGAGTGGATCAGAGCAAGTACACCAATGGAAGGATTCACTTAGGACTGGAGCAAAGACAGTTCCTTCATTACTACTATGAGAAATACCTAAGTTAATGGATACAGACGATAATAAGTAAACAAATGTAAATGTAGAAATCTGTGGACATTCTTTTTGCATTGCTTTCAATTCTTTAGTCAAGTAAGAAGTAAGTTCACCAGCTGAGAGTGTAAATGAAGGATAAATGCTGAAGTTTGAGAGAGGAGATGTATAATAGTCGTGTAGAAGAATAGTTGGATAAGAGATATTTACTATTATTTCCAGGCAGAATTAAGAACACAATTGACATTAATGGTAATAAAATTAAAGGAAGAACTGCAACATATACAGTCTTTATGTAGGCAGAAGCTCTCCAACAGACATTTTTTGTAGAGCAGGGGGAATACTGGTGTCATATGGCAGAAATCCCCTTAATTAAGGAGAAATGTTAGAAAAAGAATGGGAACAATTAGAATTTGGTATGTGCTTGGAAACTGTGCTAGGGACCTGGTGCTGCCGTCACTGTCTCCATTTCTGTCCTTTTAGAACACTGAGGATGCACCAAGTCCTAGGCTGCGCTCTCTAATTTTGCTTCCTAGAATCTTCACAGCAACCTTACCAAATAAAAATAAATATGTTTATTCGTATATGAGAAAACTGGTATTTAGAGGGGTTCTGTAATTTACCTAAAGCTCAAGTCTGCAAGGCATGGGGACAAGATCCAAGTCCAGGCGGTTACACAGTCTCTACTTCCCAACCATTTCTCAAAGAATACAGTCACATTCTATAAATAGCTTCTTTCAGAAACTCATTAAGGATCTGGTTCCCGTTATTTAATTAGTCTAAAGCCACCTAGAACTTATTTATACTAAAGTAATAGTTTAGTTTCGGAATCCTATAAATACCTTGCCTATTTTGTGGAGAACTACTTCCTTCAATTCAACAGTAGTTAATCATTTACAGTTTCAAGTGTTACTACTGAATTATCTGAGGAATATGTTGTTCATATTTACAGAAATATCTTCAGAACTTTATTTATATCCCCTATTGATAAATACCTTTCCAATCTGAAAATCCTGATTCTCTCTTTCCTATTTTACTGATTTTTTTTTTGTTACTGTTGTTGTAATATTTGCTTTACTAATACCTTGGTATTTCCTAGTTTATTTATTGCCAGTCTTTAACCTTCAGTTTATTAGTTTCATCTTCAATGTCTTCCTTGGATATAAATCTCTCCATACCTGAGATTTTCTGCTACAACTCTCAGAATTAATAGCACACAATTTCTTTATGTGCCGACATTGCCCCTTTTTCTTCCTTTATTATCACCAGTATGACTCAGCTACCTTACTCACCATCCTATATGTGAACACTTAACATTTATTTTAAGCAGTAGTTAATGTAGCACCTACTCTAGGTCATGTAGTGGAGATGCACAAATAAAATCACCTGCTTCAAGATTACCAAACCAAAAATATTTTAAAAGCCAAGATGAAAGCCAAGAAATAAAAAAGTCACCTTGAAATTGGACTTACTGGTGTTTACATTCTAAACTCCTCATCTGAGGTCAAAACCAATGAACAAACAAACCCAACAATTTATAGTCAGTATCATTTTAGAGGTGGATATGAAGTATATAACAAGTCTATACAAAGAATTTTTTACTTTAATTATTAACTGCTTCTTTAGGTGGACACAAGAACAGCTTAAATTTGAGAGCTCAATCGTATTTAAAAATGTGTGCCTTTATTATTTGAACTAAAGTCAGTGTGGTGAGATGCACATGTTATAAGAACCACCTGGGAACTGAGACTCACTAAAGGAAGGGCAGATTTATGCCTTGCCTTTTATATATATTCGGCTATAGCCCATTAAATATAATAACAGGCAGAATCACCTGCATTGTATAAATCATTACAACTTTCTTTTTTTTGCATATGCTTAGTATTTTTTTTTTCACCAAGAGCCAAACCCAATATGCCTACATTAAATGCACACATGATGTACTGTACTCTAATAGTCCATCTTTGGACACTTATGAAAAAATAGAAATCTTGGACAATCAAAAACACAAACTTTGTTAGATGTTTGAATTTGTTTAACTTTGGTTTCAAGATGATAATATCTAATTTTATAGTTTCACAAGACTTTTGTGGAAACATCTTATAAACTTCGAAGTGCTCTAAATTGCAAAGTATTATCTTGCTCTTCTGCTACAGGTGTAATATTGTCAGTAAGCAGTTTTTCCTTTGCTTTTCTGCGTAAGTGTGAGGAATGTTATGAAAGGCACAGAGCTCATTCCTGCAGATAGAATAAAATAACAGGGTCCTATAGGTCGAGTGAGAGTCAAACATTGTCTCCTGTTTAAAAGTTAATTATGTTTGAATATGTGGTTTTGGAGTTACCAGGAGAGTTTAATCAGCCAGTTTAAACCATTTCTTAATTTCAGCGAACTTCTTATCCTTTATAAGACTGTTTTATAGGAAAGCACACGCACGTCAATAAAGGACAACTCCACAATCATGATTCCCATGAAATGCTTGCTGTGACTCCAGTTGCATAATCAAGTATTACTTCATTGACAAATTCATCTTCAAAGAAAAATGATAGTATAAATATTTGATTGAATTTAGACATCAGTCTTTTCTAGCATGTCAGTTATAAATTGCAGAAGGCAAATTGTATGACTTTTCCAAAAGAAATTCAGTTTTCAATGAAGCTGTCCACCTCAGTATTTATTTAGTTGGAATACAAGATGTTTTTACCACAAGTAATATTGCCTTCTGGAAGATGATGCCATACAATATAAGATGAAAGTGCTAATTAAACTCACCTGAGAGTTTATTCAGTAAGCATGGAAATTTTTTTCTGCAATCTTTTCCTATTTTTAAACCTTTTCTTTTATAATTCTTAGAATCTTTCAACCTTTTTCCCCTCAGCTTCCACTCAGAGAACGATCTAGAATTTATTCATATTAAGTTGTAAGTAATGAAAAGCTACATGTATTGTTCTTATTGAATTGTATTAAGCTCAAAGTATATGGATAAAGAAATTAATATCTACAGCTCAACTTTTAAGGCACAACTAGTAGAATTATTATCTACTGTCCTTGTCGACTGACTGAAGCTTGCCAGTTCTAATGTACTAGAGGGACTATTTATTATGCCAAATATATACAGCAAGCCAGTAACATTTGGTGATTGCACAAGTTAGCTGATATGAATATTTTGAAGTAAAAAATCATCATTGGGTAAATAATGAAATGCACAACCTATATCACATCAATCACAAATTTTTCCTTTAATGTGTTGATTAAGTGAAGAATATGGGTTTTCAGAAAATCAATGGAAAGTCATTTATTATACTTGGATAATTTTAGTGTCACAATGTTTATTGCCTTTAACCAGACTCATTTTACAGATTTTCTTCTCCGTGTCTCTATTCTGACTGCCAACATGGGTGCTAATTAGCATCAATTTTGCTGGTAATATTTTTCTTCTCTTGGGACTGAGTACAGATGTTCACTAGGAAGAGAAATGAGAGCACCCCCTGATTTCTGTGGACCAGTGGACTGTGGTAATTGATTTTAGTCATAGCTAATTCAAGCTAGTTTAGAACTCCATAACTGACTGTATATCCTATTAGTGATGCCATTAACCATCAAGCTTGCCTAAGGTGACAAGGAAAACAACTCAATAGCACCAAACTCAGCCACCGTGGAAAATAAACTCACTTACTGTGGAGTGACAGGACTCACTTGGGAGCTGGGCTTCTCGAACTGAATATGTTTTCAAGAAGCTCTTTTTAAGCACTTAATGAAATGGAGTTTTTTTTATGACTTTCACTTAAAAATACATTATAAAAGCCACTTGGTTCTCCTTTGCTGTTGCCAAGTTTTGAATGACTGCCAGACTCACAGCAGAGCTATAACTAATTTAATATATTAGGAAGATGCATTTTCATTTCAGTTTATAGCAGTAAGTATCCAGGTTTGAAACTTGTTCATCGCAGAAGATGTGCAATGTTAGCAACTCAATATACCACAAACTGAAGCATCTAACAAAACATTGGTGTCTGCTAAGATATAAAAAGTATATGTTAAATATAAAAATTTAACTGTAAATTCTATGGGGGAAATAAATGAATAACTTTGAATATGAAAGTTTCTGGCTGCCTCTAAAAAATCTCTACCTGAGTGCATTCCCATCAAATCAAATAAATCACCACCCTCAATGACCTCCCTGAAAACCCCCGTGTAAATATTCCATTTTTCCAGGAATCCACAATTTATTCTAGAACTTTGGGAACCTTTTAATCCATTCTTTGTCTTCCTCCTCAATCTATTATTAAACACCGACATTTCTGCCTTCAAAATGTCCAATTTGTTTCGTTTTCTGTGACTCACTTCATTTTCACTTCACCTTTGTATTACAACAGCAAGCTTGCGATTGGATTACTTTCCTATAGTCCAGTGGTCTCCCACCTTGGTTTAGCCTAGGAAAATTAAAAAATTCCAATACCTGAATTTCACTTAAAAAGATTCTGATTTCATTGATCTGTGGAGCAGCTTATACTGAGGGTTTTTAAGATCTCCCCACAGTTCAAGACCCGCCTGACCAACATGGAGAAACCCCGTCTCTACTAAAAAAAAAAAAAAAACACAAAAAAAATTAGCCGGGCGCGGTGGCACACGCGTGTAATCCCAGCTACTCGGGAGACTGAGGCAGGAGAATAATTTGAACCCGGGAAGCGGGAGGCGGAGGTTGCGGTGAGCCGAGATGGCGCCATTGCACTCCAGCCTGCGCAACAGGAGCGAAACTTCTTCTCAGAAAAAAGAAAGAAAGAAAGAAAGAAAGATCTCCCTACATGAGATGAATAGTCAGCCACGGTTGAGAACCACTGCACCTAGTCTTTCGTTGGTATTGCCATCAGATTATTATTGAATCAGGACTCTCACTTGCTAAGAGACCAAAAGTGGTTTTTATTTGCTGAAGTCTCAGGTATGAGTACCTCTATCTGTGTTTTGAAGGACCTTACCTTATTTTCACCTGTATCTCCTACATTTGCTCTTTCTGAACCAGATCTATGAACATGAATATTCTTAGCAGTTTTACTTATATGTTGAACCTAGGCTGATTGAAACACTGAAATGAGCCCAAAGATCCTTCAGCGGAAGAGTGGTCAAACAAACTGTGCTAGATCCATACTATGTAATACTACTCAGCAATAAAAGGGAGCAAACTATTGATACATGTAATGATTGGATGAATTATCAGGGAGTTACACTAAGTGAAAAATGTCACAAGGTTTCACACTGTTAGATCCAATTACATAACATTTTTCTTGTGACAAAATTTTAGAAATGAAAGACAGGTTAGCGGCTGACAGGGGTTAGAGATCAGGTGGAGGAAGGAGTAGGAAGAGCCAAGGGAAGGAGTTGAGGGAGTTGAGTGTGGTTATAAAGAGGGAAAACAAGGTATGCACCCTTGTGATGTTGGAACTGTACAATACTTTGGCTGTAGTAGGGAATATAAGAGCCTATATAGGTGATAAAATTGCATAGAACTTCACAGATACACATAAGTAGAACTAGAAAATATGAATCAGCGTATTGTATCAATATCTATATCTTGTAATATTGGTCTATAAACTCGTAAAATTTTGCCTTTATAGAAATGAGGTTAAAAGTGCACACAGCCTCTTTGTATTTTGTCTTAAAACTGAATGCAAATCTACAATTATCTTCACAATTTTCACCTACAAATTTCTACTTATCCTACAAGGTCCAGACACTTGCTGATCCAGCTGCATATGGTCCAATGTGTACATTTTGTCCATTACTCAACATTTTCAGATAATGATCAAGTTTAAAAATAGCACATAATATGAATTTTTTGTGCATGTTAACTTTTTTCATAAAGACAGGAACCCTATTCTATTTTTCTTTTGGTGAGAAATAAGCAATTGATAAACTGATATCAATTGACTAGTACTGTAAATTAAAGATGTGTTTTATCTTTTAAATAATAGTAGCTAGAAACTACTACAAAAAGAATTAAAGATCTGTTTTATGTTTGTTTTGTGTGTGTGTGTGTGTGTACTTTCAGTGGCAAATGTCAAATATAAAATACCATAAAAACTAAAAGAAAAAATATTTACAAGTAAAGTAATATATATCTGAAATAGAGCATTTGGTTTGATGAATTACTTATCATTTGATCTGTAAAGGGAAGCATCCAGTAAATTTCACTTTTATTTTTTTCAACAGAAAATCATTCACTTGGCAATAGGAGGAAGCACCTTGCTGTACTTTCACTTTTTGCGTTGACATATTTATTTCTCTCTTTAACTATTTGTCTAATTGAGGAATAATATGAATACAGAAGTACACATATCCTAAGTATAGCTCAATACGTTTTTACAAGTGGAAAACATCCGTGTAACTAGAACCCAGTTCAAGAAGCAGAGTATAACCAGCATGATGGAATATTCCCTTTCTTTCTTCTGGTCCACATAAAATCCTAGGGATGATTATTATTGCTCTTTCCTTCCAAAATATATTGTCTGTTATACAATATATCATGCTTTGTGCCTGTTTTTTGGTGAAATATTGTTTGTTCAATTTATGTATCTTGTGTGTGTTGTTCTGTATAATGCTGCATTTGAGGAAATGTCCACGATCTATCAGTTTTATACAATAAAATATCAATTTTATTGTTGATGGACATTTGAGTATTTTCTATTCATTTGAGTAGTTTCTATTCATGGCTAATATAGAGAGTGTTATTATTAACATTTTAGTCACATTTTCTAATTCCTACTTCCTGAACACTAATCATGATGTTTGCTTTGTCTTCTCATCCCTGTTTCTTTTATGATGGTGCTTGGAGAATGACACTTTTCTACACAGTCAAAAATTGTCTCTTTCTGCAGAAAATGAATGGTCAAGCAGAATATGAAAGAGGCAAAAAAAAATCATAGATTGCTTTTTAAATCTCCACTTTCATGAAAGACATTTGACACCTAAGTCATTAATTATCTTTTGGCTTTCAAGAGGTTATATGAGACAAAAAGTTTGTGTGTATAGACCAAAAACATAAATATAGGAAGATCAGGCAGCAAGAATGAGCAGGTGCTTCCTATTGAATGGCACCTGCGAGTAGATGGAGACTCAGGGAAACACTTTATTTCTTTATGAAGCATATTTAACAGAATAAATCATTCATTTGCTCTGATATTTACAATGCCTTTATCTATTAAAAATAATTATAAAAAACAAAGTCGATTGTTCCCCTAGATTGTAGTATTTTCCTAACCTAGCAAGGCTAATGCATTTGAGGATCAGTTACAAACAGCAATCACAAAAATAAATTTGTTTAGCATCTACCTGCTTAGTCTATGTTAAGAAGAGCAAAAAAAAAAAAAAAAAAGGAAATACCTGACTCATCTACAAAGAGGAGAGGAAAAGATAATCTAATTTTAAAAATATATATTTAATATCAACTATAGTGTTTTATAACTATATAGTGTTTTATACCTGTAATCACATTTCAGAACTTCAACTCAGAAGTGCTGTTCTGTGTGATAATCTGCATTAATTCATTAACATTTATGTAGTTTGAGACATTCTTCACAGTGCAACTTGCTACTTAATCAGTTAAACAAATAGTAAAAGTTTTCTTTTAATGAATCTGTCCAGTTGAATATGCATATCCATCACAATAATCAGTCCAGTTAAAATTTCTAGTCATTCCTTCACTTTTTGTTCTTTTCTAACAAATCTTGTAAGTTTTATATAAAGCATACTGTATAGACTTTTTTCTTGGTGAATGTCCTGAAATCACTTCAAATATTTACACGTTATGTACTCAATCAGATGTTAAATTCTTCAATGTAAATGCTCTGTCATGCCATCCTACCTCCTGTCTCCCCCACCCCCTCACACACACCTAAAAGCACTCTGGGCACAGTAGTTACACAATAAACGCTAAAAGCCTGATTTAACAACTGTATATAAACAAACTACTTTTATGTGACTACTATACCTCTGGGCATGGTATTAACCTATCCCAACCAGAGTACTGATTGAATAAAAATGTATCTCAAAGTCCTTTAAATGTTGAGCTGCAATCCACACAGCCAGACTTTTGCATAGGCAGTCACATGAAAGGTCTTATACGCCATTAAATTTCCAAGACAATAACTTGATCCATAAACTACACTGACCCCATGGACCTATCAAGATTATCAGGTTCGCCTTAAAAAAAAAAAAAAAAAAAAAAAACTGTGCTCATCCATAAATTCAGATACATAGTGATGTCGATTTAAATATATAGTTCCTCCATTTTGAACACCGTCTCTAAAATAAATATTCAACATCATTCTTTTAATTCTCTCTGAAGGTGTTTGTTTATATTTCAAACACTCTTACTGACTCAGTTCTGGCTTTGACATTGCTCTCAACCGTATTCACAGGATTTTGATTGGTAATAAACAGTCACAGTGTGGGTAGCACAATACAGAGTTAATCCACAGTCACCAGCATACAATCTTTTAATGTTATGTTAATATGCATATCATTCAGGACATATGTCTTCAAGGCTGTTCTTTAGAAGTAAGACCATTTTGAATATCATACAGTGGCTTGTACACAACATGACTGTAATGGAGAATTGGAAAACCAAATGAAAGATGCTGTTTATGTTTGAAGTTTCATATTACTAATGCAAAGGGTTTCTACCAATCCCTGAAAAAAATGGGTGTTTTTTGAAGCTGGTTGCGTTAAAAAGTAGTCATTAGAACTGACAAATATTTATAAGATTTTTTTTTTTGTTTTGACTACAAAGAAAAAAATGGATCAGCTTGACAATGACGGAATGCAAAGGAGTCGAGGCGAATGTACTTGCAAGGCAGAAAAATAAATCCTAGGGATTTAAATAAACGACATAGAAAAAGGAAACAGCTTGAAAGTTCCTGGTTAGGTTTTGGTCACAGTATTAAAAAAGGAAAATCAGAATTCTTTTTACTCTTTTCTTCTTTAGAGAACAAGTTTAAAAGATAAAGTCTGAACTACCAAGATGACTCTTGGTTAAGGGTCCAAAAGGGTCCAAAATTCCCCCTTCTTAAATTTTGCTCTAAATCATGAGCTTCTTTAATCTTTTTTTTTCCCTCTCTTACCTGCGTTAGAACACATTATGCTTTCTTGCTATGGTTCTGCACCTCTTTTCAGGGTAGAAACCACGGTCCTGATGATGATGATTTGGGGCTTTAAAATAAATTTCTATGAGTAGATATTTGAAATAATTTATAATCAAAATTATTTCCACCACCGAATGGTGTTAAAAGTCATAACTGAAAGCACACACTATGTGAACTTCATCTGATAGAATAATATTGCCACAGCTAAAATTGAAGATAGATTTAGTATCTTGCCAGCTACACCCTCAAAGACCCCCATCCCTTTTCACTGAGGTTAAAAATTATTACATTTGACTATATTGTGTGTGTACACACATTAGTATGTATATAATAAATTATATCCTATATTCAATATATTAAATATGAACCTGAGGTAGTTAGAAACCATTTTTTTCACATCCTTTCTCTCCATCTAATTCTGTTTTCTAAGAACTTTTATATGCAAATTTAAAAAAGTGTGTGTGTGCATGTGTGTGTACCTATATATAAAAGCAAGTTTGCATTTTAATAAAATTAATATAAGCATCAAAAAAATTTATCTTCCATAGAAAGAAATATATTATGTACATAGAAGTGCACATTTTTATTATGTACATAGAAATATATTTTCTATGGTGAATTATTTTTCTTTCCTTTAATATTTGATATTAAATAGGAGAACATTGAAAAACCACTTTCCTTTATGATATTCAGAACCCAGCTGAAAATTCACTGAGGGAGATAATTTAGAGCTCTGCTTATTTTTAAATATTTTTATTTAATAAATTTTTAAAGGACTTTTTTTTTTTACTAAACACTCTCATACACTTTAGGATTAGACTAAGATATTTAATGACATCCAAAGTTTCTTACCTTTCTTTAAAAGCTTTTGTAGCTTTAAAGATAATCTGTCCTTAAGGAACCATTGTAAAGTGCTTTAAGGTCCAGAGGAGTTTTGCTCTACAGCTGCAAAGCTAGCATTACTATCACTGCAAAGCTTGCATTTCTAAGATTATCATCAAATTTTCAAGTAGTAACAGTGCAATATAATTTACTAGTAGTTTTCTAGAGATGAAACTTTGTATCTAGTTTTTGAAATCATGAAGATGATTTTCATATAAAGGTGTAGAAATTACCTGGAGAGTTGTTTTCCAATTGTTATCTGCCCAATTGTCATAGTTTTTTCTAGCTAAAAATTAAAAATGTGAGTACCAGATGTTTTTAGACTCACTGAGAGACTAACCGTCATGGAATGCTGAGATCTTTGTTTAAGAAAATTTTCTTTTACTATTTTGTGTGTTTTTTTCTGAAACTAAAAAAAATTGAAATATATCATTTTTTATTTTCAAGTGAAGAAAATAGCCCATATGACATAGTTTCACAGTTGAAGAAAGGAGACATACGGAAGAGAATCTCTTTGAGAATTACATGTCAACATAGTATCTCCAAGGATAAGATTTATAAGTTTCTGATTTAGCTACAAGACATCTAGAAAATATATGCACATAAATCATTGTTCATAATATTATGGAAAAAATAATGTTACAGGAATATATTAGTTATAGAAATGGTCTTTAATAAGGAAAATTGATTCACTGAAATTCATGCCCTGTAGTAAAATCATATCTTTTAAGTAAAATTTGAATGTTTCCTTATGACAACTGTATGAGCTAAGAAAGTGTAAAACGCTAAAGTACTTTTAAAAAATAACTTGTAATTCAGATGCTGGTGAATACATGCGAACTAATGAGTAGTCAGAAAACTTTCTTAGAACCTTCTCATAGCCACTGGTCTTGTGGTGTCAGATATAATTTTTAGAAGGAAGCATATTTAGGAGTTAGTTCTTTAACAGTTTTGTTTTGTTTATAATTCTAGAAATGTGTATTTTCTAAGAAAAATAATATTCATCCCCAAACCAAAATTAGTACTGTAAATATTATATAGTATGTGTAGTATTTTTCCCATTAATATAAAAGTATTTCTATGTCAGTTGATTGGTCAATTTGTTCTTCTCTTATAAATATATGTGTATATTTATTACAAGAATAGAAGATATTTGTCTTGGTGGTTTCCAAATGTTATTACTACTTATTCAGTAAGTACTGCTTGATATTTAGTAATGGATTTTACAAATAATGATAATTATAATACTAATATTTTTGTCTTAAATTCTTAGCCATGTTTTTGTTTTGACTACTGCATTTCATATATGTATTTGTCTGATATACTGTTACCTGCTTTTTTTTTGAACATTTGTGTTGTTTGCTTTATATACCAATCATACACAAAAGATGGTATCAGATATCTTATCTACCTTTCAGGTTAGTAGAATCTCATTACTTCCCCAAATTCCCTGGCATAGATAATGGGACACATGGGATGAAATTTGACCCCACCTCACACACAAAAAGATATCCATAGGATTAACTGCTAATAAATTCTTTTTCATGAAAGTATTAAATAACATACAGAAATGATGAAAATTGTATAATATTAATTCTTGTCCAATAAAGTGAAGATTTGCAAACATTTGCTTTTGACATCCAAAGTTTTTTACCTTCCTTTAAAAGCTTTTGTAGCTTTTTCATAGACTTCTGAAATCTAAGAGCATTAGCTTTGTATTTTACATTTATCTTTTTAATTCTTGCATCCAAATATGTTTTATGTATAAGAATTATACAACCAATTTATATTATTTGACTGCTTAAGTTTATTTAAGTTTTCATCATAATCTTCAAAGCTTTGCTTTTTATAGGCAAATTTATATTGATTTTATATTTTTACCTTTATTATTTTATTTTATTTTATTTTTGAGACAGAGTCTAGCTGTGTCACATAGGCTGGAGTGCAGTGGCACAATCTCGGCTCACTGCAACCTCCGCCTCCCAGGCTCAAGCGATACATCTGTCTCAGCTCGAGTAGCTGAAACTATAGGTGCGCCACCTAGCATGGCTAATATTTTGTGTTTTTAGTAGAGACAGGGTTTCACCATGTTGGCCAGGTTGGTTTTGAACTCCTGACCTCAGGTGATCTGTCCGTCTCAGCCTTCCAAAGTTGGAATTACAGATGTGAGCCACTGTGCCCAACCCTATATTGATTTTAAATAGGCAAATGCATGTTGATTGTTATTATGAAAATCATCTTTTTTTTTCCTTTTTAACGCATTCTTTTATTTTATTTTCTCCCTATTTTTGTGTGGATTTTATTTTCATGCCTTTTATTTTCTGAGATGTTTTCCCTTTTTAACTTTTAAGTTCAGAGATACATGTGTAGGATGTGCAGATTTGCTACACAGATAAACATATGTCATGGGGATTTGTTGCACAGATTATTTATTGATCCAGGTCTTAAGCCTAGTATCCATTAGTTATTTTTTCTGATCCTCTACCTCCTCCCACCCTCTCCACCCCCCAATAGGCCCCAGTGTCTGTTGTTCCTCTGTATGTGTCCTTGGGTTCTCATCACTTAGCTCCCACTTACAAGTGAGAACATGAGGTATTTGGTTTTCTGTTTCTGTGATAGTTTCTAGGTATTTTATTATTGTTGTGGCAGTTGTGAATGGGAGTTCATTCCTGATTTGGGTCTTAGCTTGACTCTTGTTGGTATATAGGAATGCTAGCGATTTTTGCACATTGATTTTGTATCCTGGGACTTTGCTGAAGTTGTTTATCGGCTTAAGGTTTTGGACTGAGACTATGCAGTTTTCTAGATAAAGGATCTTGTCATCTGCAGACAGGAATAGTTTGACTTTGTCTCTTCCTATTTGGATGCCCTTTATTTCTTTCCCTTGCCTGATTTCCCTGGCAAGAATTTCCAATACTAAATTGAATAAGAGTGGTGTGTTTTGTGCTGGTTTTCAAGAGGAATGTTTCCAGCTTGTGCCCATTCAGTATAACATTGCCTATGGGTTTGTCATATATGGCTGTCATTATTTTGAGGTATGTTTTTTCAATACCTAGTTTACTGAGAGTTTTTAACATGAATAGATGTTGAATTTTATCAAAAGCTTTTTCTGTATCTCTTGAGGTAAGCATGTGGTTTTTGTTTTTAGTTCTCTTTATGTGATGAATCACATTGATTAATTTGTGTATGTTGACTCAACCTTGCATCTGAGGGATAAAGTCTACTTGATTGTGGTGAATAAGCATTTTAATGTGATGCTGGATTTGGTTTGCCAGTATTTCATTGAGGATTTTTGCATCAAGGTTCATCAATGATATTGACCTGAAGTTTTCTTTTTTTGTTGTATCTCTACAACGTTTTGGTTTCAGGATGATGCAGGTCTCATAGAATGAGTTAGGGAGGAGTCCCTACTCCTCAAATTTTTGGGATAGTTTTACTAGGAATGGTATCAGCTCTTCTTCTTACAACTAGTAGAATTCAGCTATGAATTCAACTGGTCCTGAGCTTTTTTGGTTGATAGGCTAATTTATAACTGCCTCAATTTCAGAGCTCATTATTGGTCTGTTCAGTGATCCAATTTTTTCCTGGTTCAGTCTTGGCAAGGTGTCTGTGTCCAGGAATTTATGCATTTCTTCCAGATTTTCTAGTTTATGTGCATAGAGGTATTCATAATATTTTCTGACGGTTGTTTTTATTTCTGACGGATTAGTGGTAATATCCTTCTTATTTCTGATTGTGTTTATTTGAATATTCTCTTTTCTTCTTTATTAGTGTAGTTAACAGTCTATTTTATTAATTTTTTTCAGAAAACAGTTCCTTGATTTGTTGACCTTTTGGTGGTTTTTCATGTCTCTATCACTATCAGTTTGGCTCTGATTTTGGTTATTTCTTGTCTTCTGCTAGCTTTGGAAATTGCTCTTTATTCTCTAGTTCTTTCAGTCATGATCTTAGGTTCTTAACTTGAGATCTTTCTACCTTTTCTGATGTAGGCATTTAGTGCTATAAATTTCCCTCTTAACACTGCCTTAGCTGTGTCTCAGTTATTTTGGTATGTTGTATCTTCATGCTCATTAGTTTCAAAGAACTTCTTGATTTCTGTCTTAAATCAAAGAGTGTTACTTCCAATTATGTGGTTGGTTTTAGAGTATGTGCCACGTGGCAATGAGAAGAATGTATATTCTGTTGTATTTGTGTGGAGACTTCTGTGTATATATATCAAGTCCATTTGATTCAGTACTGAGTTCAGATCCTAAATGTTAATTTTGTCTCAGTGATTTGTTTAATATTGTCAGTGGGGTATTAAAGTCTCCCACTATTACTGTGTGGGAGTCTAAGTCTCTCTGAAGGTATCTAAGAACTTGCTGTATGAATCTGGGTGCTCCTGTGTTTCAGTGCATATATATTTAGTATAGTTCGATTTTCTTATCGAAGTGAACTGTTTACCACTAGGTAATGCTCTTCTTAGTCTTTTTTGATCTTTACTGGTTTAATGTCTGTTTTGTCTGAAGTTAGGATTGTAGCCCCTGTTTACTTTTGTTTTCCATTTACTTGGTAGTTTTTTCTCCATCCCTTCATTTTGAGTCTATGTGTGTCATTGCATGTGAGATGGGTCTTTTGAAGACAGCATACCAATGGGTCTTGTTTCTTTAGCCAGTTTTCCACTCTATGTCTTTTAATTTGGCATTTAGACCATATACATTTAAGGTTATTATTGTGGATTTGATCCTATTATCATGATGTTAGCTGGTTATTTGGCAGACTTGTTTATGTTGTTGCTTTATAGTGTCACCAGTCTGTGTACTTCAGTCTGTTTTTGTAGTTGCTGGTAACAGTCTCTCAATTCCATATTTAGCCCTTCATTCAGTAGCTGTTCTAAGGCACATTTGGTGGTAACAAATTCTCACAGCATTTGCTTGTCTAAAAAAATCTTATTTCTCCTTTGCTTATAAAGCTTTGATGGCAAGATATGAAATTCTGCGTTGGAATTTCTTTTCTTCGAGGATGTTGAATATTGGTCCCCAATCTCTTCTGGCTTGTAGGGTTTCAGCTGAGAGGTCTGCTGTTAGTCTGATGGGCTTTGTAGGTGACCTGGCCTTTCTAGCAGCATTTAACATTCTTTCTTTCATGTCAACCTTGGAAAATCTGAGGACTGTGTATCTTTGGGATGGTCTTCTCATGGAATATCCTATTGGGGGTCTCTGCATTTCCTAAATTTGAATGTTGACCTCTGTAGCTAGGTTGGGGAAGTTCTCATGAATGATATCCTGAAATAAGTTTTCCAAGTTGGTTCCATTTTCCCCATCTCTTGTAGGTACACCAATTGATCATAGATTCAGTCTTTTAACATGATCCCATATTTCTCAGAGGTATTGTTTATTCACTCCTTTCATTCTTTTTTCTCTTTTCTTGTCTGACTGTCAGAAAGGCAGTCTTCGAGATCTGAGATTGTTTCCTCTGTTTGGTCTATTCTGTTATTAATACTTGTGATTGCATCATGAAATACTTGTCTTGTGTTTTTCAGTTCTATCAGGTTGGTTACATTCTTGCCTACAGCGGCTGTTTTGACTGTCAGCTCCTGCAATGTTTTATCATGGTCTTTAGCTTCCTTGCATTGGGTTACAACGTACTCCTGTAACTCAGTGAACTTTGTTATTATCCATAGGAATGATGACTACTGCTGTCATTTCAGCCATCTCAGCTTCAGTTCAGTTCCAAACCCTTGCAGGAGAGGTGATGCAGTCATTTAGAGGAAAGAAGGAACTCTGGCTTTTGAGTTTTCAGCATTCTTGCACATACATTTGTTTTCTCATCTTTGTGGGTTTATGTACTTTCAATCTTTGAGGTTGCTAACCTTTGGATTTTTTGTTGTTGTTGTTTTGTGTTGTTTTTAATAGTATTTAATTACCTTGAAGGTTTGATTGTGGCATAAGGTGGATTCAGCCACTGGCTTCATTTCTGGAAGATTTTATGCGGCTAACATTCAGCTCCTAACTCCTGGACTGTTTTTTCTAACTCTGGGGACTTGTATTGGGCCTTGACTTTATTCTCTGGTTCCTTGAGGTTTGGAGTTTACTGTGCTGGGGGGAACCAAGGTAAAGTCTCTTATAGGCTCTTATAGGAGCAAGTTGAGCCTGGAGCAGTGGTCCTCTCTGGCCATGCTCCACTACAGATGCTTCTGCACCAAACCTTCTGGGCTTCATACCAGCTGGCTTGCTGTTCCACCACTTTGCTTGTCTCCTGGGGGCTCCACCCCAGATAAATGTGAGTAAACAGTCACTCAGTGCAATCAGCCCAGTATGGAGGGTCTGTGTTGTGGGCCCAAGCTAGGGGTTTCCCATCTAGTGATGAACAGTGGAGAATGTGTGAGACCCTTGGGAAACACACTGGCCTCCTCTCCTTGGGTTGACTGCATCTTATTGGAGGTGTAGATAAGGCACTTAGGGTCTTTACTCTTTTGTTAGTCTGAGGGTAGTAAGGATGGTTCTACTGCAGAGACAGTGACAGAGAGGCTTTCAGTTGTTCCTGGAGGCTCTGTCCAGGTAGTTCCTGAGTTGGTACAGGCTTGATAGCTCTGGCAGGGGGTCCCTAGAAGCTCAGGCCTGGAGGACCTGCTTCTTGAGGATATATGGGAATGGGAATCCACATAACACTCTGGCCACTTTTCCATAGGGCTGCTGTGGTAAGCTTGGGGCCCATTCCAGTCACTAGTTGCCTTGGATTTCCCAGTACTTGGAGGTATCAACAGTGAAGCCTGTGAAGCAGCAAAGATGGCAGCCTGCCCCTTCCTCTGGTAGCTTCAGTGAGGAAGGGTCCTGTTGCCAATCTGGATGCACCTGTATGAGGTGACTGAAGACCCCGGTTGGAGGTCTCACCCAGTCAGGAGAAACAGGGTTGGGGACCCACTTACAAAAGCAGTCTGGTCAAGTGTTTGTAGAGCAACTGTGCTGTACTGGGGTCTGCTTCTGTCCTTGGTCCCCTTGGACATTCTGAAGCCCAAAGGTTGGAATGGCTAAGTTGTCCAAACAGCAAAGATGGTGGCCTGCCCCTCTACCTGGGAGCTCTGTCCTAAGAAGGCCTGAAAGCTCTGTCAGCCAGAGAACACCAGTGCAGGTAGCCAGAGACCCTGGTTGGGAGACTTCCCCCTGGTAATGAGGAACAGGTTCAGGGACCTTCTTACAAAAGCACTCTGGTCACATTTTTGTAGGGTAGCTCTGCTGTTCTGAGATACTGCCCCAACCCCCGTGGACTTGGGCTCTCCAAAGCCTAAAGTCTAGAAAGACTAAGTTACCAAAACAGCAAAGATAGCGGCCTGACTCTCCCCCTGGCACCTCTGTCCTAGGGAGTTTTCAAATGTCTGTCAGCCTGAGAACACTGGCAGTGGTGACTGGAAGCCTTAGTTAGGTCCCACCCAGTGAGGAGGAATGGAATTTGGGATCCACTTAGAGAAGCAGTCTGGGCACATTTTGTTAGAGCAGCTGTGCTGTGCTGGGGGATCCCTTTCACCCTTGGTTGGTGTGGATTCTCCAGAACCTGAAGGCCTAAATGGTTAAGTTGCCCAAACAGCAGAGATGGTGACCCACCCCTCCCCTTGGGAGCTCCATCCCAGGAAGGTGCAGCACTGCTATTTGTTGCTGCCTGAAATTCCATGCCAGTGGGTCCTATCCTATGAGGCATCATTGGTTGGCCCCCTGGATTCAGCCTCTTTCCCAGGGGTATGTACAGGGGCCTAACCTCTTGCTTTGCTGGAGTTGCAACTACTTTTGCTGGTATGCCTGGGAAGCTGGAGTATTCAAAGCTCCTGCGTCCCCACATGTTTCTGGGCAGCTGTTTTGGTGAGACTCCATGTAGCTCTCTCTGTCATCCTGAAGGCCCTGGAGGAGTGGGTTGATGAGGGGATCTCCTGACCCACTACACCAGGGGATTCAGTATGACACACAGAGCTATGAGGATTGCAAATATCCATGGGAGAAGCTTGGGTTCCCAGGCTAGCACTTTCACTCACTGCCTCTCTGGGTTGGGGAGCTTCCCTTGGCTCTATTTCGCTCACAGGTGGGCCATTGTCTTGCCTTGCTTTTCTTCATTCTTTGTGGATTCAATTGTTTCCTTGACTAGTCCCAATGTGAGTACTTGGATGTTTCAGTTGAAGGTGCTGTATTCACTTGCCCCATCTGTTCCACTCCATAAAAGCCACACACATTAGCTGCTTCTAGTTGGCCATGTTGGTCGCCCCACCTCTGAGATGTTTTAGAAATCGTATTAGCTTATTTTATATCTTAATAGTGTTTATTTTAATTTTTAAATTTAAAACAATTTTTTTAAATTTTAAAGTATTCAAGGTAATTTTCAGTCTGAATTTTTAATTTTATTGTGAATGGAGGTGTTTTTCTGTATGCATTTCTTTATGTGTGTAGATGTGTGTCCACACAGATGTCATTCATAGGTTCTACATTGACATGTTTACATTTGCTTACGCTATAATTATACAAATCTTTTGTCTTAGTCTGTTCATGTTGTTATCACCTCAAAACAAACAAACAAACAAAAACAAAACCAAAAAACTCGGTGGCTTATAAAGAACAGAAACTTACTTCTGGAGGCTGTGGGGAGTCCAGGATCAAGGCACTGGCAGATTCACCATCTGGTGAGAGACTACTTTCTTGTTCCTGGACAGCCAACCTTCTTCTCGTAACCTGACATGGCAGAACGGACATTAAGAAATTCTCTAGGGACTTTTTAATATGGACACTATTCCCATTCAGGAAGGCTCTACCTTTATGACCTAATTACCTCCCAAAGCCATACTTCCTAAAACTATCACCTTGGGGCTTAGAATTTTCACATCACAATTAGTATGGTGTGTACATCGGTACAAACATTCAGACCATAGCATCTGTCTGGATTGTGATTCAGTAAATTAAGAGTGAGTCAACAGATTCTCTGTCCTTTTTTAATGTATGTGTGTGTATGTGTGTGTGTGTACTAAGGTATATGTGTAGATTTAATATGTAGCACTTCTACTCCAAATCTTATTTCTAGCAGTTTTTCCTAGTATCACCTTGCAATCATATGTCTTTCCAGTTGTCTTCTGTAATTTGAGGTTTCTGACTAGATGCACATAAGTTAGCTAAATATGGGTACTGGACATTGCACTCCTCTAGTCTCACGGAAAGGAAATTAATGTATAGAAATCAATATTTCTTCAACTTTCTATGTGGTACAGACTTTTATATTGGAGCCCAGTGTGGCAGAGAATGCACACATTATCATTTTGTTATTTTTGTCTTAATAATGTTTTTTTCAGAAGCAAAACAAGTTTATGTCATGTGCTAGGCACCAGTGATTCTTACTTTCTATATATCTACCTAAATTGTAATTAATTTTTTTTTTTTTTAGCTACTGATATTAGGTTGTGTTTTGGTGTTAGGAGTTTTTATTTTGTTTTGTTATAATGTTATTATTATGAGTTTGTTTTTAATGTGACAATTCAAACTGGAGGCTATTAAGGATATACCATTTTGAACCAAAAATAAACAAAGATATTAAAAATTATTAAAAAGAACGTAGGTTCTTTTCTCAGCCGGTCTGAGAAATAAATGGAAAGAGTATGAAAGGAGAAATTTTAAAGCTGGGTGTCCGGGGGAGACATCACATGTCGGCAGGTTCCATGATGACCCCCAAGCTGCAAAACCAGCAAGTTTTTATTAGTGATCTTCAAAAGGGGAGGGAGTGTACGAATAGGGTGTGGGTCACAGAGATCACATGCTTCACAAGGTAATAAGATATCACAAGGCAAGTGGAGGCAGGGTGAGGTCACAGGACCACAGGACCGGGGCGAAATTACAATTACTAATGAAGTTTCGGGCACGCATTGTCATTGATAACATCTTATCAGGAGACAGGGTTTGAGAGCAGACAACCGGTCTGATCAAAATTTATTAGGCGGGAATTTCCTCATCCTAATAATCCTGGGAGCGCTGCAGGAGACTGGGGCTTATTTCATCCCTACAGCCATGACCATAAAAGACAGCCAACCCCAAAGTGGCCATTTTAGAGGCCTCCCCTTAGGGATGCAGTCTCTTTTTCAGGGATGTTCCTTGCTGAGAAAAAGAATTCAGTGATATTTCTCCTATTTGCTTTTAAAAGAAGAGAAATATGGCTCTGTTCTGCCCAGCCCACAGGCAGCCAGACTTTTAAGGTTATCTCCCTTGTTCCCTGAACATTGCTGTTATCCTGTTCTTAAGGTGCCCAGATTTGATATTGTTCAAACACACATGCTCTACAAACAATTGGTGCAGTTAATGCAATCATCACAGGGTCCTGAGGTGACATACATCCTCCTCGGCTTACGAAGACAATGGGATTAAGAGATTAAAGACAGGCATAGGAAATCACAAGAGTATTGATTGGGGAAGTGATAAATGTCCATGAAATCTTCACAATTTATGTTCAGAGATTACAGTAAAGACAAGCATAAGAAATTTTAAAAGTATTAATTTGGGGAACTAATAAATGTCCATAAAAATCTTCACAATTTATGTTCTTCTGCCATGGCTTCAGCCAGTTCTTCCATTCGGGGTCCTTGACTTCCTGCAACAAACATACATTTTGTACTGTATTACTGAAAGATAAAGGTGTAGAGGTAAATTGTAAAGACAGAGAAAAGGATTTCCTGATGTGTTTTATATTCAGATAGCTGATATCTGTGCCTTCTGCCAAGGCCTCTTTTTGGTATGGATAATGCTGGCAAACAAGAAGGATGGAAAGGATTAATTAATCAATATCTCCTGAGGATTTTTAGCTAAAAGACTCGTGAAAAGGCCAAGCACTGTCATTACCATGATGTAGTCTGATTATGGTGATTATGTGACCCAAAAAAAGATGTTAAAAGGGAGATATTCCCATGAGTATCTAGTATTAATGTAACTGTTGACAGCAGAGAAAAGTTGGAATATCTGAATAAGACCTCCCTTCCAAAAAATTCAACTGCCTCATAGACTGATATATATGACTAAGTTAAATTGCCACTGCCAGAATCATTGTCATTCTACAGTGACATTGAATCTCTACTCATCACTTCTCCAAGAACAATGCATGTGAATTGTAAGGCCTACTAGGACACATGAAAGCATCTGTAGTTTTTCAGTGAGTATACAAATAATAATACAAATAATACAATGGCTTAAATTCTAAAACAGAAACCTTGGCTACTTTTAGCTATTTTTAGAAAAAAGGCTACAATAGTCTTACCATAACAGAGATTACAATAACCTAATGTCCACTAATAAACAGATAAATCTATTCACCGGTACAGCTATATGAAAGAAAACATTGTATTAAAAATACTCACGAAGTATAATAATAATAAAAATAATAATAAAAAAGAATGTTGAAAAAATACTCAGGAGTATCACTTAACAAATCACACAATTAAATGTGGTCATAAAGGTTTTATGATTTTTTTAACCAAAGTAGACAGGTAGAATACATTGATTTAATTGTTTATTACCTTGATTTATAACCTCTAAAATCTTGCCCCAGTCCTGTTCATATAAGGTGTGGTGCTGACTTTACATTTAGACATGTCTGACTCTCTTAGTTTCTTACAAGATTGTGGTAGCACAAGGAGGGCTGGCTCTGAGTGTGCAGACCCCCCATCCCTCTTCTACTTACCACTGCCATCCTGCATCCTCCTCCACTACCTGCAATTCATGGCCTTCTCCCTTGTTCGCATTTACATTATTCTCGGAAGTTTTTAGATCCAAACAAAGAGATGTGAACACATATATCGCAATGCTTTAATATTTCATTAATAAACACAAAGTCATAGAATACTATTTGTAAGTACATATTCATATCATTATGTGTAACAGCATAACTACATATTATTAGAGCATCTATATGTGTATAAGTGTGCACGTGTGCATATTTTATATCTAGAGAGAATTGCATAACTAATGAATGCAAAATAAAAATTAATTTTCACAAACAAATGAAGCACACCAAAGATAAAACATCAAACATGTTTTTACCTTAATTCATTGAAATTACAAGTCAAAAGTAAATAGAGAAATTAAGCTGTTGTCATATTTAGAAATTACAAAAAAAAAACCATTAGAGTACAATTTTAGACCTAAACCTAAAACATAGAACTATAAATGATTTTGAACATTATAGGAAAAAATTTAGGTGGCCTGGAGTCTGGTGATGTCATTTTAGAAACAACACAGAAAGCATAATCTGCACAAGACAAAATTGTTAAGTTAGATTTTATTAAAATTAAAAACTGCTCAGTGAAAGACAAGGCTAAGAGAATGAAAAGACAATCTACAGACCAGGAGAAAATATTTGCAACATACATGTATATTTGAGGACTTTCACACATTGTATTTAACTATGTACAAAACTCTCAAAAGTTAACAATAAAAAAACACAAATTTCACCAAATCAACTAACACATCATCAAATGAGATGCACAGATGACAAGTAAACATATTTAAAAAAAGTTTAATAGCATATGTCTTTAAGGAATTACAAATTAAAACAATGAGATACCAGTACACCTATTAAAATGGCTAAAATCTAAAACAGAGACAACAACAAATGCTGCTGGGAAGGATGTGAAGCAATAGGGTTTCTTATTATTGCTGGTGGAAATGGAATATGCTACAGCCACTCTGGAAGACAGTTTGCCGATTTCTTATAAAGATAAACATTGTCTTATCACGTGATCCAGAAATCATACTTCTAGGTATTTACCCAAATGAGTTGAAAACTTATGTCCACACAAAACCTGCAGGCAAAGGTTTATACCATAATTATTCATAATACCAAAACTTGGAAGCAATCAAGAAGTCTTTCAATAAGTGAATGTATGAAAATCTCTCTGTGATGATTAATTTTATGTGTAAATTTGGAGGGCATTTTTTGATGAAAGTAATATTTAAACTGGTGAACTTAGAATAAAGCAGATTTGCCTTCATGCTGTGGGTGTGCCTCATCCAGTCAGCCGAAGATCCAATCAGCCAGCCTCCACAAGCAGGAGGAAAACCTTTGGTCTTCAAATGTACCATCAGCTCTCCTGAGTCCCTAGCATGCTGACGTTTGGACTGAAACTGCATGATTCCGCTCTCCTGTGTCTTAAGCCTGTTAGCCCACACTGAAGATTTTCAAATTGTTGGCATTAACAATTGTGGGGGTCAATTCTTTATAACAAATATCTTTCTATATATGTACACATCATATTGGTTTTATTACTCTGGAGAACTGTAAACACATTGTTATGACCATACAATGGAATACTATTCAGCAATAAGAAAAAATGTGTTATCAAGCCACCAAAATAAATGGAGGAGACTTAAATGCATGTTACTAGGTGAAAGAAGCCCCAGTCTGAAATAGCTACATACCATATAATTGCAATGGTATGACATCTGGAAAATAAAAAAATTATTGAGACAGTAAAACCATCAATGGTTGCTAGGGGTTGGGAGAATGGAAGGGATAAAGATAAATAGGAGAATCAGAAGGGATTCTCAGGACTGAGAAACTACTGTGGATGATATTGTAATGGTGGATATGTAACATTATGCATTTTGCAAAACCCATAGAACTGCACAAAGAGCAAACCCTAATGCAAATAATAGACTTTAGCAAATGATAATGAATTAATATAAGTTCATCAATTTTAATAAATGTGCTAAACCAATGCAAGAGTTAATAATAGGGGAAACTGAGGGCAGAAGAAGAGGGAATATATGGGAACTCTGTAATTTCTGCTCAATTTTTCTGTAAGCCAAAAACTGTTCTAAAAATGAAGTCTATTCATTTATAAAAATAATCCTAAAAATAAAAAGAGAAAATTTTTAAATAGTATTTAGAACTACATTATTGTGACCATATATTTTAAAGAAAATAATAAAAATAAACATATAAAGCTTTCAAAGCAAAAGTTATAAAATTTATATAACACATATGTAAGATAGCTGATAGATCAACAGATTGATTGACAGACAGATGAATAGGTATAAATAGATAATGAGTTAACAAGATCAAATAAACCTAATCCTAACTTAATGGCTTGATTTGACTCTAATGAGAGATAATAGATTGTCTCCAATTCATTTCTACCATAGATAATTACAAGATGAATATTTGCTTGGTAACTTAGATGAGAGTTTTTTTCTGGATATACCCCCAGGAGTTGAATTTTCTGGGGACCATGTAAATTTATTAAACTCATGCTTCTGTGTGTGTATATATACACATACACACACATATATACATTTTCTATACAAATGCCCTTCTCCAATGAGGCAAGTACCTGAGCCTATTTCTGCCACTGACCCTCTGTTCCTTGTCACCTCATCTCCTCCTTCTCCTGCAGCATTCCTATCCTGCTCTATCCTACACTGGAAGAGTTCAGTCTGCAGGTGTGTGGGAACTTCAGCTCAAACATTAACACTCCATTCTCAATCTCTGCATTAGCTGCACACCCATCCAGCCTAGGGGCATGTCAGAGACATGGTTTGATTTTGGAGGATGAAGCCAGTGTAGCTCTGGAAGACAAATAGCCTGAGGACATCTGGGCAGAAAGCTTTAAGGTCCTGGGTAACAGAAATATATTCTAAAAATCCCCAGGGGAGTGGTGGTGTGCACTTTTGTATTTTCTTGATAAGCAAGTCCTTTTGGCCCTGTCTTACTCCATTCCTGCTGCTGTAATAAAATACTACAAACTGAGTAATTTACAAACATATATATTTTTCCTTACAGTTCTGGAAACTAGGAAGTATAAGATCAAGGTGAGGGCAGATTTGGTGTCTGGTAAAGGCTTGCTCTCTACTTCCAAGATGACACCTTGTGCTGTGTCCTCCAGAGGAGAGGAACGCAGTGTCCCCACAGGCCGTAAGAGCCGTAAGGGAAAAGGGGCTGGGGCACTCACCTTAACCTTTCAGATAATGTGACTTATTCTATCCATGAGCACTCCACTCTCATAACTTAGTCATCTTCCAAAGCCCTCAGCCCTTAGTGCTATCACATTGGAGATTAAGTTTCCACATATTAGTTCTGGGGGACACATTCAGACAGTAGCAGCCCTCCTAGATCTCTTACACTGTGGGGAGGCACAACCAGAAGAAGGCCATAGTGAAGCATGATAAAGACCCTTGCTTGGGCCTCAGGGTGTGACTGACTAAAGCCGGGCATATGTAAATGACATATGAGATCCTTTAGAAGTGAGGAAATAGAAAGATCTTTCTTTACTGCAACATGAATGCATTTTGGAAAGTGATGTTGAGTGAGAAGAGTAGGGAACAGAATGGGATTCATTGAAAAGAAAACATGATTTACATTTAAAACATATAAAAGCAACACTCTATGGAGTGGACTGGCAATTGAGATAAAAGTAAGAACAAATATAGTAAGCCCTAAATTAAGGAATGTGTTTAATCTAACTCTTTTTTTCTGTGTTAATAATAATAAAAATAAAGAAAAGTTAAAAAAAATAAAACATCGGAACCCTTTGCTTCAGACTTATTATATTTTGCATCAACCTCACCCTTCTTACCTCCAACCTTTATTCAGCCAACTTCCTCTCTTTGAATATAATTCTACAACCCTGACTTTTTCCATGGACATCTAACACAAAGCCTAAGACCAATCCAAGTCACTATCCATACCCAATCTCTTCCAAGAAACTTATGTGGACAGTTCTAATATCTTTTTGTGACATAATGTGAGACATTTCATATTAAAATATATTGTAGTATTTGATTATATATCATTACCTGTGTTTCTCTAGTTTTTCTTTACATGTGCTCTCCCAATAGTGCCATATGATCTTTATTTTATTTTATTTTATTTATTTTATTTTATTTTTTTGAGGCAGAGTTTTGCTCTTGTTGCCCAGGCTGGAGTGCAATGGCACGATCTCCGCTCATTGCAACCTCCGCCTTCCAGGTTCAGGCGATTCTCCTCCCTCAGCCTCCCGAGTAGCTGGGATTACAGGCATGTGCCACCATGCCTAGCTAATTTTGCATTTTTAATAGAGACGGGGTTTTTCCATGTTTGTCAGGCTGGTCTCAAACTCCTGACCTCAGGTGATCCACCTGCCTCGGCCTCCCAAAGTGCTGGGGTTACAGGCATGAGCCGCCGTGCCCTGCCCATATGATCTTTAAATTTAGGGTTATCCCTTTCCTCTTTCTGTCTTTCCTTCCATCATTTCTTTTTCTTTCCTTTCTTCCCTTTTTCTTTCTTTCCTGAAACAAACATTTATTGAGGTGTAGCTGTGCTCAGATCAATGCACTATTAATCTTGGTTAAAAAAAGATAAGTAATAACCCCCATGGCTTAAGAAGCTCACAGGGTAGAGAGAAACTCAGACAAGTGTGATAAATATGATCAAGTTTATCATAGGATGGTACGTGTGTTAAAGTACACAATGTGAATATCACAGTGTCATCTAATCATTAGTTAATATTATACATAAATTACATGTGGTTAATATTAACTATTGCTAACAATATTATACTGTCTTAGTTATACCAATATTACAGAAATAATATTAAAGATAATATTAATAATATCATGTTAATTAATACTAAATTCAACCAAATACATTTTGATGCAAAACTTACATAAATTATTCTTTTTATATCATCTACTTCCCTGAATTCTTCATATTATTGCTTCTTTCCATTATTGCAAATAATCTGAAGTTGACTATATATCAATTAGCCAACAAAATTCACAAAGTAATTGTAGTGGTGATTTATGCTGTTGTCAGAAGTATGCAAGGAATAAATATGCCTGTAATTTTGTTTCTACCACTTGCAAATATATGTCTATATTTATTGTTCAAGGTTTGATGATTGCTTACAAGGACGGTGACAGAAATCTTAGGAAACATAAATCCCAAGTTTCTCAAGGGCAGAAGCAAAACTGCATTACTAGTAATCTCAAATCAGCCTATTTTTCTCCAATTTGCAAAAGAAGCCCAAAATTCATCAGTACTGTACTCTCGTATTAAAGAGGAAATTATAAGTATAAAATGATAAATAGCCAAAGGATATATTTTAGGAAAGTGTTAGCAAGCATTCAATCACCAATTTGCCTGGAAACTTCTATGCTGCAACCCTTTTATAGGAATTAATTTTAATAAAGTAGAATAAACATTTCCTGATATATCCTGTAGTCAGGTTATATCAGGAAACAGGATATATCAGGAAATAGTAGGTCAAATTATCTCTGACCTACTATTTGGCTATTTTATTCAAGTAGCATTTTATTTATTTCTCAAATCTGTTTTTCACCGCATGCATTTCTGGGATAGCTACATGTTTCTTTTCTTTCTCCTAACAATAAAGTGCATATGGATTCTTAACTCCATATGAATGTCATTCTCCTTATAGATGGGATATGTAGAAATAGAAAGTACTTGCAGCATTTCCTTACTCATGTCATCCTGCGTTTTCCACAATACATTTAAGAGACCTTTGGATTCTTTAAATAATCCCACAACATTCACATGCTCATTATTTAAACAAACCAGGGCTGCTTTCATGGGTATGTGACCTGTGCAGTTGCTTAGAAGAGCCAGGATTAATGCTCTCTGTTTTCGTCATCTTGAAAATCTTAATAACTTCTGAAGAAAGAATCATGCCTTTTTTTTCTGCACTGAATTCCACAAATTAGATAGCCTGTCTATCTAGTATTGGTAGATTCTATGAAATGAACACAGAAGAACATTGGAAAGCCATGCATAAATATTAATAGTAGTTATTTTTAGATGGTGGTTGCCATAGCCTGTTTGTGCTGCTATAACAAAATATCTGAAACTATGTAACATAAAAAACAGAAATTTGTTTCTCAGAGCTTGGGAGGCTAAGAAGTCCAAGATCAAAGCACTGGCAGGTTCATCAGTGTCAGATGAAGCCTCCTTTCTCATAGATGGCACCGTCTAGGTGTCTTCACCTGGTGGAAAGAATGGAAAGAGCACAGGGGACAAATGCTGTGTCCTCATATGACTGAAGAGCAGATGAACAAAAAGGGACTAAGCTATTTCCCTGCAGCCCTTTCATGAGATACTCATCCACTCATCAAAGCAGAGCCCTCATGACTTAATCATGTCCCAAAAGGTCCCAACTCTTAATACCACCTGAATTAAGTTTCAACACCTGAATTCTGGGTGGCATTCAGACCACAGCATTTCACCATTGGCCCCCAAAACTCATCTTTCTCACATGTAA
This sequence comes from Homo sapiens, assembly GCF_000001405.40. Lineage (NCBI taxonomy): Eukaryota > Metazoa > Chordata > Mammalia > Primates > Hominidae > Homo > Homo sapiens. The sequence continues at coordinate 58,611,919 of NC_000004.12, read as the reverse complement.
AACACACTCATTTAATTCCAACAGCCACCAAAATCTTAATTCATCTCAGCAGCGAATCAAAATTCTAAAATCTAGAGCCTCATATAAATTAGATATAAGGCAACTTACTTTCCAGTAGTGAATGTGTAAAATCAGACAAGCTACGTGCTTCCCAAATACTATTGTGGGACAGAAATAGGACAGATACTCCCATTCCAAAAGGGAGAAATGTGAAAGATGAAAGGTGGAAGAGGTCTCACATAAGGCCAAAACCCAACAAGGCAAACAACACTAAACCTTGCAGCTTGAAAATTATCTTTCAACTTCATGTACTACCTTCCGGAAACATTGGAGTGGAAGGTGGACCTCCAAACTCTAAAGGACCACACCCCAATGACTGCCAGGAGCATTCCATGCTGCAGATTTCACAAATTGGAGCCTAGTTCCTGTGGCTTTCCCAGGCTTGGGTTGTATGCTAGTGGGTGCGCTCTTTGGTGTTCCCAGCCATTATGGCTCCACTAAGTATTACCTTAGTGGGGGTTCTCTGTGGCAGCCCCACCTCTGTGACAGTTCTCTGCCTGAGCTCTTTGGAGCATCCTTTGAAATATAGGTAAAGATAGCCATTCCTCCACAGCTCTTGCACTCTGCATTCCTATAGAAATAGTACTCTAAGGATGCCACCAAGATTGACCACTTGTGAATTACAGAAAGGAATCTGAGCTGCAACTAGGCCCACATGAGTCACAGCTGGGGCAGTGGAGGAATGCTACAATGGAAAGTTGAACGCAAAGACTTGAGGTTGCTCTGGACAGCAAATTTTGGGGCCCCAGGAGTGTTCTGGGCCCTTTCTTTGACAATGGCACTCTGGGCCTGTGATGGGAGGGGCAGCACTAATAATCTTTAAAATGCCTTCAAGATCATTCTTTCTTTGGATGATTATCATCCAGCTTCCTTCTATCCATATTAATTTCCTTTAATTTCCTTATCAAATGCTCACTTGGCCACACCCTTGGAGTTTTATCTCAAATATACTTTTACAACCTGACCAGATTGAAAACTTTCCAAATATTTCAATTCTTCTTCCTTTTTGATTATAAATGTCTCCTTTCATTTATTTCTTTTCTAATATTTACTACAAGCATTTAAGAGAAGCCATGCAGCACCCTGAAAACTTTGTTTACAGATTTTTTTACTGCCAGACAGCCTAGTTCATTTCTCTTAAATTTTGCCTTCCACAAAGTACTAGGACACGGATTCGAGTTAGCCAAATTCTTTGTCACTTTATAACAAGGACTTTTCCTTCAGTCTCCAATAAGATATTTTTCATTCCTCTCTAACACTTCATCAGACTGGGCTTTACTGTCCATATTTCTAAGAGCATTATGGTCACAAGAACTTAGATTATCAATAAGAAGGCATATGCTCTCTTTACAGCTCTCTTCTTCTGAGTTCTCACCAGAATTTCCCTGAAGGCTCCTTGATCGTAGTCTAGGCTTTTCCTAGCATGCACTGTCAATCTCTTCCAACCTCTACCCATTACCCAGTTCCAAAGCCACTTACATATTTTTAGGTAATTGTTACAGCAGCACCCCGTGTTTCTGGTATAAATTTTGGTCTTAGTCTGTTTGTGCTGCCATAATGGGTTTGTGCTGTGATAATCGGTAATTTATAAGCAACAGAAATTTATTTCCTCACAATTCTGGAGGCTGAGGATCTCACAATCAAGGTGCCATCAGGTTCGATGTTTGGTAATGGCCCTGGGTTTGCGGCCAAAATGGTATCTTGCCCGGATCCTCACATGGCTGAAGGTAAAAGGGCAAAAGGGCCAAAGCCTGTGTCCCCACATAGTGAAAGAGCAGAAGAGAATGAACTCACTCTCTCAAGCCCTTTTATAAGGGCCTTAATGGCATCCATGAGGGCTCTGCTTTCATGACTTAATCAACTCCTAAAGATCCCATTTCTTAATACCATCATATTGAAAATTAAGTTACAGCACTTGAATTTTAGAGGCAAGGGCCAGAATGTTATGATCTGAATATGTCCCCCAGTGTTTATATGTTGAAACTTAATCACCAATGTGATAGTTTTAAGAAGCAGGGTCTTTAGGAGGTGATTAAGTAATGAAGTCCCCATAGATGGGACTAGGACCTTTATTAAAGCATTTGAGTGAGTAATTTCCCTCTCTTCTGCTCTTCTACCATGTGCAGACACAACATTTGTCCCCTTTTGCTATTCCACCTTCCAACATGCAAGGAGGAAGAGCAGGCCACTATCTTTGAAAAAGAGACCAGCCCTTCACCAGTCACCAAACCTTGATCTTGGATTTTTCAATCTTCAGAAATACATTTCTGGTGTTCATAAATTACCCAGTCTCAAGTATTTTGTTATAGCAGGACAAACTGAGTGACATAGTGATATTAAGAAAACTTTAATTTTTTTCACCTTTATTTTCTAATATTCCTGAACCTTAGAGATAAAGGAGGATAAAGTTGTCTCAGAAATTCCATGTGATTGAACAAATATGCTTTATGATAATCCTTTTGAGATAGAGGCTTTTGGTATACAGTTGGATAAGATACTTTTATTTGTGAGGCTATGGATAATTTTACATTAAATATTAGAGCTATACAGTAAATGAAATGCAATATATAATTAGCTAAGCAGCAACCATAAGCTGTTGAGTGCAGAAAAAAGCTTGCCTTGAGTTTTCACCATAACACTGGATCACAATGAATAGAGGATAATAAAATGGCTCTTTTAAAATCCTGTTTTCTCTGAACACTCTGTTTTTATGTGTTTATTCATATTTCTCACATCTTGATTCATGACTTTTATTATTTTAGTTCTAAAAACTATACAAAATTAATGAGAACAAACATTCACAATTATCTGGAGAATTGCATAGTATTCAGGTCTAAGTATGCAGGAAACAAAGATGGTGTGCAACAGCTGGCCAATTTTTTATTTTTATTGCCACTTCAGAAGAATGATGTCTATTTTTTCTAGAGGGATGAGATTCAGCAAGAAATTATTTGAAGAAGAAGGAGGAGGAGGACGAGGAGGAGGAGAAGGAGGTAGAAGGTAATGAAGGAATAAAATCTTTTATTTTTTTTCTATTCAAATCATTATAGTCTTTTAAAGGTAAATATGGTAGACCTTGTTTTTTACTCATTTTCATTGTTCTGTGTGCACTAAAAGTAATTTATCTCAATGCTAGGCTCTAAAACACACTAAACAGTGTGCGGGCAAATTTCAGTACTACTTTCAATCTTCTCTGGAATACTAGGTATGATACAGAAATCTAAGGGAGAAATGATATAATTTTACATACAATTCTAGAAATAGTCACCAATTAGAATGTTTAAACAGATTACTTTGTCATTCTTTGTGTTACAAGGATGAAACGAGAGAATCAACAGAACTTAGAGTTTAAGGATATAGCCACTGTTTCTGCACTCTTGAGGTCAAATCTGTAGCCGTGCAGCTTTTGGCAAATAATTTATACCTCTCTCTGAGCTTCAGTTTCCTCATTTGTAAGATGAAAATGAAAATAATAGATTTATCTGAATGAATGCATGCAAAAAAGTTAGAATAAGTATAAGCACATTGCAACATTCTTAAAAAGTATGAACAATTATTATTTTTTTCATTTTAAAATTACTCCATTCTTTAAATTGTACAGAATCATCTCCTTAAAAAAGACCTTCAGGATGAAAGGTAGAAAAATATTCATATCATTAAGCTTAGGGCAAAAGGATCAAATAATGTCCTATAAATATTGTGATATGAAAAACTTATATTCAACATTTATTGCTAATGAAGTCTCTCAATAAATAGAACTATAAAAATCTGAAAGTCAGTTTTTATGGTCATCTCATCTCTTAAAATATGTACTTTGGCTGTGGACATATCTTGGGGATATACAAATTATGTTACTTATCAGAATAATTGCTGGAATATGGATCAGATTTTTAAGTTCTTAAGAAGCATTTATTGCCTTTCAAGATCAGCAGGCACAACTATACATGTAAAAAGAAGTCCAGTCTCAAATAAATGCTTCACTTCACATGATATGCTCTCTTCTCAGAAATTTCCCAGAAATGTATTTTAGAAAAATTTTCAAAAGAAAAAATATACATAAACATGAAAATAGTACTCTGTATTAGTGTTTTCTTATCACAAATACTAAAATAGTCCCACTAATCATGGCATCTTACAAAGCAATATGATATTTTATGTCACCTATTTGTAACATGATGCGTAGAACATCATAATATAACTCTTTTAGAGATTGCATTGCTAACGTACCTTTATAAATCCATAAAACATACAGAAGGAAGAAGGAACGCATATTGTTCTGCTCCTATCTTAGTATTCTTAAAATAAGAAAAGTATCTTATTTTATAGAATCCAGTTATGATGTTAGATAATAGAGCCTAGAAAGGAGAAAATTAAACCTCTTCTCAACCTACCTTTCCATTGTATCTTTAGTCACTCTCTGTTAAGTGATGAAGTATTGCAGTTCAAGTGGAAACTGTTCTGCTCTGAACAGGCTCTTAGATAGTGGGAACCAGATATCTTTTTTTTTTTCTGAGACCCTGAGCTTCTCGGTAATATTGACTTTGTTTTATTCATCTCTGCAACACCGGCACCTAGAGCAGTGGTTAGCACAATACAATAAACTATTTCTGTATTTAATAAATGTGGAAAAACTACTGCTGTCCTCAAAGCCAATAGAGAGACACTTCTTCACATTAGTTCTCAGCTTTGATAAATAGACACTATCTGCAAGCACTTCTGTCTGGCAGGTTGTTTTCTAGAATTTCTATGAAACATGAAGCAGATTCTTAATTTTTTCCCTATTGCCTTCATGCTTAAAAAGTGCACAAAAATTTACTTTTTATAAGTAATGGTGAAAAAGTCAAAATAGAACAAAAATAAAAATAGGAAAGAAGGAATTTTGTATATATTAAGAAACCTTCAGAGAGCCAGTCAATGCTAGCACTGAAACCTAATTAGAATTTGGCTTGTATCTTTTCACTTTCCTTGTATTCCTTCTTTCACTCATACTAGCCATTCTTGCCGCAAATGTCAGCCAATCCAAACCATCTCTCTTGCTTTAATTCTGTAGTCTGGAATCCTACATTTTACCACTCACTCCAACTGTCTGTTGGAACTAGTATGAATGCATGGTATACAGTAGATCTACACCAAGTATTCATGTTCTGTTTGAACAATAAGAAAACAGTCTACTGTAACAATTTTATTTTTTAAAGCTGACTCCTTAAACTTCAAAGAGATATTCTGTGAAATGGAGTAGCAAACAGTTAATGCCCAATATGTGGAAATTATAAGCCATAGAAGAGAATGTATGTCAAATAAAACTAAAATTCATTGAGCACCAACCAAATACCAGGCTCTTCAAAAGCGTCATATTGCGTAATTATTTTATGACAACATACTGTAGGATTTATTACCAACAGTTCACAGGTACAAAGAAGAGGCAACAGAGTTCCAGAGGGGTTAAAATAACCGCCACAAGTCTGGGAATTCAGATCTGCCTAGATCCAATGTCTCTTCTGTCTCCAAGAAAATCGCCCTGTCTCTAAAAGTTCATACCTGAAATTTCAATAATAATAATTTCCAAGACATATTCTAACAGGATTCTATGTTTATTCTGGGGAGAAATAACATATTAAAAATATCTGTTCTATACAAAAACAGAATAAACTAATTTTTCCTTTTGATTAATGTCAGTCAATACCATGGACTTATATCATAAAATACTAAGAGAAGATTATGCATGTACTGACCCTAGAGGTTAGCAAAAATGTACTTTGAAATTTAACATATAGGGGTTATAATTTAAATAATTGTACTCTTCTTTGTCTTTTTTTTAAAATGCTACTTTGGCATGCAGCTATTTCTCCCAGAACATTATGAGCTACAGATTATAGGAAGCTTGCTTTATTTTTTTTAACCTCCATCTATCTCTGACTGCATAGTAGCTGCTTTTCCATCACTGAACGATGCATCTGACAAAGGTCTAATATTCGCATCTATAAGAAACTTAAAAAAATTTACAAGAAAAAAACAACCCCAATAAAAAGTGGGCAAAGAACCTGAACAGATACTTTTAAAGAAGACATACATGTGGCCAATAATCATGTGAAAAAAAACTCAATATCACTGATCATTGGAGAAATGCAAATCAAAACCACAGTCAGAATGACTATTATTAAAAAGTCAAAAAATAATAGATGTTAGCGAGGTTGCAGAGAAAAGGGAACCCTTACATGCTGTTGGCGGGAGTGCAAATAAGTGCAACCAAAGCAGTGTAGCAATTTCTTAAAGAGTTAAAAGGAGAACTAGCATTCAACCCAGCAATGCCATTACTAGGTGTATATCCAGAGGAAAATTTTTCTACCATAAAGGCACATGCATGCTAATGTTCATTACAGCACTATTCACAACAGCAAAGACATGGTCTCAACGTAAATGCCCGTCGATGACAGATTGAATGAAGAAAATGTGGTACATATACACCATGGAATACTTTGCAGTCATAAAAAGCAATGAGATTATACCCTTTGCGAGAACATGGATGGAGCTGGAGAGTATTATCCTTAGCAAACTAACACAACAGAGAAAACCAAATACTGCATGTTCCCACTTATAAGTGGAGCTGAGTAATGAGAACTCATGAACACAAAGAAGGAAACAACAGACACTGCGGTCTACTTGAAGGTGGAAGGTGGGAGGAGGGAGAGGAGCAGAAAAGATAATTATCGAGCACTGGGCTTAATACCTGGGTGATGCAATAAGCTATACAACAAGCCCCCGTGACACAAGTTTACCTATGTAACAAACCCTCACATGTACCTGCAAACCTAAAAGTTTTTTAAAAAAGAAAAATATTGCAACAAACTCCAGTATAATCCAAAAATCTGTCTAATTGAATTTGCTAAAATCTTTGTAAAACACACAAAGTCTCCAGACAGATAATTATAATTTAGTATATATTTTGGGACAATCTTTTATATTACTTCAGACTGGATCCTGGTCCATATTTATATCCCGTAAAGTCAGGTATTTAATCTAAAATCAGACCATCTAAGAGATACCAGCAATAATTAATGGTTTAAACTCAATGGGTCTCTCTGAGTTTTATTCCTGCTTCTATATCATCAAAACGTTTTCACACATAAAGTTACTATTAAGTATGCAATATCAAGTTTAGCTCACTTCTGGGAACTGGTCAAAAGAGATTTCCTAGCCAATGAAGATCTAAAATATTTGTACAATTTAAAGCAATGATTCTCAAAGCTCATTATGCATTATAATCAGCTAAGTGGCTTGTTAAAACACAAACAACCCAGCCTCACCTCGAGTTTCTGCAGGCCTGAGGCTGAGCTGAGAATTTTCATTTCTAAAAAGTTTCCAGGTAATGATTATGGTGACACTGGTCTGGAGACCACACTTCAAGAATCATTTACCTAAAAAATATGTTTTAAGATGTAGTCTACCCCCTGACACCATCAGAATAATAAGGTGTGCTTAGTAAGATGCAAATTCCCAGACACCATCAAGACTTACAGGATCAGAATATCCAGGATGCGGCCCAGATATCTGCATTCTTAACAGGAATTCTAGATGATTGTAATGCACACTGTAACCTGAAGACTAGTGTTATTCTGTCCAATTCTGACATCCTGTTTGTTTTCTAACCTACGATGTGCTTTCACAACTCTGTGTAGTGTTCAGAGCTCCCAGTGGTAAGATTGCTTGTCTTTTCTTCCTCTGCTTGTCAATTTCTTTTCCATCTCCCAGACCCAAGCCAAATATGCCTTTTTTATAAGGCTTCCCTTCCCTGTCAGAAAGATTAATTTCTCCATCAATTCTGCTAGCAGTCACAGCATAACATGCTCATGTCTCTTTCCGCTGAGGGAAGGTGATCTTCTAAACTAAGAAAGAGACCAATGTAAGCCGGGCGCAGTGGCTCATGCCTGTAATCCCAGCACTTGGAGAGGTCAAGGCGGGCGGATCACCTGAGGTCAGGAGTTTGAGACCAGCCTGGCCAACGTGGTGAAACCCCGTCTCTATTAAAAATACAAAAATTAGCCTGATGTGGTGGCCGGGCGCCTGTAATCCAGCTACTCAGGAGGCTGAGGCAGGAGAATCGCTTGAACCCGGGAGGTGGAGGTTCCAGTGAGCCGAGATCACACCACTGCACTCCAGCCTGGGCAACAAGAGCAAAACTCTGTCTCAAAATTTTAAAAAAAGGAAAGAAAGAGACCAATGTGTTTTTCACTAAGTTTTGCGTTATAACATTGGGCACACATTAAGCCATTAAAAAGATATTGTTGACTCAAAAAAAAAAAAAAAAAAAGAAAGGAAGGGATATAAACTTGAAAACTCAGTAAAACCAAATCAAACTTTATTTTTCCAGTATAGTATGATATGCTTTCCATAACTGTAATTGCTGACCTATTTCAAATGAACACCTGAGAATTTTTGTTTCAATAAAAGTTGTCTTTTTTTGAAAGTATTTGTAATGAATGTCTGTGTGCAAACACATGATTGTGTACCTTTTCTGACCTTTTCAAAACGTTTTATTGACTTTTAAGGAAGTGGATGGTCTATTTAAAGAGTTTCTGCCATCATCATTTGCCATTTTTCCCCATTTGTCTAATTGTAACAGCTGCTGCCTTAGGTAACATCTGTTCTCTATTAACTCCTCAGGAAGACATTTTGAAGGGTCATAAGGATCAGGGCTGTGATACACCTAGAGACTTGGCCTAAAAGACTTGATCAGTGGATTAAGCCACAATTTCCTATCCTAAGTTACTTTAGGTATTATGACACATCTGCAGCTCAAAAGAAGCCTGTGAGGAGTTTAAATATGATATAACAATTAACAGAATGGAGTAAAAATTTGAATAATGCCAAGCTCTTACCATTTTAATTTCACATCTATTGTAATGATAATGACTTGCTCAGTTGGTAATTATTGCTGTGGTTCCTTCCCTTCTTCTCTCCTTTGAGATGGAGAGCATCAGCAAACAAAGATGAACACATTAGAACAAGAAGCAGGGAAGCTACTCCCTGATAATGGAAAAGACCACTTTGGCAGGACTGGCACATTCCAGATCCTCATAGATCTAACATATAGTTCTCTATGGATCCATTGTAATATTAATGACTCATTCTCCTGGTTACAGTTTATGTTGGTTATCTATGTAATTTAGTAAATAAATATTGGCTACAGAAAACATCAAAAATACATGTGAAATAAATCTGGTGCTCAAAATTAAGAGAGACTCTGAACTAAAATATGCACCAATATAAAAGTTGGTTTGTTATTTGCTTAAAATTCCTACATTATTTATAATATGCTAGTGGAGTAATAACAATCCACCTTTCTAATGAATTGGCAACACTGGGCACTTCACTTATGTTTTACTGAATAATTTCAATTTATTCCTAGCAGCTAACCTGTTAGGGAGGGGCACTGTAAGTGTTCATAAAATAAATCCTAAAGGCAACATTCTTTAGATTTTTAAGACCTAAGTCCTAAATGGAAAACAAGAAGAGCTATTGTTACTGATAAGTCTTGTTAACTTCCGAATAGATACATACATTGAGATGTCACAGCTCTCTCTAGAGTTTCCTGTGGCATAATAATGCATAAACTCATCAAGGATATATGTGAGTCAAAAGGAAAGTAGAAAATCAGGAAGTCTTAAAGAAACTGTTCATCTAAACAACATTTCACTTCACTATTCAGATATAGCTGAGTTGGTTTAGTATACTTAATGACATTTTAGTAAGGCTATGAATATATAAGCTTATATAAAATAAGCTCTTCACCCCAAATAGAGAAACACTGAGAACTAATGGAAAGGCAGAAAAAATTTTAAACTGGGAAATATTCATTTAAATCAGGGTTTTATTATTTAGCAGATATTTGTTATGGGGTCAGACACTACTCTCTCATCAGAGGTGGGCCCAGCATCCTAATTTTATGGGATACTTAAATAATATATTATCAAATATTCTGTAAACCATAAACTATGAAGCAATTACAAGTTATTAAAGATTTTCTATTGAATAAAATAGGGCAGATACAAAAGACTACATAATTTAGGACTCTTACATATTTTTGAGATTTGGTCTTTATAAGCGAGAAGTCAGAATCGTGACTATTTAGGTGAGAGAAGACATTCTGTTTTTCTGGGGCCACACAATGTTTTACACTGACTGGTTTACCAGTAGTTCTTTGTACTCTCCAAGCCTCTTCCAACCTCAACAACTCTTTTGGCACAATTTAAAAAAGAGGCTACAAACTTTCAATGCCTCTTGTCACTATTCACAGTCCTTATATCACTTGTCACGGTAAACCATCAGCATTAATCTCATTATTTTTATAGCAGTTTGAATTGGTATAAGGTTTAGTTGTCTCAGGTCACTCTTCATCTTCTGTACTCAAATCCTGATAAAACTTTTCAAAGTCTACTTTCTGAACAGTCCACTTTCTGATATCTACCACTCTTTCCTAACTCCTGAAATCTTTTTACTGTACCTTCTGATGGTGATTTATCAGCCAAATCCTGCCTATCCTAAACCTGTCCACATTCTTGCTCCAAAGGTAACCAGGCTCTCTCTCAAGGATGGATTTCCCTGTAGCTCTCTTAAATAGTGTTGTATAATTAAAAAAAAAAGTGTCTGGTCTTTGTCCTTAGTTCTTGGGCCTAAGCTTCTAAATCCTTGGATTTTCCTAAGAAAAATAAACCCTTGCTTTATTTATTAATGGTGAGTCCCTGGGACCATGCCTGAGTTTATCCTAGAGTGATGACTCATGGTGGGTCCCTAGATAGTTTTATAATTGGAACTGGCTATGCCAGGAACACCAACCATATGATGAGATGATTGACGCTTTGAGCCAGATGATATTACCCCAACCTCTGAAGAGGATGAAAACACAGAAGATTGAGTTCTATTATGTGGTCAATGATTCAATCATGCCCATCTAATGAAGTTTCCAGAAAATTCTGGATATTAGAGTTTCTGGTTGGTGAACATCCTGATGTACCAGGATAGTGATGCTTCTGATTTTTCTAATTCAGTTAGAGAAGACACAGAAAAGCTGTATTGGGACCTTTTGATAACTTACTCAGTGGTTCTTGAATAGTTCTTGATTTGTATCCTTGTAATACAGCTGTCATTTAAATAGCATTTCTTGAGTTCTGTGAGTTATTCTACCGAATCATTGAACTCCCATATTTGTAGCCATTTGTCAGAAGTGTGGGTAGCTTGGGAAGTCCCAAGCTTGTGGCTGGTGTCAGCAGGGAAGGGGAGCAGTGTGGGAGAGTGTGCCCTCACCCTGTGAAATGTATGCTAACTCTGGTACTTAGCATCAAAATGGTATTGCAAATGGTGATTGTTTTCATAAAACTGCACCTGCAGGTGAGCTAGGTATTCTATATGTCTCTCTTTTCTCATTCAAGAGCATTTTCAGTGCCTCCCCCTCAAAACAAATAGATCTTCTTTATCAGCATATAAGTATCAGTACATAAGTATCAGGATCTCTTACTGTTACCACACTCTATAAGACCTGTCATTTCTTCGAGATTTCCAGTCTACTCCCTGTCATTTCTTAGAGATTTCCAGCTCCTGGTTAACTCCCAGTCTCTTCAACATTTATTGATTATTTCAGTGAACAAATTATTGATATTTGCAATGTTCTGATCTCTCTCAATTCATTGAATTATCTTCTCCAATAATCTTTTTATAAGACTATCCCTCACCTTAGACATTTACCAGTATGGTCATTTCTTAGATTTTGTCATTACCAGTAACTTTAAACCCTCCATCATCTCAGATTCACCCTGTTCTTTACACTCTGCAACCACCAACTTGCATCTTTCTAGTTAACTTTTTTTGGTGCCCTAACTTCTATAACCCACCTTTAAGACATACAACTTATCCCCCAATATTTTTATATCTCTAAGTACGTTCACATTTACATTCTCCTCGCTTTGACACCTTTTCCCTTTACATTCTTAATTAATGACCTTCCTATTTTTCTGAGAAAATCTAAGCAAATATCTATATTTCAAGTTATAAAATTGATCACAGAAACCTTAAATAATTTCTCATGGTAAACATAATTCAAATTGAAGTTCTGTGTTCTTAATATTTGTATTATCCAGCTACAGCCAAAATAATGCTGACAAAAAATGACCCCTAAACTCAGTGGCTAGTTGTTTTAAACAGTGTTTTTTTTTTCATGTTTCTGGGCGTCCAGGTGTGCTGCAATTAAGCCAGTTTAGGTGACTAGGATGGGCAACTATATATTACATGATGATTTGTACCTGGGCTGCTAGTTTGGTTCGATATTGCTCTACTTATGTTTGAATTAGGTCCTAGGTTTTCCTTTTTGGGATTAAATATGGATTTTCTTTAGAGCTAAGAATAGTGACCATATTTTAGATAATAAATATCAGGAATGAACAATTTTCTCAATTTGTTCTAAAATTATGGGGAAATATATCCCCAGGTTGGGATTATATTTCCTTCTGTGAAAATTCTGATGTGTGTCCTAGCAGGTGACTGCGGATATAGTTAAATTGTTAACAGCTTTGAGCATTACGTTATTGTTGTTTCACATGAACAATATATGCTCATTGCAAAAAGAAAAAAAAATGGCAGCTTTTTTTCACACTTCAAAATTGCACTTCTTCAACTACTCTCTCACAAATGTTGTTCAAGTGTCCAAAAAGGATTATTTCATGAAAAGTGACTTACCTTCCTCTCTGTCATGCCCAAAGGTGGCAAAAGGTGGTGGGAACATAAACTCATTGTTGATTCTTTACGGTGGGGCATGAGTTAATTTTTTCATGATACAGCTTGAATTTTTTCACCTCAAAAAGCCAGCAATAATATCCCCCCATGTTGTCCTTCCAGGCAACACATCACACAAAGCCATGTCAGGAAATCCTCACAAAATATACTCCCCACTTTCTCTTGGCCTCTATCTTGGGATTAGTAGATAATGAGTACAGGAAAGCAGGTCACACAGTCCTGACCTTGTGAGATATAGCTCATAATACTGAAATGTCATGGCTGGAAAAAAAATGGAGATCATCATTTTCCCATCCTGACATTTTTCCACATCATAACTTACAGGTACTTCATTAAAGATCAAAAATGAAATAGAGTAATAAGACTATATTGACAGCCACAGTAAATAAAATTAAAATCTATGTAATATATTCGAGGTTGGGTCCTGATGTTAAAGTTTGGAATTTGCCATTTTGTTATATAGATACTCATCCTGAAGAAATTTAAAATACACATTAACTACACAGAGATGAATAAAACAGTAAAGAAAATGTTTACAATCTGGGCTGTTATTAACTAAGGTAGTGTTGGTCATGGGGAGTATCTCCTTTTCCTAATCTCCATAGGGGTAATTGTAGATTCATATATATAAACATAAGACATATAACCAGATAAGAAAAGTAAGAAAAGTTTATCAAATATTAAGAGCTGGAAACAAATAATTATCAGAACAAAACATAGTATAATTGTTAAATTTGCCATTTAAAAGACAGCAGTAGGAAATTATTTTTTTCCTATAGCACTAACAAAAAGTTACCTCTTTTACTTCTATGCTGTTACCATGCTTTATAAATATTTTCTATCCTCTTTATTCCCATGGATAACTGACTATATCTTTCTTAACTGGCTCTTCCTGAATTCTTCAATAAAGTCTAAACAGGTTTGTAGGCCGGATAACTTTCCTATCTCCATCTTCAATTCTGTGACCTACCAGCTGGTATCCCAGAAGCATCAGAGTAACACGAGAGATAGGAGACAAAGTCGGGCTATATTTTTGCCCTTACAGCTCACCACAAAAATTTTTTTATAGAACTTTTTTACTTGATGGATATGACTTGACACAAGCAAGATATGGAAGGGAATTTGGGAATTTTCCTAAAGAGGTTATTGACTGAAAAAGAAATCAAAGATGTATTTATGTTGTCATAAATGAAGTTTATGAGATGATAATTGTTCTGAAGCTGCCAAGATAACTTTTTCTCACCAGAAGTTTCATGTTTACATTTAGAAAATTGAAAATTGCATAATTTGTATTGATGTTTATAATCAGAGTATTCTGAATACCTTAATAATTTTGGAATTCTACATATCAAAATAAATATTAAATCTTCTCCCGGATTCCCTGACATAAGAATTGTATGTAGTGTTTGACTACATACAGTCATATGTGGTGTTGTGATGTGGTGTTGTGACATCACAACACCACAGACATATGATGTCTGATTCAAAGACGTACATCCATGTTATTTTTATAAAATAGTGCAATTTCTGGAATTTTTCCAACTCAATCCAACAAACGCTTATTTTTTTTAATAGCTAGGTGCTTGCCTATGCATTTTTTGGGCATCATTTATTTTCTTTTTTTTCAATTAGCTCAAGGATGCTCAGGAAATAAACATACAACTTACTGTGTGCCTGATCAAAAATCTGCCCCTGTCAAAGTCATCCAACAAAAATGGAAGAGAAACTAATAAAATCTTATGGATATCCTTTCCAAATGAAGCCATGTGAGCCATTTACCTCCCAAGAGAAAACTGCAAAATGATAATGAACTAAAGTTCCCTCTAGCTCCCACTAGAAATGCTGACTTAGTCGATGTCTTGAGAAGTGGGGTTATGGCTATTGAAAATACAAACTGATGTACAGGTAGCTTCTCCTTTTGTCCTATTTTCACTCTTTCTATTTTTTTTCTTTTTATCTTCCTCTCTTTTCCTCTCTCTCCACTATCTGCTCAGCTACCCATTTATAGAAACCTTCCTGTAAATTGACAAAGCTAAAGAATGTGTTCTTGGATGACTGTATTATTTTTTCTTTCACTTGTGAAAGACAGTAACATTAGAAAAGAATTGGAGAACTCTTTACAAATTCTATGTTCATATGTAAATTTTACTTACGCATAGTAATATATAACATTAACAACATAATAGTGCTAATGTTCTAATTTCAGGATTATAAAGTGTTTCTGAAATTAAAGGAACTACAGATAATAGTAATAGTAGTTATATTTATTTAGTAATTTGCTAAGTGGTATATGTGCATTATCTATTTTAATGTACAAAAATTACTCTTTGAAATAATTACTAATTCTACAGAACTAGAAAGAATCAGAGCCAGTGTAGGAACCCAAGAGTTTATTTCAAAGCACTCTCTTAGCCAGTATATATATTACTCTTCAAGTAATACAGCAAATGTATTTGTTGAGGAGGTTTGCAAAAGCAATGTCTGAGACACATGTCACTGATCTTCATGATAATGTTTTCTTAAATGTAGAAACGTTCAAAATGATAATTAGTTTTACACTTTAAGATACTTCTTTATAATTAAAATCCCTTTAAAGTAATCTAGTGAAAATTATTCCTACTTTAAAAATCTATCATCACAACACCACACTAATTTTCTATTGTGAAATTCTATATTTGGGAGTCATTGAAAGTGATGTCTTCAAAAATTTTGTTTCATGTCATCTGTTGAATATGTGTCCAAGTCCATCTAATATATATATATATGATGCTATATATATATATATATATAAAATGCTATATATATATTATATAGAGACAGCTTTCTAGTTTGCTCTATATATATACAGATATATATTTATATGTGTGTTTGTGTGTGTGGTGTACATCGTTGAGCCTTTGCTAGCTGTGTGTGTCTTCAACTGTATTAAATAAATCTAGATTATTTTTCAGACAAGAAATATTTATATCCCCACTAGAAGTTCCTTAAGAGTACCTGTTTCTTTCCATCTTTTTAAACATGCTGCTTTCTCAGATATAAACCCAGTGGGTATGAAATAGCATGACATTGTCATTTTGTATTTCTCTATTAATGAGGTTGAGCATCTTTTCACATTATTAATCATTCTTGCTTTCTTGTTAATAAAAGCCCTATTTATATATTATCCCCATTTTTTTCCTAATGGGATGCTTTAGGAACATATTATATATTCAGTAAACAAAGTTGTTCATAAGCATTGTAAATATATTTTCTCATTTAGCAGCTTTTCTTTTAACTGTGATAAGTTATATTGTTTTATACAAATTTCTTTTAAATTGAATATATTCAAATTTATCAACATGCTCTTTTATGATCTATAATCTTTGAATTTTATTCAAGCAATGCTTTCATAATCGAATGTACTAAAAATCCTTCCTATTTTTCCTTTTAAATGTATTACAACTTTTTCTTATATTTAGATATTTGATTTTTATACATTGGGGTCTAATTATTTTTTAATATAAATATTTCATAGTTCCTGCACTCTATTTTAATTGGCCCATTATTTATCTATTGATTTGTAATGTCACTCTATCACAGAGCAAGTTTTCATCCATTTATGGATAGGTGGTTAGTTCTTAGCTATTGTGTGTCTTTGCTGACTCCGTGTAAGACCATTTTCATTCTTATAGGTTGAACTCTGGCACTTGATATCTGAGAAAGTGGGCTTCCTATCCCTTTCATCAAATCTCCCAGCTTCCACTCATTCTCTTCCTCCTCTTTCTTTTTCGTCCTCCTTCTCTTCTTCACCTTCATTGTCTTCTCATTTTTTCCCCTCCTTCCGTTTTTCAAAAATTAAATAAGGACTTTTTTTTCTCTTTACAATGTGTCAAGGAGTCAAGTTTCATTATTAAAAAAAAACCTGTTAGTATTCTGAATAAAATAGAATTAATGTACAGATTAATTAATTTTCTTTATTATTAACTTTTTAATATTTTATTTCATAGATATGACATGTCTTGGAATTTATCCAGTATCTATACTATTTCTTTCATTTAAGGACAGTTTTAATTACAAAGTTTGTACATGGCCATGTGCTTTATAGTTTTTGTTATTTTAAAGTTTTATTGTGAATGGAATATTTGATATATTCCATTTTAAAATGATTCCATTTTAAAATAATTGGTTTATATATATAAACCACATGATTGATTTTAGTGTTTTGATCTTATTTGCAACAGCCTTGATTTTTTTTTTTTACATTTAACATTTTTGACTATAGATTCTGTTAGATTTTCTACACATTATTTGCTAATAAAAAGTAAAATGTGTTTTTTCCTTTCTGATCTTTATAATCCTCAATCCAAGTTTGACTAGGAGTGATGAAAATACTCATCCTAATATTGTACCTGATTTTAAAGGGAATGATGCTTAAAACAAAAGATAAAGGGGATATTTTATAAATATTTTTTAGCCAGTTAAAAATATTTCCCTTTCTTTCTAGTTTGCTGAAGCTTTACCATAGAAAGGCACTGACTCTCCCTAACTATGGGACGTAGGATTTGTCCTTGTAGTACCTTGTATGGTGGCCCCCAAAATGATACACCCTTATCCAAATATGTGGGAATGTGAATGTTCCTTTTTTTTTTTTTTTTACTTAAAGTTCCGGGATACATGTGCAAAACATGCCGGTTTGTTACAGAGGTATACATGTGCCATAGTGGTTTGTTGCATCTATCAACCCATCATCTAGGTTTTAAGCCCCACAAGCATTAGCTATTTGTCCTGATGCTCTCCTTCCTCTCGCCCCACCAACCCCCCGACAGGCCCCGGTGTGTGTTGTTCCCCTCCCTGTGTCCATGTGTTCTCATTGTTCAACTCCCACTTATGAGTGAGAACATGCAGTGTTTGGTTTTCTGTTCCTGTGTTAGTTTCCTGAGGATGACGGCTTCCAGCTTCATCCATGTCCCTGTAAAGGACATGATCTCATCCTTTTTACAGTTGCATAGTATCCTATGGTGTATATGTGCCACATTTTCTTTAAAAATAATCTTTGCAGATTAAGTTAAGGGCCTTGAGGTAAGATCATACTGAATTGCTGTGTTGGCCCTAAATCCAATGACAAGTGTCCTTGGATAAGACAGAAGAGGAAAAGGCACACTGAGGAGCAGGTGGTATGAAGACAAAAGCAGAGGTTGGAGTGAGAAAGCTGCAAACTAAGGAGGCCAAAGCCACCAGAAGCCACCAGAAGCAGAAAGAGACAAGAAGTTTCCATCCCCAGGACCTCCAGAAGGAGAAAAGCCGTGCTAACACCTTGACTGCAGACTGCTGTAAGAGACCATTTAGTTGTTTTTTAAAGCCAGTTAGTTTCTGGTACTTAGGGCAGCTATAGGAAACTCATACAGTTTCTTGGCTCTTACAGCTTCCTTATTTATAAAGGTAGACAATAAAATTACCACATTAGGGCCAATTTGAAGAATAAATGAATGAAACCATGACCAACCTTTAATGGAGTGTCTACCATACATTAATCACTATATCATTCTTTAACATATAATTATTTTGTGGGAATGACCATTGCACACCATAGAATACAACAGTAGCTCCTTAACAGAATCAGTATATTGGACAAATGTCACATGTTCTGATATTGCAAGTAGAAGAATGACAGTGAGTACAAAAGGGATTAAGAAAATCTCAACAAAAAGTAAATTGGGAAATACAAACATTCCAAGATCACAAAGTCAGAAAATCACAACAATACTCCAAAAATAAAGTTTTATACAACAGGAATAACTCTTCAATTATTTATTAAACTTTCTTTGTAAAAATTTTGGATCGAACCCATCACAAGTAAAGCTGTGAAATAACGGTCTGCACTGACTGGTAGGGGTGAGCAGTGAATACCACTTAAGCGTTCTATATTTAAGGGGGTTCTATATCTAAAATAGCAGTTGTGTCTTTCTATCTTCTCTAAAGCAATTCATAATGTTAACTTATTTATCTGCCCCTATATATGCATAAGACTTGACGGTGATAGATTAAAGACATGACAAATTTATGGCAGGTATCTGGCATCCTAATAAAAATGTTGGTTGAAATATAAGAGTTATAAAATAGAGAATATTGTTAGGTTCTCAATCTTCTGGGTTTTTTCTCTTCATCCTGGTTGATTCATTCATTTACATCCTGTATGGTCTGGATGCCTATGTACCCCTAAAATTCATATGTTGAAGCCTTAACCCCCAATGTGATGGTATTAGGAGGTAGAGCCTTTGGAGGTCATTAGATTCAGATGAGGTAATGAGTGTAGAGCCCTCATAATGAGATTGTTACCCCTATAAAAAGAGAAAGAGATACCAGAGCATCCTGTCTCTACCATGTGAAGATACAGCAAGAAGGCAGCCATCTACAAATGAGGAAAACGACCTTCACCAGAACTTGACAATGCTGGCACCTGATTTCAGACGTGTCAGCCTTCGGAACTACGAGAAATAAATGGCTAATGTTTAAGACACTCAAGATTTTGCTATAGCAGCCTGAGCAGACTAAGACAACGACTTCAAATATAATTCATATCTTAATGACTCCTGACTTTATATCTTCCATCCTGAACCATAACCTAGCTTCAGACTCATATTCAATAGCGTACTTGATAGTTTCCTATGTTTACTCTTAACAGAATTTCATATTTAAGAAGTTAGAGTAGAACTCTTGATTTCTCCCAATCAAGCTGTTCTTTCCAATCTGCATCTCACATCTTGATATAGAACACAATCAGCTCCTGAATTGTTCAGGGAAAATATCTAGGCATCTGCCCAAATTCTTCCATTTCTGTTACGAACAGCCAATATTTCAGCAAGCTCTTGATAATCCTTCTTCAAACTGAATCCCAAACTCCTCTGTTTTGTAAACATATTAGCTCAAAACATCATTATCTACCACCTAGCCTATTAAAAATTTTTAACTGGTCTCCTTGCTGCCACTCTTATGCTAAAATTGATTCTGTAGTAGCTACTGATATGGTTTCATTCCGTGTCCCCATCTAACTCTCATGTCAAATTGTAATTCCCATTGTTGAGGGAGGGACCTGATAGGAGACTATTAGATCATGGGGGTGGATTTCCCTCTTGCTATTCTTGTGATGGTGAGTGAGTTCTCATGAGGTCTGATTGTTTAAAAGTGTGTAGCACCTCCCCCTTCTCTCTCTCTCTCCTCCCGCCATGTGAAGGGTGTGCCTGCTTCCCCTTTGCCTTCTGCCATGATTGTAAGTTTCCTGAGGCCTCCCCAGCCATGTCTCCCATACAGCCTGTGGAATTGTAAGTCAGTTAAACCACTTTTCTCCATAAACTACCCAGTCTCAGGTATGTCTTTAGAGCAGTATAACAACTGACTAATACAGTTCCAGTAATACTTTATAATAATAAAACTGATCATATTATTCAACCAATGGCTTTTTACCCATTTAAAATATATTCTAGCTGCTTTACCATGGTTGAACAACTCAAAAAGACCTGTACCTTATATCTGAGACCTCATATCTTCTCTAGTTGTGCAATATGCTTCAAGCACAGTGTTCCTTGCTTTTATTTATTTATTTATTTATTTTTGCTATTTATCCCTTCAAAAACTATGCCACCCTGATTGCTTTCTCACAGTTCTTTCTTGAGCTGAAACTGTTTCCCCTGACTTTCATACCATTTAGATTTCAATTCAAAAGTCCTCTCCTCAGAGAAGACTTTCTCAACTAAACAAAGTTTCAATCACCTCTTCCTAAACAATATGTCCAGGTATATTACCTCACTTTGCATTTTCTTGATAGCAGTTATTGTTGTGCCATTTGTATACTATTAACAATATAAATTACAATAAAATGCATAGTTAGTAATAAGATTGTATTATTATTATTATTTACTAATTCACTAATCCACTGATCTAGCTATCCCAAATGAATACTCCAGGGAAATGGGGCAGTTTTAAAACATGGCCACAAATACTTTAACGTAGCTCACACTAAAAGATGGTTATATATCTTCTCTCTTTGAATCAAGGAGTTGTAACTGCTCCAATTAATGGAGAATGTTGCAAGAGTCACTACATGATTTCTCTGAGTAGGTCATACAAAGGCCATGCAACATCACCTTTGATCATTTGAACACTTGTTCTTAAAGCCTCTAATGACTCATCATGTGGAAATACTAAGCTCAAACAGACACACATAGAAAGTCCCTGGCAGGCCCAGTTTTTAACCATCTTAGCTAAGTTCCCAGATGAGAGGAAAATCATCTTGACCCATGTAGAGCACCCCACGGACTATACAAATATCACTGAGTGGTCTCTATAAGTGCTACATAGAAAAGAAGCATTACTCAAGCAAATCCTCACCAAATTGTGATGAATAATTTTTTAAAAGGTACTGTTTTAAGTGAGTAAGATTTGGAGGTGGTTTGTTTCACAGCAATCAATAACTGTAACACAGGTCTTCTAGTATATATTATTCAGAATAAAAGCAGACTCTATGATTTATAATATGTAATATTTTGTATGTGAAAGGGAATGGAAATAAAAGTATGCAGACACACAGAGAGCCACACAAAGACATAATAGAGAGTTAAACCAAAAATTATAAATAGCTACATATAAGAGAGGGAATGAACCAGGACAGGAGACAAAAATTAAAATTATATTTTTTTGAATGTATGCTATTTTACAGGTTTTTACCTTGGAATTATGTTTATTCATACACAATCAAAGTTTAACAAAAATAAAAACTGACCTAGTGTGTTTGTATTACTATAACAAAGTGTGTGAAACTAGGTAATTTATAAGAAATAGAAATTTATTTCTCACAGTTCTGAAGGCTTTGTAATCCAAGAACAACACATAGGCAGGTTCCTTGTCTGATAAAGGTCTATATCTGCTTCCAAGATGGTGCCTTGAATGCTGGGTCCTCACGTACCAGAAAAACAGAAGAGCAAAAGGTCAAAAAGGAGTGAACAGCTCACTTGCACCTCTTTTGCAAGGTCACTAATCCATTCATTTGGGATCCACCCACATGACTTAATCACCTCCTAATGGCCCCAGCTCTTAACAACATCACATTGGCAATTAAGTTTCAATATATAAATACAGAAATGGTAAATACGGGAATAGATATAAAATACTATTTAAAATATTTTCAGGGGCAAGGGGAGGGAGAGCATTAGGACAAATACCTAATGCATGAGGGGCTTAAAACCTAGATGATAGGTTGATATGTGCAGCAAACCACCATGGCATATGTATACCTATGTAACAAACCTGCGCATTCCACACACGTATCCCAGAACTTAAAGTAAGATAAAATAAGAAAATCAACAAAACAAAACAAAACAAAACCTTTTTTGGTAAAAGGCAACAGACGAGAGCAAAAACTAAGTATGAATTTTGGGGGACGTATTTATACCATAGCAACAACTTCTAAACATCAACAGTATAAAGACACAAATGGACCTAACTATATAGAGTGTATGTTATAAATTGCGGCTCAAAATAGCATTTTAAACAATTTTGAAATACCGCATTTGTGTGTGTAGTGGAACATATATTATGAAGAGTTGGCTGTAAAAAAATTATTTAACTGGATTAGTGTAACTATTAGAAATGAAATATTATTGTTTGTTAAATATTATAAATTCTGAATATACATATATAATATATATAAATAAATAATTATGTCTTTTAAAATCAAAATTTTCTTTAGAAGACAAAGGAGATATCATTGGAACCTATATAAAGAAAAAACTGAAGACAAAACATTTAAATAAGTATGACAATTTCTTTATTTCATAAAAAATACTAGATCAGAGATCCAATAAAATTAATAAATCCAAAGAATAAATCAAAATAAAATTAAAACACAATGAATCATACTTAAATTGCTAAAAACAAAATAAGGAGAAAATCTGAAAAGGAGCCAAAAAAAGGAAAGGTAAAATTTCATAACAGAATAAAAATTTTTCAATATCTATAGAAAAGAGTTTTTTGTTTGTTTGTTTGTTTGTTTGTTTTTTGAGACAGAGTCTCACTTTGTCGCCAGGCTGGAGTGCAGTGGCACGATCTCGGCTCACTACAACCTCCACCTCCTGGGTTCAAGTGATTCTCCTGCCTCAGTCTCCCGAGTAGCTGGGATTACAGGCACATGCCACCACTCCAGGCTATTTTTTGTATTTTTGGCAGAGACAGGTTTCACCATGTTGGTCAGGCTGGTCTTGACCTCCTGACTTTGTGATCTGCCCCCTTTGGCCTCCCAAAGTGTTGGGATTACAGGCGTGAGCCACCACGCCCAGTAGAGATATTTTCAAAGACAGAAAAGTAAAGTAAGAACAAAAGAAAGAAAGATCCAATTAGAAAAACTGCAAAACAAGAAATTTTTCTGGTTAAAAAAAATGACGCTAGCTAAAAACCTCTGGCTCTATAGGAAGTAATGAAGAATACAGAATGATACCTATGGGAATAGACATAAAATACTATTTAAAAATGTGTTCATAAAAGGCAACTGACTAGAGCAAAAAATTATATAGTTTACAGAATATTTAGAAGAAAATACATGAAAACTTCACAAATGTGGAATTTAGTATAACAAATTAAAGTAAATATAGCTAAATTAAATGTACACATTTTACTCCCTTAAGTAACAACTGAAAAACAATAACAGACATATAGCTGTAATATGGAACTTAGTATAATAGAAATTCAGAAAAGTGGAATGTAGTATAACAGAAATTCAGGTAAATGCTGCTAATGCTCCCTTGAGTAACAACTGAGAAACAAGAACAGACATATAGCAAATAAGCTATGATGGACTTGTGAGTGTTAGTTTGGCCAGGCTGAATCACATTTCACAAATATATTTCTATTTTTCTGGTTAGGGTGGACTACCAAGAAGATTCTCACATGAGGGCGCAAGGGAGGCAATAGCCATTTTGTAGCATACACGTGTGCGCAGACACACACACACACACACTGTTGCTAATCGGCTGACTCACCTCATTGGTGTGAAGCAGCAGCCGTGTCTGCAATTGCTCTACCTTGCCTTGTATCCTCCTTCAGTTTCTCTGACTCATAGGCCAATGTGTGTTGAACTCTTTGATGAAAGACCTGGCTTCTGCAGGATACTCATGTCCTCAAGGTTAGAGACAAAAAGAATGAACAAGGACACGTGTTTCAATTCATTCTTATAGGTTCCAGCTTGTGGGGTTGCAGGCTACTCATGATCTTTCATTCCTGACTGTCCATGGATTTAGCTTGAGCTCCAGCATTAGACTCAAAAACAGCCTTGCAGCTACTGTTCAACCAGCCACCATGAATGTTTAATCCAATTCCCTGTTATCTATCCATCCTACTGGTCCTGCTTCTCTGGTTGAACTCTGACACATAAGCCAGTAGAGGAGATAAATAAAAATACTTTAAAAAAGATCTGTCACTTAGGGTTCAAGGATGGGATGCAGGCTGTGAAAAATCAATCTAACTACTTACGGAAAGGAGTAAGGAAAATAGCAACTGACCTAAATAACTTTAAAAGTATCTTGACCAGTTACTGTAAGCTAAAACAACAAAAAGGCTGTACACAAATACTGTAGTCTAATTATTAATTATATTTCTCACATAGGTACAAGTTAACTATTCTGAAACTATTTTACATGTATACTAGAGTTGTACAAATAAATAAATTTATTTCAGATAATGGGAACCAAATTTTTCTCTGTCAGAGAAAAAAGTTACAAATCAGCACAGGAGGAGGTTAGAATGAGCCCGATGGTACACTTTTAGAGAAGATATCTATCTTGAACTCATGCATATTTTAATACATTGATATATAAAGTAATAATTATAGATATGAGTGTATACATGCTAGAATGAATGTATACATATGTTACTACAAACACATACATTCAACTCATTGAAACTGCAGGATAACGTATGATTTTATTAAAATCATGATTTTTTTATTTCAATAGTTTTGGGGGAACTGGTGGTTGTTGGTTACATAAATAAGTTCTTTATTGGTGATTTCTGAGATTTTGGTGCATCTATCACCTGAGCAGTGTGCACTGTACCCGATATGTAGTCTTTTATTCCTCACCCCCTCCCACACTTCCCCCAACCCCCAAAGTCCATTGTATCATTCTTATGCCTTTGTATTCTCATAGCTTAACTCTCACTTATAAGGGAGAACGCATGATAGTTGTCCATTACTTATTTACTTCACTTAGAATAATGGCCTCTAACTCTATACAAGTTGCTGCAAATGCCGTTATTTCATTCCTTTTTATGGCTGAGTAGTATTCTGTGGTGTAGATATACCACATTTTCTTTATCCACTTGTTGGTTGATGGGCATTTGGGTTGGCTCCATATTTTTGCAATTGTGAATTGTGCTGCTATAAACATGTGTGTGCAAGTGTCTTTTTCATATAATGACTTCTTTTCCTCTGGTTACATACCCAGTAGTAGGATTGCTGGAACAAATGATAATTCTATTTTTATTTCTTTAAGGAATATTCATACTGTTTTCTAACACACGGTATAACCACATTGCTTATACTAGTTTACATTCCTGCTAGCGTGTAGAAGTCTTCCCTTTGCACCACATCCAAGCCAACATCAATTTTTTTTTTTATTTTTTTAATTATGGCCATTCTTACAGGAGTAAGGTGGTATCTCATTGTGGTTTTATTTTACATTTCCCTGATAACTAGTGAAGTTGGTAATTTTTCATACTTATTTTGGTCATTTTTATATCTTATTTTGAGAATTGTCTACTCACATCCTTTGATTCACAAACAGAAAGCTGTGGACTAGTTTTTCTCATATTGTAGATAAATGTTATTGTTTCTCTCGTACCATAGCAATAATTCCCTTAGATAAAAAATGTAAAAATGTAATTATTCTAAAATAGTTGTATAAGTAATTCTTTAGGTTAAACACATGGCTAGCAAAAAAGGTGTTCGCTCTGAATATAGCTATGCATCCACCTTTGAAGTACAGAGCTTTTATAAAGGATCACTCTGACACACTATTATGTAAAATATATCATTTTATCATGAGAAAGGCATATTGATTCAGTTAACAAATCTGTAGTTAGATTTTATATGTCTGTATAGATAACCACTTATTTGACAGTTTTCAATTATTTCCTCACTTAGGATCTTTCAATTTGAAATAAAATGCCTATCACAAAAGATTAGAATTAAAATTTCATAACATAATTTATGTGAAGAACATAATCATAAAACTTACAACCTAAAAATCTCTCCTTGTTAACAAGTAAAGCTAAATCCAAAGTAAAAGCTACCCATTATTGGGTAGCTGGCAAGATGGGCAAATAGGAACAGCTGCAGTCTGCAGCTCCCAGTGAGATCCACGCAGAAGGCGGGTGATTCCTGCATTTCCAACTGAGGTACACAGTTCATCTCATTGGAACTGGTTGGACATTGGGTGCAGCCCAAGGAGGGTGAGCCAAAGGAGGGTGGGGTGTCACCTCACCCAGGAAGCACAAGGGGTTGGGGGATTTCCCATTCCTAGCCAAGGGAAGCTGTGAGAGACTGTACGGGGAGGAACAGTACATTCCGGCCCAGATACTGCATTTTTCCCATGGTCTTCACAAACAAAAGACCAGGAGATTCTCTCCAGTGCCTGGCTCATCAGGTCCCACCCCCACAGAGCCCAGCAAGCTAAGATCCACTGGCTTGAAATTCTTGCTGCTAGCACAGTAGTCTGAGGTTAACCTGGGATGCTAGAGGTTGATGGGAAGAGGGGCAATCACCATTGCTGAGGCTTGAGTAGGCGGTTTTACTTTCACAGTGTAAACAAAGCCACCTGGAAGTTTGAACTGGGTGGAGCCCACCAGAGCCCCCTGGGACAGAGCACCTGGGGGAAGAAATGGCTGGGGGAGCTGCTTCAGCAGAATTAAACATCCCTGCCTGACAGTTCTGAAGAGAGCAGCAGTTCCCCTAGTACAGCATTTAAGCTCTGATAAGGGACAGACTGCCTCCTCAAGTGGGTCCCTGAACTCCCATGTATCCAGACTGGGAGACACCTCCCAGTAGGGGCCAATAGATACCTCATGGAGAAGAGCTCTGGCTGGCAACTTGTGGGTGACCCTCTGGGATGAACCTTCCAGAGGTAGGAACAGGCAGCAATCTTGGTTGTTCTGCAGCCTCTGCTGGTAATACCCAGGCAAACGGGGTCTTGAGTGGACCTCCAGCAAACTCCAGCAGACCTGAAGCAGAGGAGCCTGACTATTAGAAGGAAAACTAGCAAACAGAAAGGAATAGTATCAACATCACCAACATCAAAGACCAAACATCAATCTCCCATGAAGATGGGAGAAACCAGCGCAAAAAAGCTGAAAATTCCAAAAACTAGAATGGCTCTTCTCCTTCAAAGGATCACAACTCCTCACCAGCAAGGGAACAAAACTGGACAGAGAATGAGTTTGATGAGTTGACAAAAGTAGGCTTCAGAAGGTGGGTAATAACAAACTCCTTTGAGGTAAAGGAGCATGTTCTAACCCAATGCAAGGAAGTTAAGAACCTTAAAAAAAGGTTAGAAAAATTGCTAACTAGAATAACCAGCTGAAAGAAGAACATAAATGACCTGATGGAGAAGAAAAACACAGCACAAGAACTTCATGAAGCATATACAAGTATCAATAGCTGAATGCATCAAGCAGAAGAAAGGATATCAGAGAATGAAGGTCAACTCAATGAAATAAAGTGAGAAGACAAGATTAGAGAAAAAAGAGTGAAAAGAAATGAACAAAGCCTCCAAGAAATATGGGACTATGTGAAAAGAACAAATCTGTATTTGATTGGTGTACCTGAAAGTGACGGGGAGAATGGAACCAAGTTGGAAAACACTTTTCAGGATATTATTCAGGAGAATTTCTCCAACCTAGCAAGGCAGGCCAACATTCAAATTCAGGAAATACGGAGAACACCACAAAGATATTCCTCGAGAAGAGCAACCCCAAGATACATAAGATTCACCAAGGTTGAAATAAAGTTAAAAATGGTAAGGGCAGCCAGAGAGAAAGGTCAGGTTACCCACAAAGGGAAGCCCACCAGACTAACAGCAGATCTCTCTGCAGAAACCCTGCAAGCCAGAAGAGAGTGGAGGCCAATATTCGACATTCTTAAAGAAAAACATTATCAAACCAAAATTTCATATCCAGCCAAACTAACCTTCATAAATGAAGGAGAAATAAAATCCTTTACAGACAAGCAAATGCTGAGATTTTGTGACCACCAAGCCTGCCTTACAAGAGCTCCTGAAGGAAGCACTAAACATGGAAAGGAACAACAGTTACCAGCCACTGCAAAAACCAAATTGTAAAGACCATCAATTCTATGAAGAAACTGCATCACTAATAGTCAAAATAACCAGGTAGCTTCATAATGACAGGATCATATTTACACATAAAAATATTAACCTTAAATGTAAACAGGCTAAATGCCCCAATTAAAAGACACAGACTGGCAAATTGGATAATGAGTCAAGAACCATTGGTGTGCTGTATTCAAGAGACCCCTCTCGTGTGCAAAGACATACATAGGCTCAAAATAAAGGGATGGAGAGAGATTTACCATGCAAATGGAAAGAAAAAAAAAAGAAAAGAAAAGCAGACATTGCAATCCTAGTCTCTGATAAAACAAACTTTAAACCAACAAATATCAAAAGAGACAAAGAAGGGCATTACATAATGGTAAAGGATCAATGCAACATGAAGAGCTAACTATCCTAAATATATATATATGCACCCAATAAAGGAACACCCAGATTCATAAAACCAGTTCTTAAGTCTTTACTTACAAAGAGACTTAGAGTCCCACACAATAATAATGGGAGACTTTAACACCCCGCTGTCAATATTAGACAAATCAATGAGACAGAAAATTAACAAGGATATTCAGGACTTGAACTCAGCTGTCGACCAAGCGGACCTAATAGACATCTACAGAACTCTCCACCCAAAATCAACAGAATATACATTCTTCCCAGCAACACATTGCATTTATTCTAAAATTGATGACATAATTTGAAGTATAACAGTCCTCAGCAAATGCAAAAGAAAGAAAATCGAAAGAAACAGTCTCTCAGACCACAGTGCAATCAAATTAGAACTCAGGATTAAGAAATCACTGAAAACCGCACAACTACATGGAAAGTGAACAACTTGCTCTTGAAAAGCTACTGGGTAAATAATGAAATTAAGGCAGAAATAAAGATGTTTTTTGAAACCAATAAGAACAAAGACACAACATACCAAAATCTCTGGGACACATTTAAAGCAGTGTGTAGAGGGAAATTTATAGCACTAAATGCCCACAAGAGAAAGCAGGAAAGATCTAAAATTGACACCCTAACATCACAATTAAAAGAACTAGAGAAGTGAGAGCAAACAAATTCAAAAACTAGCAGAAGACAAGAAGCAACTAAGATCAGAGAAGAACTGAAGGAAATCGGGACATGAAAAACCATTAAAAAAATCAATGAATCCAGGAGCTGGTTTTTTGAAAAGATTAACAAAATAGACCACTAGCCAGGCTAATAAAGAAGAGAAGAATCAAATAGATGCAATAAAAAATAATAAAGGGGGTATCACTACCAATCCCACAGAAATACAAACTACCATCAGAGAATACTATAAACACTTCTATGCAAATAAACTGGAAAATCTAGAAGAAATGGACAAATTCTGGACACATAAACACTCCCGAGACTAAACCAGGAAGAAGTAGAATCCCTGAATAGTCCAATAACAAGTTCTGAAATTGAGGTAGTAATTAACAGCCTACCAACCAAAAAACGTCCAGGACCAGATGAATTCACAGCTGAATTCTACCAGAGGTACAAAGAGGAGCTGGTACCATTACTTCCAAAATTATTCCAAACAATAGAAAAACAGGGAATCTTCCCTAACTCATTTTATGGGGCCAGCATCATCCTGATACCAAAACCTGGCAGAGACACAACAAAAAGAAGAAAATTTTAGGCCAATATCCATGATGAACATCAATGTAAATCTCATCAATAAAATACTGACAAACCGAATCCAGTAGCACATCAAAAAGCTTGTCCACCACGATCAAGTTGGCTTCATCCCTGGGATGCAAGGCTGGTTCAACATATGCAAATCAATAAACGTAATCCATCACATAAACGGAACCAATGACAAAACCCACGTGATTATCTCAATAGAGGCAGAAAAGGCCTTTGACAAAATTCAACACCTATTAATGCAAAAAACTCTCAATAAACTAGGTATTGATGGAATGTATCTAAAAATAATAAGAGCTATTTATGACAAACCCACAGCCAACATCATACTGAATGGGCAAAAACTGGAAGCATTCCCTTTGAAAACTGGCACAAGACAAGGATGCTTTCTCTTACCACTCCTATTCAACATAGTATTGGAAGTTCTGGCCAGGGCAGTCAGGCAAGAGAAAGACATAAAGGGTATTCAATTAGGAAAAAAGGAAGTCAAATTGTCTCTGTTTGCAGATAACATGATTGTATATTTAGAAAACCCCATTGTCTCAGCCCAAAATCTCCTTAAGCTGATAAGCAGCTTCAGCAAAGTCTCAGGATACAAAATCAATGTGCAAAAATCTCAAAAATTCCTATACACCAATAACAGACAAACAGAGCCAAATCATGAGTGAACTCCCATTCACAATTGCTACTAAGATAATAAAATACCTAGGAATACAACTTACAATGGATATGAATGACCTCTTCAAGGAGAACTACAAATCACTGCTCAAGGAAATAAGAGAGGACATAAACAAATGGAAAAACGTTCCATGCTCATGGGTAGGAAGAATCAATATCTTGAAAATGGCCACACTGCCCAAAGTAATTTATAGATTCAATGCCATCCCCATCAAGCTACCATTGACTTTCTTCACAGAATTGGAAGAAGCTACTATAAATTTCATATGGAACCAAAAAGAGCCCACATAGCCAAGCAAATCCTAAGCAAAAAGAACAAAGCTGACTTTAAAACTATACTACAAGGCTAAAGTCACCAAAACAGCATGGTACTGGTACCAAAACAGATATACAGACCAATGGAACAGAGCAGAATAGAGCCCTCAGAAATAACACCACACATCTACAACCATCTGATCTTTGACAAACCTGACAAAAAGAAGCAATGGGGAAATGATTCCCTATTTAATAAATGGTGTCAGGAAAACTGGCTAGCCATATGCAAAAAGCTGAAACTAGATCCATTCCTTACATACAAAAATTAACTCAAGATGCATTAAAGACTTAAATGTAAGACCAAAAGCCATAAAAATTTTAGAAGAAAATCTAGGCAATACCATTCAGGACACAGGCATTGGCAAAGACTTCATGACTAAAACACCAAAAGCAATGACAACAAAAGACAAAATAGACAAATGGGATCTAATTAAACTAAAGAGCTTCTGCACAGCAAAAAAAAAAAAAAAAAAAAAAAACTATCATCAGAGTGAACAGGTAACTTACAGAATGGGGAAAAATTTTTGCAATCCATCCATCTGACAAAGGGCTAATATCCAGAATCCACAAAGAACTTAAACAAATTTACAAGAAAAAAAAAAAACCATCAAAAAGTGGGCAAAGGATATGAATAGATGCTTCTCAAAAGAAGACATGTATGCGGCCAACAAACATGAAAAAATGCTCATCATCGCAGGTCATTAAAGAAACGCAAATCAAAACCACAGTGAGACGTCATCTCATGGCAGTTAGAATGACGATCATTAAAAAGTCAGAAAACAGCAGATGCTTGAGAGGACGTGGAGAAACAGGAATGCTTTTATACTGTTGATGGGAGTGTGAATTAGTTCAACCATGGTGGAAGACAGTGTGGCAATTCCTCAAGGATCTAGAACCAGTAATACCATTTGACCCAGCAATCCTATTATTGGGTATTTACCCAACGGATTATAATTTATTCTACTATAAAGACTCATGCACAAGTATGTTTATTGCAGCACTGTTCACAATAGCAAAGACTTGGAACCAACCCATATGCTCATCAATTATAGACTGGATAAAGAAAATGTGGCACACCATGGAATACAATGCAGCCATAAAAAAGGATGAGTTCATGTCCTTTGCAAGGACATGGATGAAGCTGAAAACCATCATTCTCAGCAAACTAACACAAGAACAGAAATCCAAACACCACATGTTCTCACTCATAAGTGGGAGTTGAACAATGAGAACACATGGACACAGGTAGGGGAACATCACACACCAGGGTCTGTCAGGGAGTTGGGGGCAGGGGGATGGATAGCATTAGGAGAAATACCTAATGTAGATGACAGGTTGATTGGTGCAGCAAACCCCATGGCACATGTATACCTATGTAACAAATCTGCATGTTTTGCACATGTATCTCAGAACTTAAAATATAATAAAAAATTAAATAAATAAATAAGACATTTATTGGTCATTTACTATTCATAGAGATCATTTTGGGTGTTAGGTATATTAAGAATTTTAAAAATGCCTATTTTTGAGGAAATATTAATCTTGTTGAAGAGATAACTCTTACACATAGAAAAGTAAGTAACAATTTAATATTAACAATTGTTCCTCAGCATCCACCAGCTATTAGTTCCAGAACAACTGTGGATACCAAAATCCCCTGATGCTAAGGTCCTTATTTAAAATAGGGTAGTATTTGCATATAGCTCATGCACATTCTGCCACCTACCTTAAGTCATCTCTAGATTAGTTATAATTTCTAATCAAATGTAAATACTATGTAAATACCTGTTATACTGTATTGATTTAAAATTTGTATTAGTTTTAATGTTGTATTGTGTTTTTATCGTATTTTTAAACATATTTTCCATCTGCATTTCGTTGAATCTGCAGATGCAGAACCCACAGACAGAGAGGGTCGCCTGCACTTGCTGACTATACCGAGAGAAGTAGACTGGATATGCACCATGTAGGACTTAGAGAAAATTGTGATCATACAGGCGAGATATTCCCTTCGTATTTGAAAATGACTTTATTGATCCATAAATTGGATGTTGGTCAGCCTTTAAATAAACTTTCCACTTGTGGCAATAGTTTGAAAATCAATCAATTGAATTCACTTTTCCACAGTTTATTTTCCAATAGTGTATTTCCTTCATTTAAAAAAAGTTATGGAGTAAAGTATTGGAACATAGAAAAAAAATCGGTATGAATTTGTACTTAAAGACTTGTCTTTTTCAATACTATAAGGATGCTAACTTATTCGTGAGTACAGACATACCTCATTTTATTAAGTTTTGCTTTATTACCCTTTGCAGATAATGTGGTTTTTATACATTGAAGGTTTGTGACAATCCTGCATCAAGCAAGTCTATTGAAGCCATTTTTCCAACAGCATGTGCTCACTTTGTTACAAATTTTAGCAATATTTTTAAAGTATGTGCATTAGTTTTTAAGACATGATGCTATTGCACACCTAATAGACTACACTATAGTATAAACATAATTTGTATATGAACTAGGGAACAAAAAATATAGTGTGACTCGTTTTATTGCAATATTCACTTTATTGCGGTGGTCTGGAACCCAACCTGCAATACTTGTGAGGTTGGCCTGTAAGTGAATTTTTAGGGATGTAAATGAACCAAAAGTCACTTAGCCATATATCATAGCCACCTAGGAATCCTTCGTATGTCATTCCAGCCTATGAATAAATATCTTTATTTACTGGGGATTATACATTTCAGAAATTCAGTCTGATTCTGTCTAACGAAAAACAATCAAGTTAGAGATAACAAAAACATATGCCATTATGGCAGCGTAGACATTGAAAGATTTCATTCATTGGTAGCTTGATGGGGATGGCATTGAATCTGTAAATTACCTTGGGCAGTATGGCCATTTTCACGATATTGATTCTTCCTACCCATGAGCATGGAATGTTCTTCCATTTGTTTGTGTCCTCTTTTATTTCCTTGAGCAGTGGTTTGTAGTTCTCCTTGAAGAGGTCCTTCACATCCCTTGTAAGTTGGATTCCTAGGTATTTTATTCTCTTTGAAGCAATTGTGAATGGGAGTTCACCCATGATTTGGCTCTCTGTTTGTCTGTTGTTGGTGTATAAGAATGCTTGTGATTTTTGTACATTGATTTTGTATCCTGAGACTTTGCTGAAGTTGCTTATCAGCTTAAGGAGATTTTGGGCTGAGACGATGGGGTTTTCTAGATAAACAATCATGTCGTCTGACTTTCTTCACAGAATTGGAAAAAACTACTTTAAAGTTCATATGGAACCAAAAAAGAGCCCGCATTGCCAAGTCAATCCTAAGCCAAAAGAACAAAGCTGGAGGCATCACACTACCTGACTTCAAACTATACTACAAGGCTACAGTAACCAAAACAGCATGGTACTGGTACCAAAACAGAGATATAGATCAATGGAACAGCCCTCAGAAATAATGCTGCATATCTACAACTATCTGATCTTTGACAAACCTGAGAAAAACAAGCAATGGGGAAAGGATTCCCTATTTAATAAATGGTGCTGGGAAAACTGGCTAGCCATATGTAGAAAGCTGAAACTGGATCCCTTCCTTACACCTTATACAAAAATCAATTCAAGATGGATTAAAGATTTAAACGTTAGACCTAAAACCATAAAAACCCTAGAAGAAAACCTAGGCATTACCATTCAGGACATAGGCGTGGGCAAGGACTTCATGTCCAAAACACCAAAAGCAATGGCAACAAAAGCCAAAATTGACAAATGGGATCTAATTAAACTAAAGAGCTTCTGCACAGCAAAAGAAACTACCATGAGAGTGAACAGGCAACCTACAACATGGGAGAAAATTTTCGCAACCTACTCATCTGACAAAGGGCTAATATCCAGAATCTACAATGAACTCAAACAAATTTACAAGAAAAAAACAAACAACCCCATCAAAAAGTGGGCGAAGGACATGAACAGACACTTCTCAAAAGAAGACATTTATGCAGCCAAAAAACACATGAAGAAATGCTCATCATCACTGGCCATCAGAGAAATGCAAATCAAAACCACTATGAGATATCATCTCACACCAGTTAGAATGGCAATCATTAAAAAGTCAGGAAACAACAGGTGCTGGAGAGGATGTGGAGAAATAGGAACACTTTTACACTGTTGGTGGGACTGTAAACTAGTTCAACCATTGTGGAAGTCAGTGTGGCCATTCCTGAGGGATCTAGAACTAGAATTACTGTTTGACCCAGCCATCCCATTACTGGGTATATACCCAAAGGACTATAAATCATGCTGCTATAAAGACACATGCACACGTATGTTTATTGCGGCACTATTCACAATAGCAAAGACTTGGAACCAACCCAAATGTCCAACAATGATAGACTGGATTAAGAAAATGTGGCACATATACACCATGGAATACTATGCAGCCATAAAAAATGATGAGTTCATATCCTTTGTAGGGACATGGATGAAATTGGAAACCATCATTCTCAGTAAACTATCGCAAGAACAAAAGACCAAACACCGCATATTCTCACTCATAGGTGGGAATTGAACAATGAGATCACATGGACACAGGAAGGGGAATATCACACTCTGGGGACTGTGGTGGGTTCGGGGGAGGGGGGAGGGATAGCATTGGGAGATATACCTAATGCTAGATGACACATTAGTGGGTGCAGCGCACCAGCATGGCACATGTATACATATGTAACTAACCTGCACAATGTGCACATGTACCCTAAAACTTAGAGTATAATAAAAAAAAAAAAAAAAAAAGATTTCATTCACTTTATATTCTGCGGGAGACTATATGACAAATCAAATACCATGGCAGGAACAAAGAGCTTGGCTAAAATTATATAACCATTCCTCTATATTTAATTAAAATCCAAGTTCTAATTTAGGAATGCAATACTTTAGTTCTCTTTTAGTAGTTGTGTATCTGCCTAACATATTCTTGTGCACCTGCAGCCATTGCTCAGTCAACCAGATTGATATAGGTATAACCTGGCATTCTGACCTCTCACTCTCCTTAGCCACAACACCTATTGCCTCACTTTTGCTACAAGACTTTTCAAATGAACCTATGCAGGATGCGTGGGAGAATTAGACAACCTGGAAGTGACAGTGTTAGAACACTCTAGAGCAACTCTTGTCCACTGGGAATGGGGTGTGGGGGAAAATGGTCACTTTTTTCCTCCCTTCAAAGGACAATTTTGATTTTCTTTCTATATAGCAAAACCCAGGGGGTTCCAGGAACATCAAGTGCCAAATGTTTACAGTGGAGATCACCTTAATTGTATAGCCTTGTATTGCCTTTATCTCCTTGCCTCTTTTATACTTGTAATTCACTTCCTTTGGTGTCATGTCCCAAAATAAACTATCTGAATACTAGTATTGATTCCAGGTTCTGCTTCCCAGCTGGAACACAAGCTAAGACATTGGCCTTGAAGTTTCTTTCTTTTTTTAAACAAATTATGGTTAAATATTTTATGAAGTAATTTAATATTCCATATATGCACAAATCATTTTAATTTTGCCTGGAGTCATCTGTCCATTCTATACTTTTAGAAGTTAATTATTTTCGGTTTTATGAGGCAGTAAACTGATCATTACTACATATGAAGTACGATCGGTAATGTTAGCCTGCAGATTAATAGAAGTTATATTTTCATTTTTTCCTGTCAGCAGAATAAAAGATATAAAAGATAGCTAACATTCATGATAA
Organism: Homo sapiens; assembly: GCF_000001405.40. Lineage (NCBI taxonomy): Eukaryota > Metazoa > Chordata > Mammalia > Primates > Hominidae > Homo > Homo sapiens. The sequence continues at coordinate 58,575,327 of NC_000004.12, read as the reverse complement.
ATGGGGACTGGGTATATGAGAAAAGAATGTTTTCTCTGACAAAGGCAGGAATAGGACAGAGAGAGAAGAAAGATCAACTGTGGATACTCAACATTTTTCTTTTTGAGAAATAATAGCATGTTCACATTTATGATTTCCTATAGTTTGATAACAGATGTTAGGTTCTTTTCACCCCTCTGTGCTTCAATATTCAGAATTATCTTTTTATTCATTATTTTATTTTGGTACATTATACAAATATTTGGTGGGCAAGATAAATTTTATATTGCTCCATGCTTTTTTGTTTCAAAAAGGAAAACACTGAAGCATATGTAATAGAATCTGTAAACATATCAAATAACCATAAATGTTTTTTTGGTGACATATATTTAGATATAGAAGTTCTCTAATTTGAAATGACTAGTGATATGGTTTTTCTAAAATATAACTATGCACTGAAATAATGAAATAACAGTGAAACAAATTAAGCTTCTATAAAAGCAAAAAAATTATCAAAGAACATTTAACATAAGAAAATACATTTTTTAGACAAAACCTTATTTTGTTTAGACCTGTCAGCTGGTGAACTTAAAGTTGTGAGGTGGCAGATTATTTTCTAAAGTACTGCGACCATTGAAGATTTATTCAAATTCATGAGCCACTTCATTTTTGCTAAATCTAAAATTCAACTCTAATACTGAGTGTCCTTCTTCTCATATTGTACCCAGAATTATAAAACCAATTCATTCATTACTGATTCATGATACGTCCTGTGCACTAGACAGAAATACACTAAAAGTCTATCTTCATAATTAACACATTATTTCAGCATTCCAGGAGATATCTATCTATTCACATCAAATCATCCATGTATATATTTGTAAATTTTGAGCATTTAAAATTGTCATAGATTAATGTTCATTCTAGGACAGATTTGTTCATAAAGTGCCTTCATTCAGCCTATTACAAATCCTAGTAAAAGTCAACACATATTTGTTCATGAGAAATGAATGAGTTAAAGAGTGAGGTAGAGTAGAGTTTTCAAGTATTTTCTTTCGTTTCCTTTTTGGATATGTCTCTGAGTTGAATAACTTAATTTAACTAGGTTTTTTCCAATGTCAATTGCTTCAGCCACAATCACATAATAAAATATAGATCCCATGTTAGGGGATAATTTTAATTTAAATTGAATCATTTAGAATGATTCTCATTGCATTATGTAGGCCCCAATACTCATGGAATTGTTGATTTTGGGCAGTCTAGCTTTAATAAACATACTTGTCTGTAAGCATTTACTTGGTAGACAAAATAATGCCATGGCTTTTATTTCAAGAAGGACAGTAAAAACTGATATGTGTAAAACTGACATTGCCTTTTAGACTTTGGTGCAATTTCAAGTACAATCTCTACTTTTCCTCAAATGGAATATGGCATAAGAATCTGAAATGAGTTTAATTGAATACAATCTGACATGGGTCCAGAAACTAAAATACAGCCCACTTGAAGTAGCTAGTTCAAGACTATCAATACTATATATATTCAAGTCCATGTTTCAGGACAACCAGAAATGATCTAATGCCAATCTTTCCACATTTTCACATTTTACATTATACTAACAAAAATATTTGCAAAGTAATCTTGATATTTGCTATGAAACTTACAATATTTGGAAATTTTCCATATAATTATTAGAAAATTAACTTAAATTATTTCTTCTAACAAAATTTCATCCACTATTTTTCTTTGAAAATACAAACTCATGTACTCTTCTTCCATGATGTCCTTTTTAACTCATTATTGTTTTTTATTCATATAAAATTATCAATTTCTAATTAAAATGAGAGATACCCAGAAAATTTTAAAATGATATGTAAATATAATTAAAATATGCATTTTATATTTTCTCTATTTCCAAATATTTATTTTCCTCATTTCATTTACTATAAAATATAATATTTTCCCTGTAGGTAAAATTTTTAAAGTTACTCAAGGCACCCAAAGGAGTTTTACATATTTTTGGTAAAATAATGAAGCTAATATAATTCAATGAATTATTTTTCACTTTAAAAAATTATCAGTATATAGTTGTGCTATAAATGAAAATGTAACTTTATTGTAGGAGCTTCAGGAGGAAAAATATCACATGTTAATTTGAGTCTACTAACATTTCAACATTACATGTTCTTTAACTTGCAATTTTGCATATGTACATGTGCATATAGTAGAAACTGTATAAAATTAAAGGGAAAAAACCTAAATAACTACCTGTCATCACAACACCTAGAGTTTACTTTTATAATATTTTTTTTCCAGTCTCTGTTTCATCTTTCCATATTATATGTATTTTAATTTTCAATTTATATACTATATATTTTTAAAAAGCGAAATATAGAAGATTAAATATTGTCCAGGCGCAGTGACTAACTAATACCTGTAATCTCAGCACTTTGGGAGGTCCAGGAGGGTGGATCACCTGAGGTCAGGAGTTCCAGACCAGCCTGACCAACATGGAGAAACCCCGTCTCTACTAAAAACACAAAATTAGCCGGGCATGGTGGCACATGCCTGTAATCCCTGCTACTCGGAGGACTGAGGCAGGAGAATCACTTGAACCCAGGAGGCGGAGGTTGCAATGAGCTGAGATGGCGCCATTGCACTCCAGCCTGGGCAACAAGAGTGAAAGTCCATCTCAAAAAAAAAAAAAAAAAAAAAAAAAAAAGATTAAATATCAATTAAATATAACAAATATTTAAAAATATAAAATTTTATAATCACATAATTTCAAATTTGCAGAGGAATTGTAATAATGTTATAAGGAAATGTTGCGTATCCTTAATTAAGACTCATGTGTTGCTATAATTTAGCATATTCACTTTATCATCATCCCTCCTCTCTTTTTCTTGCCCTCTTCTTTAGATAGATAGATAGATAGATAGATAGATAGATAGATAGATAGACAGATAGACAGATAGATAGAGACGTAAAGACACAGAGACATAGATATATGGATATACATAATTTTCTTGTTGAGCCATTTGAGAGTAAATTACGATATCATGCTTCTTTATCTTAAGTACTCCAGTGTTAAGTTACTGAGAACAATTGAATTCTATTATATAGCTGCAGTGTAATTATTAAAATAAAAATATTAATAGCGTGTTATTATGTAATCTATAATACATTATTAAAATTTTATTTGTTGTCCTTTACAACTAATTTATGTCCTTTACAACTATTTTATTTTCCTGCCCAGAATCAACTCCTTTGTCACTCATTGCGTTTGGCTCTTATTTCTCTTTAGTCAGTTAAGTCCAAGTTCAATTTAATCTCAGGTTAGTTTCAACTGAGTGCTTTATTTTGAATATAACTTTCATATTTTAATGCATATCTCAAGGAAATATTTACTGCAAACTAGACATATTGGATAGTATGTTGTGGATACTCTGTGTTCTGCTAAAATCCATGCAAGTGCTTTGATTTTTTTCTTAATTTTCTAGTCATTCACTTGGCTCAGCACAACTCTGTCTTCCTGTCAACCTGACACACTCTCAGGTTATCCCATGTTCATGACCTTTAAATTTCCTTCATTTGAGGGGAAGAAGCACTTGCTTCTAATTAATAGAAGATTGCAAAGGAGATGGGTTACCACTTATTTGTTTATGTTACATTACATGGCAAAGGGAATGGAATGCCACCCCCATTATCATGTTATATTATATAAAACTATATTAACAGACTGAGGAGGCACTCTGTTGCTGGTCTTGAAAAAGAAAATTGCATCTTCCTATAAAGTGGAGAGGCAGAAGGCTACTAGAATCTGAGAGGAACTATGGGAAAATAAATTCTGTCGACAGTCAGTGATCTTGGAAAAGAATCCAAATCCTCAGTTGAGACCCTGGCTCCAGCTGATTCCTTGATTGCAGAGGACCTAGCTAAGACCCGTTCAGACTTCTGAGTTTTGAAAACTGTGAGATAATTATGTGTTGTTTGAAGCCACAATGTTTTGGATTCTTTTTTTGTGCAGCAGCAGAAAATTAACACACTTCTTCATGGTAGGTTACAATAAAAAATTCAGATAAGTGATTTGAGTGAGCATTGTATTTACATATAGGTATGTGCTTAGAAAATAAGTTTTTGGAAAAAGAAGCCTCAGTAATGGTGTTTCCCATATCATGACCAAAATTTTTTTCTAAAATCCATACAGTTTACTAATGACGACAATGGAAAAATACATTCACACACCATACACAGAGAGATACAAACAAGTAATATTTCAGATTAGCTCCTAGTTGGGATAGAAATACTTTTTTAAAATATTAATCATTGAATGTCCCTAATCCAAAAATATATCTGTAAAATGTATGTAGGCAGAAGACCCTAAATCTTTATACAACTTTAATGATACAGGCCCACATGGCAATTGCAAAAAATGAATAAGATTTGGCATCCTGAAATTGTCCAAGTATCCTCTAGAGGTAGGTGTCAGTAGCTACTATTATCTATGATATCCTTGTTTTGCCTCCTAAGGTGCAGTGTTAGTCTGTTGTCACACTGCTAGAAAGAACTATCTGAGACTGGGTAATTTATGAAGAAAAGAGGTTTAATTGACTCACAGTTCCACAGGCTGTACAGGAAACATGGTTGGGGAGACCTCAGGAAACTTAACAATCATAGAAGGGTGAAGGGGAAGCAAGTACCTTCTTCACATGGTGAAGTGAGAGAGAGAGAATGAGACAGAGAGAGAGCAAGCACAAAGGGGGAAGTGCTACACACTTGTATACAGCCAGATCTCATGAGAACACACTCACAATCATGAGAATAGCAAAAGGGAGATCTGCCCTCACAATTCAATCACCACCCACAAGGTCCCTCCCCCAACATTGGGAATTACAATTCTACATGAGATTTGAGTGGGGGCACAGAGCCAAACCATGCTTTGGGTTTCCCTAGAGACTCCTTCCTATAAAGTCTGAGCCTTGCAGTTATTTTCAGCTATAATCCCTTATTACTATACAGAAGCCCTACTGATGTAATAGTAAGATGTATGGGGACGGGCACTGTTCTATAATTTTATGATTAAGTCTTAGGCTCTGTGAGCTTGTGCGCCTGAGCTGTGATATTTATTAGTACTTGTCAGCTTACTCTCCTCCTCAATCCTCAGCTAAGAGGCAATTGGAGTTGGGTATTTCTCTTTCCCCACTTTAAAGGCTAGAAGGTATTTGCGTTGGGTACTTCCTTTTCTACACATAGCTTAGGCTTTGGTAAAGTGCACATTGCTTAGCTCTGGTAAAATAGCAGGATTTTGTTAAAGAGATAGACTGTTCTGGGTTTATTTCAAATGGTAACTTTTCCCCACCCCTTGAAGGAAGCATGAGGGGAATTTTCTCTGATCTTCACTCTGAGAACTTGATACTGCAGGTAAAGCTCACAAAAATGTGGGGACTCTCTGAAGGCTCAGCCTCCTGGGGGGTTATTTTTTCATCTAGTCCACTCTTAGTCTCTGGTACTTGGTCAATTAAATTTCATGTATTCCAATTCCATGCTGACTCAACCAGAAGATTCTGCTCCCAGTAAGCTTTGATTATCTGTATTTGCTTCTCTTTTCAGTTTTCATTATGGTGGTCTTCCCTGTGACCTCAATTTTCTGAGTAATGTAAGTAGAATTGTTGGTTTTCAGATTGTTCTGCTTTTTTGTAAGTACTGAATAGTAGTTATGAAAAGTTACTGCCCTCTTAGGTGTTATAGTCAATACTACATGAATTAGAGTCAATTTAGACCTTGCAAATGAACCTGTGACAAGTAGCCTTGTGAAGGGTGATAGTCAAATAAAAATAATAATAATAAGTTGTTCTTGTTTAGGCAGGAAATCCACAAATTCACTGACACATGCATCTATTATTATTTCCAATCTCATAATGGGCCTGGGCTTCCAAAGGCTGACTAAATCCTACTATAGGCCATTCTGCAAGGTAAAATAAATGTGCAAATAACTAACTGGTCTGACAACAGTATGAACATAATAAAATAGTGATACAAACCTTGATGATGATAAGATTTCAAGGCTAATTGTCATAGGTACATTTGCAAGGTCTAAATTGACTCTGATTTATGAACTATTGAATATAACATCTATGAAGGCAGTAAATGTTTAAAACTACTATTCAGTACTTAGAAGATATCATTAAGTGATCTCATATTAGATGTTCAGTAAATATTTACTAAATTTAAAATAGTGGATGTTCTTTTTTGGATTTATTTTCTAGCCTTATGGACTCCTTATCTTATGTTAACTTATTTTATAGTGGCAGATACTAGGATTTTTATTATATTTTGACTCAGATTAAGATAATCTATACAGTCATGTAGACCTAAATTCTGAAATTTCTATGAAATGTATATATTGTTTGTCAAATTGCCGTTTTTTTTTTCTGAGTAAGATAGTGTTATTATTACTGATACCTTGAGGGCCACATCTTACATGGTTATCAATAGGATAAGGAATAAGGCATCATTGAACTATATAATTTGTCAATCAAGAATTAGAAAAGTCCTAATATCAAAAGAGTGTTATTATGGTACCCATATACCCTTGAGCAAAGCCTGGTATTTTTAATAAATGCACGTTAAATGGAATTCAAGTCCTTCCAATCTGAGCCATTAAATGTGGCCACTGTAGACTTGTGATGCATAGAGAATTAGTACTGATATGTGGGACAGTTAATAATATAAACTGGGTTAGGAGAACAAAAGTGAACTGAGTCTATGACTGATCACTCTACTTAGTGATGCTTGAATAGAAGGCCAGCGTATGTTCAGGCTTTTCCAGGCAGCTTTACAGTGATAGTTCCCAGATACAATTAAATGGCGTTATTTTGTAAGAAAGAAAATAGTCTTCCTTTCCAGGTTCTAAATATGTAATAAATTGGGGTTATTCAGGCGAAGTGAATTAGCCCTAGACTTGAGGGTGATAAAAATTAACAGTTATAGAAGCCACGCAGGAAAATAATAAAATAAAAATAAAGTTTTCAGTTGCAGGCTCATTGTTTATTCCCCACATCTCCATTTAGCTGACATGCTAAATTGCATAGTTGTTTAGTGACTAATTCTGCTCTTTGTTTTATTGTTTTATGGAGTTAATTTATACATTTGATCAGAGGTTTTATTTTTAATTTTAAAATTTTAGTGCATTATTGGTCATGAAATCCTACATTTTAGGTTAATCAATGTGTGTTGTCATTAAGTTATGTCTTCACATTATGTAAACAAGTGTACATATGATGATTTTTATTTACAAAATATATATTTGATTTGTCTTTTTTCCCCCAATTTGTGATCACCTATCCTGTGAACCATGTAGTTTTGGTTCGCATCCAGCAGATTATGTACCTCAACTGGTACCTCCCCCTTGTGTCATAAGACAGTTTTAGGCTTCCTTATTTGTATTTATCAGTCATTTTATTGCAGGCATGGTAAAATAAATTTTGGGGTCTAGGCCATTCATTGACTAGACTGCTATCTGTAATTTATCAGGTTACTTGGACCTGTCTGCCATCATCAAGATATATGGCTGGGGAGATAGCACCATAAAGGAAACAATTATTGAGAAGATAAATGACCTGTGAGAGGGCTACAAGTCTCTAGAGTGTGTGAGGAAAGGCAGAAAGTTACCTTGGCCAAAGATTTTGCTTGCATCCATATATCCAGTTAGTTTCGGGCCCAGGAACAGTGTATTTTCACTGATAGCTTCCCCGTCTTTCAATTTCATTCTTGTTCTCTTAGTCAATACTCCATAGAAAGTGCCTCTGGCCCCACACTTATTATTCCTTTGGCCTACTGCAGAAATTAGAATATATTTTGAATTTTAAAAGTGGCATTCATTGAGCAACAGCTTTATCTAGAAATTATCCAAGTGTCTCAGAGTGTTTTCTGAGTTTAAGACTTAGTGGCAAAAAATGGTGGCATATGTGAAATCTTTAAACAAATATAAAGGTAAATCATGATTTGTCATGTAGGCTTGGATAACTCAATCTTCAATCAAGAAAAAATAGACAAAACAAAAAAGAAGGAAGGAAAAAGGAAAAAAGAAAGGAAGTAACTAACCCTACATCAAGTGAGAAAAATTTGTACTTTATATATGACTTACTCAATTAAAAAAGACAAAAAAAAAAACTTATGCAATATCTGCATAATAATCCAAAGTGAGATGCAAGAGAATATTGTCTCTGTAAAAGAAGAGAAAAAGACAGGGATAACGTAGGTTATAATAACAATACATCTGACAACTAATAAGAAAAAATAAGATGAAAACTAGCAAACTACATAAATACATACTTACATACATAAATGCAACAGAATTAAGTGCACTCCAGAAAAAATAAAAGTAATATTTGCCTCTGAAGAAATTAAATTAAGAGTTGGAAGCCACTGTTAAAAAATATTCCTTAAACCAGAGGATGTAATATACATCAACAATCTAGAACAGTAGGAGATTCAGCTAAATTATACTAAAAGGAGAAAGTACTGCCAATGAATCAGAAGAAATGTTGCAGTATAAAAAAAGGGAAATTCTGGGCTTGGAAACCATTAGAAAAATAATTGAGCTTGGAGATATGTGTTATAGTCCTTTTTGAGTGAAGGAGTTAATCAGATAAAACCAGGTATAACCAGATTCATGGGCTATATTCTTTGGGCATTTGACATTTTCAGTGTTGATGAAGATTCCTGCACAAGTGTAAACTAAAGAAAAAAACACCCAAAGGGCCACATTTACTAAGTGCCCACTCTGTGCTAAGCCCTGGAGACACAGAAGTGAGAAGACAGTCAGGATCCTTCTTACAAGCTTTCAGAGCTCCTGTAGAAAAGGGACAGGATGCTAAGAGAGCAACACAGTAACATAACAATTGCTAATGTTGATTGAGCACTTGCTCTGGACCAGCACGGTTCTGTATGCTCTCAGTATTTAATCCTCATTATGTATTTTACATATGAGGAGGCTGAAGTGCAGAGAGGTTAAGAGATTTCCAATTCATGGAGTTATTAGGTGAGACAGCTGGTATTTGAACACAGCTTGTCTAGTTCCACCCTCCTGATTTTTTTCTACTCATCTTAGGGAGGAAGAAATTTTTAAATTCAAGCCAGTAAGTGAATAGCAGATAGCAGAGCAGATGTAGGGAGACACAGGAAGTAAGAATTCTCTAAGTAGAGAAATAAACTTTTTCACAGACCCTGAAGTAGGAAAGAACTTGGGGAACTGGAAAGACTTATATGGTGAGACTAAAACTACATGAGGCAAAAATTAATCAATAAATGTTCCTTCTACCACTTCACCTTTAGTGTACTTCACCAGCTGTACACTTTAGGCCACGGCCTCAAATATTGGTATGTCCAGAGTTATTTTCTTATTTCTCTTTTCTTTCTACACATTTTTCCTTGAATTAAACACTGCCATGATTTAATTACCATAGATATCAAAATTATTTCTAAAATCTCCCTGATTATTCTAAATAGCTAGCCTATTTCTCTTTCCCCCATCCTATCTCTCTCTATCTTTCTCCCCTCTCTCGCATTCATCTCTGATTCTACTTAGTATGTGAGTGAAAAACAAAAGCCACCAAATCTCCCCAGAAATAAATCAAAACGTCAATCTTGATGATTCTTCATGACTTAACATGCCCTCACATCATCAGTGGACAAATCATACAGAATCTGCCTCCTAGACAGCTAATAAATCCATCTGGCATTCCCATAACTTCTGCCTGAGCCTAGAGTATTGACACCCGTTATTACTCACAGGATTATTTTCAATCAGAACTCCACACTTTCTAGATTCTTATTTATCAGTTCTGTATTAATCAGAGTTCCCCAGAGACAGACAGAAACAATAGATGAATAGATAGATAGATGATAGATAGAAGATTTATTAAGTGAGTTGACTCATCTGATGATTATAAAGGCTGAAAATTTCCACAATAGGCCATCTGCAAGCTGGAGAAACTTGCAGTGAAACTGGTGGTGTAACTATTAATCAAAGTCCAAAGGCATCAGAACCAAGGGAGCTTACAGAGTAACTCTCAGTATGAGGTCAGAGGCCTGAGAACCTGACGGATTGCTGGTGCAAGTTCCAGAATCCGAAGTCTGGAGAACACTGAGTTCTAACATCCAAGGGCAGAGAAAAATGGTATCCCAGCTCCGGAAGACAGAGAGCAAACTATTTCACATTGTCTCTGCCTTTTTATTGTATCCAGGCGCTCAGCTGATTGGATGATACCTGCTCCCATTGGGTGAGGGCAGATCTTCCTTATTCAGGCCACTGACACCCTCACAGGCATACTCAGAAATAATGCTTTATCAGCTATCTGGATATCCTGTAATCCAGTCCACCTGACACTTAAAATTTACTGTCACAAGTTTCTTCCTTTTGTCAGGAGCTGACAAGCTCAGCTGGAGAGAGCTGAGCTGCCAGGTGTCATAGTAGGCAATCAAGATAACAAGGCAAAATGAAAGTAACAGTCAAGATTTCAATATTGACTGTGATGTGATAGTACAGTCACGCACCACATAATGACATTTTGGTAAATGACAGACCACGTATATGATGGTGGTCTTATTATAATAAACCTTAAAAATTCCTGTCACCTAATGACATTCTCCCTGTCATAAAATTTTAGCACAACACATTACTCATGTTTGTGGTGATGCTGGTATAAACAAACCTACTGTGAGTCATATGAAAATATAGTACACACAATTATGATACCTGATAATGATAATAAATGACTAGGTTATTGGCTTATGTATTTACTATACTATGATTTTAATTGTTGTTTTTAGAGTTATACTTCTACTTAGAAAAAAAAAAGTTACTGTAAAACAGCCTCAGGCTGATCTTTCGCGGGTATTCCAGAAGAAGGTGTTGTTATCATAGGAGATGACAGCTCCACACCAGTTACTGCTCCTGAAGACCCTCCAGTGGGTCAAGATATGGAGGGTGGAAGACAGTGATATTGGTGATCCTGACACTGTGTAGGCCTAAGTTAATGTTTGTGTTTGTGTCTTCATTTTTAACAAAAAGTTTAAAAAGTAAAAACAAAAATAAACTTTAAAGATAGAAAAAAATTATAAAATAAGAATGTAAAGAAAGAATACTTTTGGACCACTGTACAATGTGTTTGTGTTTTAAGAAGTGTTATTACAAATGAATCAGAAAAGTTAAACAAATTTAAAAGTTTATAAAGTAAAAATGGTATAGTAAATAAGATTAATTTATTATTGAAGAAAGAATATTTTTAAAAAATAAAGTGAAGCCTAAGAATAATAAAGAATAAGAATGGATAAAGCCTACAGTAGTGTACTATAATGTCTTAGGCCTCCAAATTCTTCACTCACTGACTCACCCAGAACAACTTCCAGTCCTGCAAGCTCCATTCATGGTGAGCGCTCTGTACCTGTGTACCGTTATTTATCTTTTATATTGTATTTTTACTGTACCTTTTCTATGTTTGAATACTTTTAGATACACAAATATTATTGTGTTATAATTGCCTATAGTTATTCAGTACTTCCTGAGTAGCTGGGAGGCATGTGCCACAGCACATGGCTAATTTTTATATATTTATTTGTTTTTGCATCCAGGATCTCACTATGTTACTTGGGCTGGTCTCGAACTCCTGGCTTCAAGTGATCCTCCCATCTCAATCTCCCAAAGTGCTGTGACTACAGGTGTGAGTCACTGTGCCAGGCCCAACCTGAAACCTTGACTGCAACTCACCTCAGAGACTGCGACACACTGGCTATGCCCCAAGTCATATGTGGAGAGGGCAGCTTTTCTCATCCGGCTTGCCAGGTAAGGCCTTTTTAATTGCCATTGGTTGAGTATCAAAAACCATCCATAGGTGTGTACTTTAGCCAGGAAACAAACTCTTCAAAGTTTGGATTTGTCTCACATTTTGATCTTCCTCATACCATGCATTCCCTCAATTCTCCATGTGTTTATCTCTCATATATTTATTTATTCTGCTTCTTCTGCCTTGCACACTCTCTCAGCTATTTTTGGTATATTTATCCCTTCCTTATACATCAAGTCTCCAGGAATCTTCTCCAACCTACTAAGTTTTCTTTAGCATTTTGAGCTATTTCAAACACCATCATCTTCAACTCTGGGTATAAGTAAAGATTTCTTTATTATTTGTGTCCTGGAACTCATGTTAAATTTACATATTATTTAAACTTTAGTCCTTTCTAAATTTTCTCCAATATATATATCCCTACTTGAAAACAAAACTTACTAAAAAGTGGTATGGAGTTTCTCTAAAGGAAAATGGTCTGTAATAAAAAATGTTTTCTGTCCTCTGGTTAAACTTGTAACACAAGGATTCATTTAGGAGCAATTATAATCATTAGAAAATTGCTTCTTAAAGTGACCGAATATCTACTATACTTTCAACTCTTAGGACTTGGTCAACTTTTATTGTCTTTTTTGTTTGTTTGTTTTATGTGATGGGCATTCACTTATTTGAAAACAGATATCAGTACTTTCTCCTTTTTTAGTGATTCTTAAAATGTGAATGGTTTTCAGATCTCACTCCAAACATTATCACTTTGATGAGCTCTTATCTCTAAATATTTCTATAAAATGTAATCCTGTGAATGAACAAAATAAAATGGATGTAATCTTAATTTAATAAACTAGAGCTATATTAACTCTCAATCCTGTTACTGTAATTCTTGTCTGGGTTTATTACATAGTTCTATAAATTACATTTTAAATATCTCAAAAATCTACATGTGTTAATGGCTTCTTTCCCTTTAACACTAGACATAAGTGAACTATTAAAATGTGTATGTGTATTTGAAGATATAAACTAAAATGTTTCCTTTATCATTTTCAGCAAACACTTGGACACTAAACCTTTTTATCTCCTCTACATATATTTCTCTACTAATATTTACCTTTATCTCAGACATAATTTTATGATATTATCAGTAAAGCATATCTTCTATAGTGGATTAACTGACATCTATTGGTTCCAGGCTCTTCTAAATTGAACATAGACAGAAGGAAAAGAAAGGCATGTTCTGGGAGCTCAGAGTCTTTTGTTACACGTGTCTCGAAGGGTACTAATACATCTCCAGTAGCTGTGATTATGCCATGAAATGTCTCTAATAAAAATTACTTTTTGAAATAACTGTTTTTCACTTGCTCTTTTGGAAACATTATTCCAAAAGATTGTGTCTCTAATTTTATGATGGAATTCATTTGGAAACTTAATTTACTTTACAAAAATTCTTGTTAAATATATTTTGATGGAATCCAATAAAGAGAAATCAATACTGTATGTATTTATACATATATATGTATTTCAATACCATTCAATCTCCTCTAGTCTATGAAATAGGGATCATGTGAAAATCAATTTAAGCATTTCCAAGTAAGATTTAATAACCTAACATGTCAAAAATGTTTTATTAAATTCAGCTATAATTCATCTCTAACAAAATTACGCATGAAGATTGAAGTCTCTTAACTTGCAGAAGATTTGTACAATCATTTGCAGAATGATTTAAGAAGAAACAATGAGTCTCTGTTGATAGTGACATTTAGGCCATAAATATTTACTCAAGCAAGGATATGTAAATAATTTAATGAATAATTTAATTTTTGAGAAATAAACTTTGGGAATATTTCTAATGCAAAACAATAATTAGAGTAGGCAGGAAGAGTTGGTGACCATAAAAATGTCTCTGAATCAGGAGTCAGAGTTTCTAACACAACGGTAAAAGACTTCTGAAGGAGGTGGAGGCAAATTCCAGAATGCAAAGCCTGGATACATCACCTAATAGACGTGCTGCTTTTCCTCATATTTATAATGGGAATGATAATTGTACTAACCCAATTCATTCATTGAGAAGATGAAAAGAATGATCACATCTAAAGTACCCAGTACAATGTTAGGCACATATGAATAACTCATAAATGATGTCATTATTTGCTGTGTGAAACTGCATAAATCACAAAAATCTCTGCTCCTTTTCTTACTAATTTGAAATATTAGCATTTTATACTCTCACAATGATTTTGAAAATATTTTTAAATAGTGAAACTACAGAATTTAAAAATGCAACTATTTTGAATGAATGTACTTTCTAGAATAGTTCCTAACATATATAATGAATTAAGTAAATTTGTAATAAATGAAGTAGGGTGTGGGCATTCTGAAGTTCCAAGCATGGGACTTCTCCATACTTCCAGCCCTGAGGCACACTCTGAAATCCTTATGCTCTGGAATACTATTAGAATAGCTACATCCCAGCCACAAATGTGTTCTGAGTAAAAAAGGCACTGAAAAACCAAGCAAAACAGGAACTGAATCCTAAAGAAATGGGATCTTACATGGGTTACTAACACAGAGACTTGGGTATTCAGAGCAAGTTAGTAAGCCTGTTACTATAACAAATTAGCAAAGAGTCTTCAGAGAAAAAGACAGAAACCGTGTTTGAAGAGACAAACCACATGATGAAGACTGACTTGCAGTCAAGAGCAACATGATTCAGAGTATTACTAGGTTAGGCAGCAGCTTTGAAAATGCCTCTGGCTGAGGTTGAAAGTGATTTTAAGAAGGAAGCAGAGCTGGATCTGTATGTAGGATTTAGTATCCTTTCAGAGACAGGAAGAATGTCGAGGCTCGGAATTAGGCAGCACCCAGAAGTTCTCCAACAATATCTATAATTGGACTTCAAAATAGGCTTATTCTTATAATGGGAGCAAGAATTTGACATCTGTTGAAATGTAGCTTTTTAAAATACTGTTTATTATAGTGTTACAACAGTAAACAGCATTTCAACACTGACTAGATGCAACCAATTCTTTCTCCTTAAGAATTCTTAGAGAATTCAGAAATATTGTTTCTGGTAGCCCAAAATTGACAAGTTTGGTAGTCAATAGATTTTGCCATTTCTTTCTGATGCTGGACATAATTTAAAGTGACTAAAAACATTCACATGTATCATTGCATTAAAAACCCCTCTGGCCACTCCTGTCCCTTTGTCATCCAGAGTAATTTAGTTTTTTCTTTTTTTTTTTTTTTAATTCATTCTCCAACTACCCACCACTTCCCCACATAAAAAAAAGTCTAATTTTTTCTTAAATGTCTCAAGTAAGAGTAACAAGTTAAAAAAAAGTGATACTATATTTTTATTCTTGTTACTATTTGATAGCAAGATCTTGATTAGATTCTCACTATTTTATATATACATGACAGATGTAAGATCTTTTTCCTTAAAATATTATACCATTTTCTTAGGTTCAAATTGAGAACAAAATCTGAGAAAGTTATGCTTCAACTGAGATCACCTTTGGGAAGTATAATTGGATGAAATGCTAAGCCATTGCTAATGCCCAGCCTATCTGAGGCCTGAATTTGCTTCAGGAGCCCTCAATGGGCATTAAAACAACAACATAACAACAACAAAATTTCATACCTTTTTTTTTCTTTTGCTAATTCTTATGCAAAAACAACTAAAAGCTTGGAATGGTATTCCCATTTTGTAATTTGCTTTTTAAAAAACACTTTTTTTGGTGGGGCGCAGTGGCTCACACCTGTAATCCCAGCACTTTGGGAGGTCAAGGAGGGTGGATTAACTGAGGTCAAGAGTTCAAGACCAGCCTAGCCAACATGGTGAAACCCCGTCTCTACTAAAAATACAAAAATTAGCCGGGCGTGGTGCATGCCTGTAATCCCAGCTACTCAGGAGGCTGAGGCAGAAGAACTGCTTGAGCTCGGGGGAACGAAGGTTGCAGTGAGCCCAGGTCGTGCCACTGCACTCCAGCCTAGCCAACAGAGTGAGACGCAAAAACAAACAACCAACCAAAAAAAAAAACATTTTTTCTCTTTCTTCACATTCTAGTATTATACTTCAGGAACAACGTATGCATAATTATTTACGTAAATTGGAATTTCCTTATTGCCTTCTTGCAAATAATTTGGAATTTGGCAAATAACTTTTTACAACAGATGCTATGACAGATGCATATAATTTTCCATCCTTAACATCAGATATGAATATGGAACCCAAAATCTAGTACTAGATGTTAACATAATTGTTGACACCACAGTTTTTTTTTCTTTAATCTGATTATACTTCTCCTCAAAATAATGAGAAGAGGTTGATTGAAATCTGATAAATTATAGGTAGAAGCTAAGGTCACTTATTTATTATTTCCTCATGTCAGATTTCCTGGCCTAAGTCATATAGTTATTCCAAAAAATAACTGATTTAAATTATTGTCAGTATTTTTTTCTCAGAAATTCCTGTGTACATTTAAAATGTCCAAAAACACTTATTCATTAGCTTTACATATATTTTAATCCAAAATTCAATCCTACAATTTTTTTAGAGTGAATAATCAGGAACAACATAGCAAGACTTCCAAATAAACCTAAGTTTGTAATAAAAGAAAAAAGCTGTGTATGTAATCCCAAATGTGGACTCTAAATTTAACCCTGGAAATTATATATTGTATGACAGTGAACAAGACTGGGCCTTTCCTGCTACAATTTGTCATTTGTAATATCAATTGGTTGGACTAGCCACTACTTATGCTCCTTTAAACAAATTCTATTGTTTGAAAGAAGTCTTATCAAAGTAGGCAGTTTAAAAAGCGGCATTTAGAATTAAATAGACTACCTTAGAACTATCACTGCTTTGCTATTAATTCAGGTGTGACAGAGTTTAATGATGATAATTTCATTGTCATTATTCTAAGTCACCTCAAGCTATGTCCTTGTATAATATATTTATCTGAATTTCCCATTTGAATAAACTTCCATAGAGTGCGTTTAAGTAGGTTAGTGGAAATTACATTTTTTTTCCCAAACACCTAGAAATTTGTAATTATCTAAATCTTGAGCTTCTCATAAAATTTCTTTAAAAAAAACATTTTTTAACTTTTAAACTGTAACTTCATAAAAGTAGAGAAACTTCGTAGCTTTAACTTAGCTCTTGCTACACTAACATATTTTTATAAAGTTGAATTTTAGAAATCATAAACACAGAGACCTAAAAATTATCCTATTATTTTCTTAAAACAAAGAATGATAATCCAGTTTTAGCTGATGACCAAAGTAAGATTTCATTGTAAAATTTTAGATAAATCAGAGAATATGAAAAATGGGGAACACTAGGAGTTACTTTATGATTCTAAACTTGGCATTTACATAGGATTAAACAGAATTTAAATTATTCTTTAAATAGAGGTAATGGGCCGGGCATGGTGGCTCATGCCTGTAATCTCAGCACTTTGGGAGGCCGAGGTGGGCGGATCACGCGGTCAAGAGATGGAGACCATACTGGCCAACATGGTGAAACCCCATCTCCAAAAATACAAAAATTAGCTGGGTGTGGTGGCGCACACTTGTAGTCCCAGCTACTCGGGAGACTGAGGCAGGAGAATCACTTGAACCTAAGAGGCAGAGATTGCAGTGAGCCAAGATCTCACCACTGCACTCCAGCCTGGCAAGAGAGCGAGACTCCATCATAAATAAATAAGTAGAGGTAATGTTATTCTCATATTTAATTATTTTAAAAAATATTGATCTCAGTTAAGAAAAAAATCATATACTCTTTGAAAGGCAAGAAACATGGAAAGAGGAAAATAAATCAGTTTTGCAGGTTTTGACCATAAACATGAAAACATACGAAAAAAGAGAATGTCTTGCCTACAGAACATTTCTGCAAGTTGGATAACAACTATTTAAATCCTAATGTTAAGCCACATAAAAGCATTTCAAAGATGACTACCTGATTCAGGAATGACATTTTCTAAGACAAACTTGTAATCTGGAGTGGTTAACTGCCCCATTTCATTTTCTTAGCTATTTTCCCACCCTATATATGATAAATTAATCTACAATGGGCTCTCTTTAAAAATGAATATTAAATAGGAATTAAACTAAGTTTTATGCAAAAATACTACAAAAGTAAAGATTGAATGGCCCATATCAAGATGGAAAATAACCAAAAAAATTCATTCTGAAAAAAATTGTATAGATTATTATTTTCCTATGCTATCAGAGAAATTATATAACTTGGAATACTTGGTTAAAAACATACAAATAATAGTTATAATAAATAGTGGAAGAGATGGTTGAGTAGGGGAAATATGGAGAAGATTGCTGTCTTAGGCCTCAAAGTAAGTAGTGAGAGATTTCTATGTAAGTGATTTATTAAGACACTTCCATAAAAACATGTTTAATAGCCCAAGTAAGGTCCCTGAGGAGAAAAACAGGTGTAGACATAGAAAGAAAAAAAACATATAATAGAGGAGGAAGGCAAAGAACCAGGGGAAGGAATGCAAGAACATCTGAAGGTAGAACCAACAACATCCACTAAAATTGCCTTGGGTGTTTTCCCATAAAAACTGACGCTGAGTCAAGATCTCAAGTGCAAAGAGTTAATTTAAATGATGATCCCAGAAAAGGCTCTTTGGAGAATGAGGAAATGAAACAGGGAAAAGAAGAAAGGAAACAAAATATACTTGATCTACTTGATCAAGCAAGCTTCCTGGATACTTGGAACTTTATCCTGCTGCGAACCAGATGTCTTCTCCACTTACTTCTCTACATTTAAGGAAGTAAAAAAAAAAGTATCTTAAGCTCTTCAAGAGAATAGAAAGAACACTATTAATGCAGCCAGCACAACCAAACAGAATATAATGCTATATTCCATTTATATGATATTCAAAGACACTAAAAGAGTCACTCTGTGGTGTTAGAAGTTAAATGGTTAACTTTGAGAGGAGAGAGGATATTGGGATTGTGCAGAGGCTGGGGCATTTGACTATGCTATCAGTAAGATGAGTGTGTTCACTTTGTGATTATTCACTGAGCTATACAGTTATAATTAGTATACATTCCTGCTGTATACTTTTTAAAAATATTAAAAACAAGTAATGTCCTGAGGTGGCCCAATTGTAAATCCAACTAAAGATTTCTGAACACTGCTGCTGGGACCTCTGGTCAATTATATTTTCTGTAGTTGGAGTCTCCTGGCTCTCCTACTGATGGTGTTACCATTTCATTTACCTAAAGAAATTTCTCTAGAAGACTGTAAACCCAACCAATTTGAATTGCCTGTTCTCTAATATTGATGCATACTTTTTGACCTGGAATCTTTTTTATCATAACCCTGGGGATTCACTATACCTAATATCTGAGTTGTAGTCTCAGTTTTCTGTATTCTGTGTCTTAGTATGTATTGAAATATTCACTTAATTTGATAGAGCACAACTTCAAGAAGCTTTATAACAAAGGTTTATGGAAATACATTTTTGACATCTTGTAGATGTTAAAATGTCTTTTTCTCGCACTTTATAAATATCTGGTTGTTTATAACATTTTCTGTGATTTTAATTGCATTTACTTTTTGGTTAAATTTTTAATTGAGTAAAACAGTTAAATATACAAATTCTAAATTTAAAATTTAATAAATTTCACCAATGTAAATGTTTTCATAAACTCAACCAAGATTCAGAATATTTTAGTCAGTCTAGGACATCCTCTATATCCCACTTCTAGTCAATGTCCACTCCACATGAACTGTATTCTGATTGCTATTGCTATAAAATAGTTTATAACATTTTTGAACTTATATAACTGGAATCACACAATATGTATCATTTGGTATTGGCTTGGCTTTGCTCAGTATAATGTACACAAGATTCATTCATGTCATGCTACATAATATTTCATTCTTGGTAACACCACAACTTATTTATTTGTTTTATGCCTGCTTGAAAAGAGGGCTCAGAGGAGACTGCCCAAGTTTTGTCAAAGAGAGAGACTTTGTCAATATGCCTTTAGATTTTCATTTATTTGAATATTCTTGTTCATGTACTTGAAATAGATTCTTTACCTCCACCCAGTATTTGATATATCCTCTTGCTCTTATTTAAACATAATTTCTTTCTGTGTCATCTTTCATTAACTTTGTCAGAAATAGTGAAATATCCTTAGTCTTGTCTTCCCAAAACAACTTTTGCCAATCCCATTACATGCCAATATGTGGATTAATCTTCTCCTGCAATAGACTCTAGCTAAGGAATAGGATTATTTCATATTCAACGTTTACTTCCCACATCATAACAAGAAGCTCTGAAAGGTTTGTCAAATTGTACTTTCTTGATCTACTGCAGTTGCATAACCCTCAAACATCATTTGTAATTTTGGATATCACCCAAATCTGTGAAACTTTTCAGTATCAGCCATAATTATTTATTTATTTCTAAGCAATCTTTGAATATAAATTAATGTTTTGGGCCAAAAACCAAAAGAAAAGGAAGGTCAACTACTATTTGAAGGATAATGAATTTTGATTGTCACAGACAATCATAGACATGATGACAACATGTCTATTGTCATTTATCTATCATTCTTTATTTTACACTTAATTTAATTTTTAAATATAGTTCATTTTCATTGACATTTTGGAAGAAAATTTTTAAGAGTTTTGAATGTGAACAGATACAATCTAATGTAAGAAATACCACACATTATATATTGTTACTGTAGCTCCTCTATATTTCATGTGTGTAATCTATGAAATACAATTTTATTATTTGCTTATTATGCATTATCATTATATACCTAAACTTCTAATTATACTGAATTCACATATATATTTGGGAATAATTTGTTGGTTCCAAAGGATTTTGGACTTTACTACTTCTGAAATGGGCTAGTTGCTAAAATCAGGCGACAATGATACTGAAGGAAAATGTCACAGGAGATAGAAAGCAATGACGGCTGTTACCCTTGAGTGGTTTAAGGAAAACATAGAGTTTCTCTATTTTGTGACTAGAATTTCTCTAAATATGCCAACTTTACTAAAGCTGTATACCCTGCTCATAAGTCAGAAAATATATCTTAGAGAAGAAACAATTTTCATCAGATCTGGCTGCAGCAGAAAAATAAAATAAAATAGAGCTAGTAACAGAGTAATGGGCAGAAGACTAAAGGAAATGGGGAAGGTAATGCCACATAAACTTGAAAGAAAAGAGAAAAAGTGAAGCAGCCTGAACAAAATAAAATAGAACATTGGTTGAATAAGGATACTTTAGACAACAAATAGAAATCCAAAGGGATATAAGTATAGAAACAGGAAATAATCAAGAATTTTATACTTAGAATTTAGTTTTCATTGCAAGTAAGAGAAATCCAACTGACTTAATAATAACAATACCCCATTTGTGGGGTAGAGGAGGGAGGAGGTACTGTTGTCTTATATAACTGAAACATCTATAACCTAAAGCATGTTGGATCCAAATATTTAAGCACACTATTAAAAATCTGTTTTCATATCTCTCTTTGTATTCATTCTTAGTCATGCTTATCTCAGGCTATGAAAAAGATGACCACACGGTATTCAAGACTAATACAACCAGCTTAGCACATTTTTAGAAAGTGAATATGTCTTTCCTAGAAGAGCTACAAGCTTTTCCAGATTCTTTTCACTGGCCATTTGTATGTCACAAACCCAACCCGAGGCAATCACAGTAGTTATGACAGTGGATTGCATTGACTAAACAAGCTAAAGTGGGAAGCCAACTGTAGAGACTGTCCCCTTCACCTGAAGTTCATGAACTAAGAGTGGATAAGGACAGGAAAATCTGGGTACTAGTGTCCGAGAATAGGGGAGTTAATTTTGATCAGTCGCCAACAAGTAAGACACATAATATATACAGGTAGGAGGTGATTTAGACAGTGACAGATATCAGGCTACAAGACAAAAGCAAAAAGTAAACAATGTGGATAATGTGAGAAAAGTGAAGAAAGAAAGTAAATATAAGATGAACATAAAAAACGATACAAAAACTGATCACAAGCAAAAGATGTGTATATAATTGTTATATGTATGATAAATATACACACACACTAATAATTTACTAAAATTTACTAATGGTTTGTGTGTATGTATGTGTATATTCATATATAGCTACATATATACATGATGGTGTATGTGTGTGTAGGTATGGATAAAGATAAGTAAATTTACCATACAAATTAGTGTTTGGGAGTAGTTACAGGAAATCTGATATACAGTGTGCATTCCTCAAATTCCTTTTTCTTATCCAGCTAATTGGTGTCATGAGACAAAGCAGTAAACAAAACAGATGGTAACTTAGTCTTTCTTCCCAAATATGCAGTTGTCTTACTAAGTGAAAGGGGACACACTTGTATTCCAAGTAGGCACATCTTATAAACATGCATCGATATAACTAAATTTCTGTCTTTGAACTTAGCTAATTCTAAACTTAAAAATAGTGGTGCTAACAAACATAATGGAATTGTGCATGGCTGCATAAGGATGCTGGTTTATTGTACATAAAACACTGCAAACCTTTCTGAAGTGGATGAGGGCTAAAGGTTGAGTGGTTGTAATGAAGCAAAATTGCAGGTTCCCAAGGGCAGGGTGGAAAAGCAAATGAACTGTGTTTTTAGTTCTTTAGAAATTACTTTGGCAATTAAGAGGTGTTCATATGTGTGGTTTGACGGCAGTCAGGGCACCCAGTGGAATACCCAGACATTTCTTAATGTATGTTGGCCATCATTTCAGCAATTATAAAAGGGATATAAATGCTAACATGCACATTTCCAGTAATATGGCTTTCAGTCCCTATACCATCATTGTAGAAATGTATTATGTGGCTTTTCTAAGCCCAGCTTGCTCTGCAAGGTCAATGCAACCAGCAATTCATTCCTTGCAGGGGAACCATTTTATTAGGTAGCGTGGAAGTTGGAGCTCCCTATTTCATTAAATGGCAATTAAGTAATTTAAAAATAATACTAAGCCTCTTAATCAGCTTGTTTTGCCTTGTGTACCACAAGGGACTTTGGCATTTTCTAACAATTAATATAAAAAGTGCTTCAAAAATACAACCAATGCTTTTAAGCTTTGAATTTTCCTGC